>NT_187660.1:4697716-4997716 GCF_000001405.40 Homo sapiens
GAATTCCAAGGACCCTTCTAACTCCCACACTCTGGGCCAAGCCCCAGTCAGCCTAGAGGACCAGGGCTACATCTTCCTTGGACAGAGACCCAGCATAGGGGCAACAGGAGGTAGGGGTGGGGGTAGGCAAGGTTCCTGTAGGGAGGTGGAGCTGCCATCAGAGATGGTGTCTGCAGGCAGTGGGTGTATCGTGGCTATGCTACTACTTCCTGGGTGACCCCATGACATTTCTTTCCCCACTCTGACCTCAGTTTCCCTATCTGTTCCATGGAGATAAGATGCCTGCCTACATATTTGGGGACTGGGATGTGTGTGGGGGCCAGTTGCAGTGTTTCTTGGTGTGGTCCTGGGGCAGCCTGCACCACCCCATAGAGTTTGCTGGGCCCCACCCTAGGCTCACAGGACCAGAATCTCTGGGAATGAAGCCTGGGAATTTGCATTTCCACAGGCATCCGGCAGATTCTGACATGATTGAAAAAGCACTAATAGTATATGGCAAGCTCTTTATAAAAGGTAAATTCATAGCTGCCTTTTACTAAACATAAATCTCACCTTCCCTTCCTCAGTTAAGGACACACACCCCAGTTGAAAATCACTGTGCCTTTCCAGATGCAGAATCTGACCTTTCCAATAGGATTCTGTTAACTGTTACTTTCTGTAGTTTGTATTCCAAAACAAGGGGAATATCTTTCCATTTTTTCAATATAAATGTTTAGGTCAAATATGCTTTTTCAAACTGGACACACACTCACACAGTTTAGGATTTCAGCTATGGCTTCCTCTCAAATTATTAGCCCGTTTCTGCCAGGGAGCAGTTTTTCCCAGACAAGACCCTGGACAGAGGCTGGTGGGGCCCCCTCCTCATCAGAATCACTAGATCATGACTGACCCCTAGAGGTGGCTTTTCTGCTTAACAGTCAGCCCATGGGCTGGGATGGGATCCCCAAAGCTGTGGCAAAATCTTCCACCCATCCTGGGCCCCCCTGCCGTCTGTGGGGAAAGGCCTGTCCCTTGTCTTCTGGGCCCAGCCGGCCTCACACTCATTCAGCGGACTGGAAAGTCGAAGCATGTGCTGTGCTTGGCTGGGCTCTGCTGTGCCCCTTTTTGGGGTGAGGCAGAGTGTATTCCAGCCCCCAGCATCCCTGCCGTTTATTCCCACCCCTCATCCCCACCCCCATACACACTCACAAGTACAAACACAAGCACAGTCACGGGCACACACCACCCTGGACAGCACCATTTCCAGCCTCAGCGGGGCAGTCTCCTTACAGGGAAGTTAATGAGGCACTAAAGAAGGCTCAGGGGACAGGGAGAACCTCTGTCAAAAAGAGGTTCCTAGACCTGGTTCTGCCTCTGACTTGCTGGGGGTCCTTGAGAAAGCTGCTTCCCCTTTTTGGCCTGTTTCCTTAGCTGAGAAATGGGGGGTCGGCCAAATGGTCTAAGGTTCTGGGAACCCCTAAGTCAGAGCCCATAGCTGGTGGTCAAGATGAGGGAGAGGCCCTCAGGGTCAGCCGAATGCCAGAGAGGCAGGACAGGCCCAAAGGTGAGTAACCTGAGCACATCAGGTGGGTTCAGAACAGGTGCATGAGCCCCACAGCCTGCACAGCAGCTCTGAACTTGGGAGCCCACTTGCACCAGCCCAGTGGGACTTCAGAGATGTGGGGTCCAGCCTCTCCTACTATTGCAGGGCTAGGGGCTGGGAGCTGCAGATTCTGACCCCACAGCTGCCTTAGACATGCCAGATGGGCTGGGGAAAGACACACCCCTCTCTATGAAATGAGCACTCAGTCCAAATAGGTAAACTAAAGAAGGGCTGTGGGATGCACCCAGCTGTAGCCTGGGGCTACAGACTGGCTTCCAGGGTACTCAAGCAGCTGGCCTCTTGGGTAGCAGCCCCGGGTATGAGAGGCAGGACTCAGAATCTAGGCCAAGCCTCCACAGGAATCCCCTCTGGAGAGCCCGGGCACTCTGCAGGAAGGGCAGGAGGCAGCAGGTGCACCAGGAGCATGTTCCACAAGGTGCCCAATATTGCATCTGCTCAGATAGGCAGCGAGTTGGAATGTGGATGCAGTAGGCAGGGTGGCAGCTGCTCCCTACGGCCAGGAGTCCAGCCCAGCACCCACCTGAGTCCACCTCAGTCCTGCTCAACTGGGTCATCCGTGCTCTGGGCCCTCTGGTCCCACCCACAGAGGGAGGGCTTTGGAGCGACCAGGTGAGCTGGCCATTGTGGGAGGATGTAAAAACTCCTGAGCCTGGCGAGCCAGGCAGCCCCTTGCCAGCATCCCCACACCCACCTCTCCAGCCCCCCGCATTCCCTGATCCTCCCATCCACTCCCCTGACCCAGCAGTTTCCTCTGCTCACTCTTTTCCTGCTCCCAGGCTCGCCTGGTCATGTGTCCTTCACTCTCCTCTGAGTCTCCCTCTTTCCAAGCTGCCTCCACTCTACTTGACACACTCTCCCTTAAGACACCAGAGTACACAAGCGCAAGTCCCTGCACCTCACCTTTACTCCCAGACATGGGAGGGAGATGACATGAAGACCCAAACGCCACTTAGCAGGAGATCTGGGGTATGCAGAGGGGCAGATCGGAGGCTGTGGAAGCTCCAGGGGCTCCCTGCAGGAGGCCGCATGTAAGCTGGCTATTGAATGTGGCTCTGAGCTGAGACCTCTCCTTGAAGCTCCAGACCAGGAGCCAGCTGCTAGCTGGACCCCTCCATTTGGTGCCTCAGAGAAACCTTGCACTCCATAGATCTGACTCTGAACCCCGAATATCCCATCTCAGCCCTGTCTCTTCATAGGGAAAGCACCACCTCTGACCCAGTTCTGCACCAAACCCACACTTGAGTGATGGGGCTCCTGCCCTGCACTGTGAGCACTCTGGATAAGCCAGAGCTGAGGGGGAAAGAGCTCTGAATGCCAAGCCAAAACATGAGTTTCAACTCCACCTCCAGCTCTGAGAGCTGTGGGTAGGGAAGGGCCCAAGTCCAGTTTGCTGTAGAAAGACCAGTCTGCCACTGTATGGCACATGGATGGCACGGGCAGAGTGTGGGTGGAGAGAATAGAAGGTGGGCAGGGCGGGGGAGGCAGGGACATGGCTGTAGCCGTGGAGATGGGAGGACAGACAGGACTTGGTGGCCACTTATATGAACCAAGGGAGGGGTCAGGAAGAGACACCCAGTTTTGTATCAGATGTGTAGAGCGTGGGATGCTGTTCATTGATTGAGGGAGGAGGAGGAGGAAGAGGTATGGCATGGGAGGAGGTAGCTGAGCTCTGTCATGAATGTCATTTGAAGTCCCCAGGGAGAGCCAGGCCGGCCAGCCCCTTCACTGCTTCAGCCAGCTCTCAGGGTGTCTGTGCTCCCTGGCCCTCTCAGCTCCTGCTTCATAGCTGTCAGCTGCAGTGGGGGACAGCTGCACAAGGACCAAGCAGGTCTGTGTGTTTACGCAGGGTTCTGCCGCATGGCCCTGCCGAGCAGAAGCTGATGGACGACCTTCTGAACAAAACCCGTTACCACAACCTGATCCGCCCAGCCGCCAGCTCCTCACAGCTCATCTCCATCGAGATGGAGCTCTCCCTGGCCCAGTGCATCAGTGTGGTAGGTGCAGAGGGCACCTGTGGCTCAGGCTCAGGCGAAGAGGCAGCTCATGCCCAAGCCCAAAGCAATCAATGTCCAGAGGAATGAAATGACTAGAGTTGACTTAGACTCACCAATACATGGCGGGGAGGCTGGAGGAGGGTCCATGAGGTTTATAGGTGTCCAATATTTAATGAGGTCATGGTTTTGTTAACAAAGAAGAAATGAGGGTGGGAGCAGGATCACCACTGGCTAGGCAGCCAATGGGCCTGCAGAGACTCTGCTCAGCTGAGTCTCCAGCACGACCATCAGCTTCTCCTCCTCATCCTCCCAGCCCCACCCTACTCTCTCCCCCAGCTTGCTCAACAGGTGACCTTACAGGCTCCCTACTCTTTGCGAGGAATAAGAACCAGACTGCGAGAACCGATGGGTACAGAGGCCCAGGTGTAGGGGCAGGACCACAGGCAGTGCAGCGTCTACTGAGCGAGGCGGGTGAGGGTCTGGAGAGTGGGCATGGCTGCTGCAGGCATGGAAAGGAGGCGCAGATGGCGGCACTCCCAGGGCCCATCGTCAGGGTCTCCATATGTGGACGTGTGCAGAGGTGGGGGTGCTGAGCGAGGAGGTGCATGGAGTTTCTCATCTTCTCTCTACTGCCTCTGAGTTGGAGATGTCAGAGGGAGCCATGGCCCACTGTAAAGTAACACAATGTCCCCACCCACAGGGTTAGAACCTCTCCTCTGGAAGCAGCTCTGAGGGGAACAGTCACATGTAGAGAGTGCAGGGCGCTGTGTCCAGCCGGGGGAAGGAGGTCACCAAGCAGGTTGACCCTCCCCTGGCCAGGTGGCTGCCTTCTGACACACCAGCCTCTCTCTCTAGCATGGTGGCCCCCACACACCCAGCCTGTGAAACCTACAGCCCTCAAGAAGGTTTTGGCCGAATTAATGAGTAGCTCCCTCTCCCAGGAGGAAGCACAGGTGAAGGATGCGGAGGGCAGTAGAGTTGTGTGTGCTCCGCCCCCTTTCTCCACAGTCGGACGGGAAAGAAGGGGGCTTTCAACCAGGCTCACCCAGGCTGGGGTCTGAGTGTCACTGTCCAGCTATTGGCTTCTTGCTTAACGGGTGAGCCCAGCAGCTCCCGTGCAGCTGCCGCCCTAGTTAGGGTGAACCGGCAGGCGAGTTGCATTTCTGAAAGCCCGGGAAGACAGTAAATATTAGGCTGTGGGCTGCTGGGCCAGGAAGGGGTGTTTATTTTTCAGGGTTTGTTTATCTATTGACTTGATGAGGGAGGGTTATACGTACAACCAGTTAAAAGATGGAAATTTTGAGAGAGTAGGCAGGGATTTAGTGCTGGGTAAGGCAAGAAGGCTTGTCAAAGCAGCTCTTCTGGGGAGGCCAGAATCCTGTACCAATGTCCTCAGCACGTTCTTCAGCTGCTGGGGGAGTGCCAGACAGGATGAAAGCGTAGGAGAACTTTCTGGATGATAGAAATACCCTATATCTTCAAAGGAGGTGGGTTACATGGGTAATGCATTTGTTGAAACTGATCAAAATGGAAACCAGATCTGTGCATTTCACTGAATATAAATTATACCTCAAATTAAATACATTTCTTAAAAGACAGATGGGCCGGATGCAATGGCTCACGTCTGTAATCCCAGCACTTTGGGAGGCTGAGGCAGGTAGCTCACCTGAGTCAGGAGCTCGAGACCAGCCTGGAAAATGTGGTGAAATCCTGTCTCTATTTAAAAAATAAAAATTAGCCAGGCATGGTGGCACACGCCTGTAATCCCAGCTACTCGGGAAGCTGAGGCAGGAGAATTGCTTGAACCCAGGAGGCAGAGGTTACAGTGAGCAGAGATCATGCCACTGCACTAGAGCCTGGGCAACAGACCAAGACTCCATCTCAAAAAAAAAAAAAAAAAAAAGAGAGAGAGACAGATGAAGGTTTTCAACTTTCACTAAAGGCAGAGGAGCTTGTTACAGATTCGCCTCCCCATAGGAACAGTTAGAAAAACTGGACAAAAATGTGCCCCACCACCAAAAACAATTGTTGGAAGGTAATTGGAGACCTCAGCCAGCACTTGAGTGACCAGGCCTGGGAGGTGATCCTGACAGTCTGTAGTGCTTTTCCCACATTTGGTGATCGGTCAACAGTAGAGGGCTAAGAGGCTAAGAAACTGAATATGAAGTGGTAGTTAAGGGGCTGGAGAGCCTAGCTGAATGTTGGCACTCTCACAGGGCTGAAATGACCTAATGAGAATTTGGGTCCCAGGAAGGAGATGGGACATTGGTGGGGACCCTGGAAGGGCCACCCCTAGGAGTCCAAATGAATAAAATATAGACCAGCCATCACAAAACCTAAAACCTGCTTTGAACTAGCTTAGTCACAAACTAGATGAAGGCGATCTGCCCTTACTCCAATTGTGTGCCATAAAGTCAAAGTCAATACTCTCTGGAGGCAGATAAAACTTTACTAGGAATGCCATAAGACAACATCAGACTAAATGAGAAAGACCAAGAAAAAAACTAATAGAAACATACATGTAAGGAAGAAACTTTTTTTTTTTTTTGAGACAGAGTCTCACTCTGTCACCCAGGCTTGAGTGCAGTGGCACAATCTCAGCTCACTGCAACCTCTGCCTCCCAGGTTCAAGTGATTCTCCTGCCTCAGCCTCCCAAGTAGTTGGGATTACAGGCATGTGCCACCATGCCCGGCTAATTTTTGTATTGGCCAGGCTGGCCTTGAACTCCTGACCTCAGGTCATCCATTCACCTCAGCCTCTCAAATTGCTGGGATTACAGGCATGAGCCACCGTGCCTGGCCAGTATTTTGCCAAAATTTAAAA
The DNA here is from genome assembly GCF_000001405.40 of Homo sapiens. Lineage (NCBI taxonomy): Eukaryota > Metazoa > Chordata > Mammalia > Primates > Hominidae > Homo > Homo sapiens. The sequence continues at coordinate 4,704,138 of NT_187660.1, forward strand.
TAAATAAATTTTCTTTTTTTTTTTTTCAGGTTTGTGCTCAGACTCTATTCTAAACAGTCACATGGCAGCTTACTCTTCTCCAGGCCTTGCTGCCGGCTTTTACATGTTTATTATATTTGTGTTCTTGTCATCTGCTTGGTAGATGGCAGCTTCCAGGTGCTCCTAAGGGGCCAGGAAAGAGAGTGAGAAGGCACCGAGTTTGCCAGGTCGTCCCCCTCAGGGCCCCACCCTCATCAACTCCCTCAGCTGGGTCTCCTGCAACTATTGGTGGGCCATCTCAGCCACCGCTTCGCCCTGAGCTTCCTGCTGCTGCAGCTGGGCAGTGCCTCCTTCCCAGAGGCCAGCTGCTGATAGGCGGCCACGTACTGCTGCAGGTGACCCCGGTAGTGGTCTTGCTGCTGCTGCAGACTCTGAGCCTCTTGGCTCTTCAGCTCCACCTGCAGGATAGGCGTCAGGGTAGGTAGTCGCTGGCTTCCAGATTCTGGGCCCATAAACAGGGTGGCAAGGGCACTGCGGGGCTCTGTCGCCTGCTCAGGCCCCTGGCCCTGGCCCCTTCCTCCAGGCCTAAGTGACTGCCTCCCTTGCCTAGAGGCCCATGCCTCCCTCCCCAGCCTCAAATCTCACACCCTTCTTCCCACCATTTAAACTGTAGGCCGCAGACTGGTGGAAAAGCAGAGGGAGCCAACCACCATCTGCTAAGTTGTGGTGAGGTCGTTCTGTATGATCTCCAGGGTTTGCACACACCTCTGCCTGCTCCCCCCAAGAGCTCCGCCTTCTGCCCCAGCTTCCCCAGCCTCTCCTCCAGCTCCTGCAGCCTCACCTCCTGTTCCTGCATCTTCTCCTCCTGGTGCCACAGCCTCACTTCCTGCTCCCGCATCTTCTCCTCCTGCCTCTGCATCTTCTCCTCCTGTTCCTGCATCTTCTCCTCCTCCCGTATCTTCTCCTCCTGCCTCCACATCTTGTCCTCCTGCTCCCGTATCTTCTCTTCCTGCTCATGCATCTTCTCCTCCTGCCTCCACATCTTCTCCTCCTGCTCCCTTATCTTCAGCTCCTGCTCACACATCTTCTCTTCCTGCTCCTGTATCTTCTCCTCCTGCCTCCACATCTTCTCCTCTTGTTGCTGGTTCAGGAGGTTCCACAACTCGTTCTCTTCCACCTGGGCTTGGAGCTTTGCTGACACACTCTGTAGCTCCTTACCCAGGTGGTCAGCCTCCACCTGCAGCTGCTGCTGGAATAGTGAAAGTGTTGGTTCAAACCTCAGAAGGAAACAGACTCATGAGCTAGCCATATAAATGTAATCTATAAAATAATGGTTTTCATCTATGATCCTTTGAAAAATATTTTTTTAAGCCCAAACTCTGAGATTCTGATTCCCCAGGCAGGGCCCCAATTTGTATATTTTTAGCACACTCCAGAGGATTCTATGGTGGGACCAGAACAAGGACCCAAATTTTCCAGCTCTTGGCTGGAGCCTCCCCACACCCTACATGATCCCTAGACCATGGCCCCAGCCGGATGGGGCTCCCACAACCCCCGGGGCTGCAGCTGCTCGCCTGTGGCAGCAGGAGCTGGGCCCTTTCCAGCTTCCTTTTAAGGTCCTTTACGTTGAGCTGGATCTCAGACTTTTCAGATTCTACAAGTCGAAGTTTTTCTTGTAGTTCGGCATTTTTCTCCTTCAACTCCTCATCGGTTATGCTGTGGCCAGAGGCAGTAGAGAAAGGAATGAACGAAGAATAGAAAGGACCGCTTTGGTGATCAACCCTCTACTTTCACCCCACAACCACAGAACGGTGGCATTGGAAAGGACCCCAGGAATTAAAAGTCACAGGTGGCAGGCCAGAGAGAAGACATGAGTTGCCTGAGGCTTCCCCATGAGTCAGTGGCACCGCCGGCACTAGAGCTTCCCTGTGCACACATGAAAACCTGTAGAAGCCTCTCACCATGCTCACCTGTACCCCCCACCTCCCAGCACACCACCCACTCTAAGGGCCCCCAGACCTCCCATTCCACCTTCCCCCATCCTACGTGTTCCTGTACAGTTCCAGACTCGGAGCGTCCCTCTCCTTTGTTAATTTCTCGATGTACTGCAAATAGAGAAAGGTTAAGTCAGGATAGAGCAGGCAGAGGAGTAGCTGGACGACCAGAACAACAGCTACACTGATACTCCACAGTAACACTCCCTCACTCTCAATCACACCTGACATGTTCTCAAGGCATTTCCAAGCCCATGGTCTCATTTGTTTTTTCTTTGTTTTCTCTTTCTTTCTTTCTTCTTTCTTTCTTTCCTTCCTTCCTTCCTTCCTTCCTTCCTTTCTTCCTTCCTTCTTTCTTTCTTCCCTTTATTTCCTTTCTCCCTTGCTTCCCGTGCTTCCCTTGCTTTCTTGCTTTCTTGCTTTCTTGCTTTTTCTTTCTTGCAGAGTTTGGCTCTTGTTGCCCTGGCTGGAGTGCAATGGTGCAATCTCGGCTCACCACAACCTCCACCTCCTGGATTCAAGCAATTCTCCTGCCTCAGAGTCCTGAGTAGCTGGGATTATAGGCATGTGCCACCACACCCAGCTAATTTTGTCTTTTTAGTAGAGACGGGGTTTCTCCATGTTGATCAGTCTAGTCTTGAACTGACTGATCCTGACTTATCCTTAGCCTAAAAAGAAAAATTTAAAATTACTCATTAAAAAAATGAATGATTTCCAGCAGAAAATGGGCAATGGAGAAACCGGCACTTCCCACAAGAATAAAAATGGCCAATGAGCAAACGAAAAAGATTCAAAAGCACTAGAAATCAAAGAAATGTAATGAAAACAATGAGATTTTCTGCTTAAAGACCAGCAAAGATGACAAATGGAAGGGGGAACCTGGAGCTCTGTCCCTGTTGGTGGGAGCATAAACTGAACCAATTTTCCTACAGGATAATTTGAACATTTCTTTTAAAAATCCTAAAACAGTTTTACATTATTTTCCTCTAGAAATTCTACTTCTATGAATTCAGTGCAAAAATCCTTACTGGAGTCCATTAAAATGTATATAGAGGAAATTCACCTCTGGGGTGGCAATGATTCACTTAACATAATCCAGCTATTAAAAATGATGATGCCAGGATATACTTCTGCCCTAGAAACATGTTTAAAATATAATAAGTGACAAAAGCCCATTTACTATGATTGTACTTTTATTTTTTTTAACAGTCACAAATCAGCTTTATTTAACTTTTCCAAAATATTTCTCAGGCCATTCTCTTTCAGACATTCAAAAAGAAAAAGTTTCTAACTTTAAAATAATTAAATGACAAATGGTAAAAGCTGCTAGTTATCTCCCAGTGGCTGTTCCCATGGTGGTAGGGCCTTAGATGTGTGGCCATTTGCAATGGACCCAGCATTTCTAGCTTGCAGCCAGGCACAGCCAATAGCAGGAGAGAGCGAGGTGTGTTCCTCCCCTCTCTTGTCTTCCAATCCTTTCCCTGTTCTGCTCATCTGGAATGTGATACTGGTAGAGGCCAGTTATTCGTGGCAAGCAACACGTTTACAGGGATTTTCCTGGGAATTTCAGATACAATGTCTGTATTAGTTAAGATTAGGTTTTGCGGCAATAACAGAAAACCCTCCAAAATGATAAATTAAAGAACATGGAAGTTTATTTTTGTCTCATAGGGATGTCTCAGAAGTGGTTCATGGCTGGCATGATGCTCCATGTTGTCAGGAACTCAGACTCCATTCATCTTGATGTTCTTTCCCGAAGGCTTCAACCTCACAGTCTCAACATGGCAGATTCTACTTTTAAATATGTTTATATGCATAAAAAGTGTAAAAAGCAACAAACCAGAATGTTTTGAGTGGCAAAATTAAAGATTTTTCTTTATATTTTGTCATCCAAATTATTACAAAAAGAATGTGATTTCCTTTATAATCAGGGAGAAGTGTTATTTTCATTTATTTATGTTTACATTTCTTTTCTTTTTCTTCTTTTTTCTCCTGTATGTATCCCATGTAGGCTAGAGAGCTTCAATCCCTGCCTCTTGAGGGAAATCAGCCCATTTTCGGGAAGTGCACTACACAAAGCTGCCCCATCTTCCCTTTATTTTTTATTTTTATTTATTTATTTTATTTATTTATTTATTTATTTATTTATTTTGAGATAGAGTCTCAGAGTGCAGTGGCGCATCTCAGCTCACTGCAACCTCCATCTCCCGAGTTCAAGCAATTCCCCTGCCTCAGCCTCCCAAGTAGCTGGGACTACAGGCATGCACTACCATGCCCAGCTAATTTTTGTATTTTTAGTAGAGAGGGGGGTTTACCATCTTGGACAGCCTGGTCTCAAACTCTTGACCTCAAGAGATCTGTCCGCCTTGGCCTCCCAAAGTGCTGGGATTACAGGCATGAGCCACTGTGCCTGGCCTGTCATATTATTTCTAAAAATTTCAGTGACATTTCAATTAAGTTAAATTTAATTCTTACTGACCTGATCTCTTTTCCTGTGTTTAATGATATCTTCCAGTTGAAAGGTATTTCCTCTGTAATCACAGGCACTAAAGGAAATACAACAAGTATTCTTTAGGTGGATATCCACTAAACCACGGATTCTCCCATTGTAGTCCTTAGACCCTCAGCATCAGCAACATGTGGGAACTTGTTAGACATGTAAATTCCTGGGCCAGCCCCACACCTCCTGAATCAGAAAGTGGGGAAGAGGGACAGCTGTCTGTCCTTTAATAAGCCTTGAGATGCTCCCTGAAGTTTGAAAACTACAGAACTAGAATACATATGGCAGTAAGTGCTCATACTTTATCCCAGGTACCTTCCCCTCTTTTCCATTCTCTTTTCCGTTGAAATAAAATGAGAGCTCTTTTTGACTTAATGGGTATAAGAAAGAAGGCAATGAGATGAGCAGGGTTTCAAGTTAGAGTTCAAAATTTAATCAGTGGATGGTGACAGGGTGCAAGCCTTCTAAACAGATTACTGCAAGAAAGCTGATTATAATCTATACAGTAGGTATCATTAGTGTATTGATGTTAAATTTTTGGGGTGGGATTAATGGTATTGTGATTATATAGGAGAACGTCCTGGTTCCTAGAAGATATCTGCGAAAGTACTTAACACTGAAATGCTGATACTGGCAACTTACTTTGAAATGATTCAGGGGGGAAAAGGGCACATATACAATCTTCCATATGCAGGGGAGACAAAACAAATATGATAAAATGTTAATTGGTGAATCCAGTTGAATAGCATACTGATGTTCACTGTATTATTTTATCAACTTTTCTGTGTTTGCAAGTTTTTAAAATAAAAAGTTGAGGGAAAAGAAACATCACCCCAAATCTTCCTACAAAATGGAACCATAGAAAAACTTTGCAGAAGAGGGCACCGTACCCATCCGGACAGCATGGTCAAAGTGCAGGGTCTCCTCCAGCAGGCTATTCTCTGGTCCCTTCTGTGCTGTCACTTCCCCCAGACGCAACCAAGGCTTTTTTCTAACAACTCTTTTTCTAAAGGTGTAATTTTTTTCATTCATCTAAGAAAGAGACAAAAGAATTAGTATACATTGAGAAAATCAAATTACACTTATACTTGTGTAAAAGCAAAAAATACTTTGAAAAGTGGGGAAGCAAGAAATGTACTGTTCTACAATTCTGTCCTTACCATCTTTTTATTGTGCCAATGACTTCCTATTCCTGCTGCCTATGGTGGGGTGAGCTGCAAATGATTTCTTTTCCTCATTGATTTGAAATGCCATGTTTATAATATACTAAACTCCCCCAGAAGCATTTGGGTTTATTTCTGGGCTCTATTCTATTCAAGTGATCTATCTGTTCACAAGCCACTATCAATTTTGATTATTAGAGCACCCTAAAGTTAAGTTAAATAATTCTTTTTTTTCTTTTCGAGACAAAGTCTCTCGCTCTGTTGCCCAGGCTGGAGTGCAGTGGCGTGATTTCGGCTCACTGAAAGCTCCACCTCCCGGGTTCACACCATTCTCCTGCCTCAGCCTCCCGAGTAGCTGGGACTACAGGCACCCGCCACCTCGCCCGGCTAATTTTTTCTATTTTCAGAAGAGACGGGGTTTCACCGTGTTAGCCAGGATGGTCTCGATCTCCTGACCTCGTGATGTGTCTGCCTTGGCCTCCCAAAGTGCTGGGATTACAGGCATGAGCCGCCGCACCTGGCCAAGTAATTCTTTGATTAGGATATTAGTATTTGATGGAGCCTGACCCTTTTGACTCTAAACTCAAATTCTTATTATCTCTAACTTCTAAAAGTTATGAACAATTATGACTTCAATGTATAAAATGTCAGCTTTTTCAGCTACCTTACAGAATTCTCTTATTTTCCTAATATCGATTCCATTTATCCATTCGGTTTTCTCTCCAAACACTAATGTTTTCGTTTTAGTATCCCTAATCTTTTTTTTTTTTTTTTTTTTTTTTGAGACAGAGTCTTGCTCTGGAGTACAGTTGCATGATCTCAGCTCATTGCAACCTCCAACTCCCAGGCTCAAGCAGTCCTTTTACCTCAGTCTCCCAAGTAGCTGGGACCACAGGTGCATGTAACCACACCCAGCTAATTTTGTATTTTTTGCAGAGATGAGGTCTCACTACGTTGCCCAGGCTGGTCTCAAACTCCTGAGCTCAAGTGCTGGGAGCTCCTGAGCTCCCAAAGTGCTGGGATTGCAGGTGAGAACCACTGCTCCTGGCAGTTTTCCTAATCCCTTCTCTTTATCTTTTGTAGTTGCACTGGCTTATGTGGTTATTAACTGTTAGTGTTAATTAACAGGGATAACTGCAATACTGGACATTTTGTCTTATTCCTGATCTTAAAGGGATGTTTCTACAGTTTCACTCATCATGCATGATGGCAGCTTTTGGCTAGATGTATTTATAATCCACTAGGAGTAAAAAAAATTAGAAATAAATATTGAATTTTATCAAATGTCTTTCTAACATATATGGAGGGAACCATGTATTTTCTTCTTAATGTCTTGCAACCAGGAATCATACCAGATCTTCTAGTAGTGATTCAAGGGAATGAGCTTCATGTGATTGTGCGGCATAATTTTCCCACTGTGCTATGTTTGCATCACTAGCCATGAATGAGAGAGTGTGTCTGTTTTAATGTTACCTTTGTCAGGTACCTTTGTCAGGTTTGGGTTTTCATGTTCGAACAGTTTCAAAAGAAAAAAGTTTGAAAGTTCTACTTTATTCTTTATATGTGGAAATTTCAATAAATTATTTGTGATTTATTGAAAATTTTACTTGAAGGTCTGATATAATTTCAAAGCAAAACCAAACCTTTTTTTCTTTCTTGTTGGGGGAGGGTGGGAGGAGCGGGACAGGAGGACATTAACTCGTTGATATTTTATGTTTTGTTTTTTCCCTTTAGAATTTATCTTCTGGGGACAATCTGACAATGATGAATTTAATTTAGATTCACAGATTTTAAAAATAATTCTTTTGATATTCTTGGTATCATTTATTTACCTATTCTGCAGCTCTGTTGCCCAGGCTGGAGTGCCATAGTCCAATCATAGCTCACTGCAGCCTTGAACTCCTGGACTCAAGCGATCATCCCCGATCAGCCTCTTGAGTAGCAGAGACTATAGGCTCACGCTACCACACCCAGCTAATTTTTTATATTTTTAGTGGAGATGGGGTTTCAACATGTTGCCCAGGCTGGTCTCGAACTCCTGGGCTCAAGCAATCCTCCCTTCTGAGCCTCCCAAAGTGCTGGGATTACAAGTGTGAGCTACTGTACCTGGCACTATTCTCATTTTTATAATAAAATTTTAAGATTGGATAAATAATATAGCCCAATTATTGGAGCCAGACTACATCTACAAAAATTAAATGAAATTTCACTTGTCTGAAATCATGACATACTTTGGAAGATATCTTTGTCATGGTATTAATTAAAATTACGGCTATTTGGCACTCACCAAAATCTGTGGAGCACCTTAAAGACATAGGCGGCATCCTCCGGAGCAGTCAAAACAGTTACAAGAAGAGGCTGTCGGGACAGCTTTGTCAGAAGAGACATGCTATGCATATAAAGACATAAGGGAGACAGAAAAGAAACAACCATTTTACACACAGGCCCCAAATTGAAAGCTATAGGCTGGGTAATGCAGGCACTGATTTTTGCAAATCAGATGCTTTCCATATGGCATCTCCATATAGTGTGCTTTTGCTTTAGAGAGTGGCAGCAAGATTTTTGGTTTTGTTTGTTTGTTTGAAGACAGGATCTTGCTCCACCGCCCAAGCTGGAGAGCAGTGATGTGATCATAGCTCACTGCAACATCAACCTCCTGGGCTCAAGTGATCCTCCTGCCTCAGCCACCTGAGTAGCTGGACTACAGGCATACACCACTATGCCCCCACTAATTTTTGTATTTTTTGAAGAGACAAGATCTCACTATGTCACCCAGGCTGATCTTGAACTCCTGAGCTCAAGCGATCCTCCTGCATCAGACAACCAAAGTTTTAGGATTACAGGCATAAGCCACTGCACCTGGCCAAGATATTTGTTTGCAAAGGATGGTTAATAGTTACAACAAGAAAAATAGGAAGGCTGGGGCACAGTGGCTCATGCCTGTAACCTCAGCACTTTGGGAGGCTGAGGCAGGAGGATCACCTGAGGTCAGGAGTTCGAGACCAGCCTGCCCAACACGGTGAAACCCCATGTCTTCTAAAAATACAAAAATTAGCCAGGCATGGTGTCATGCACCTCTAATCTCAGCTACTCAGGAGGCTGAGGCAGAATCACTTGAACCCGGGAGGTGGAGGCTGCAGTGAGCTGAGATCATGCCATTGCACTCCAGCCTGGGTGACAGAGCAAGACTCTATCTCAAGAAAAAAAAAAGAAAAATAGGGAAGATTTGTTAGTAGTCTGTGAGTTCCACAATCATGTCAAGCATATTAAAAATTCCTTAAATTCCTAATTACCTTTTCCTGTCTTTTTTTAAAAGAGGATTTAACTTCATCAGAATTTTTCTTTACATGTGAAACACCTGCATCTTCAATTGCCTCATCATCTGGCAAAGTGAAGGTCACTCTTTTCAAGCTTTCTTTACATTGTTTACTGTCTTCACTTTCTTCCAGGTCATCATCTTCATCCCTACACTACAAAATTCTTATAAAAAGAAATATACTGCTTTCCATTAGAAAAACAAAAGGAAACATATTTCCCTTAATAAAGTTCTTCTTTTATATGCCTAATGCAACCAAATACTCAGAAGTTCCAAAATCATTCAGGTATTAAGGAACAGAAGGTATCATTTAAGTGAAATGCTATGTAAGAAACAGAACAAAAAGTGTCCAATATATAGAAAATAAATTGTTCAATCTCACAGAAATAACAGGATTTTTGGGGCACAAAACCAAATCAAAGTTCCTGGTCAGAAAGGTTTGATTGCCATTGCCAGTAATATTTTTCTTCATTAAATGATCTCTAATGTCCCTTCAAATACACAGACTTTCCTGTGGCTATCTTGAGAATATCTGATAGGAGAGAATCTAACTTCTTAAAACAAACATATGTGAAAACCACAAGTACCAATACATGATTGGACAGTTCCAGCTCACAATATAAAGGATGGTTCAAATACTTACATTTCAGAAATGCTTAGTTCTTCTGCTGCTTCTTCAGCAATTTCATCAGCTTGTTTGAACCCAGATCATCATCATCATCACTTGCTATGTCTTCATCACTTTCAACTGGATCAAAAAAAGTCTTTGTCCTTCACATTTCTGGAACTTTTACCTGACTAAAATAAAAAGATTTTTAAAACTATTAATTAGGAAGAGAAAAATACATCGTTAGCACACACATATATATTTGTGTGTATACTGTATGTCTACGTTACTTTCTAACTTAATAACACTACAAGCCAAAAATAGTTATTAGGTGAAATCAGCAACTAAAAACATTACCATAAAACTATTATAAGAACAACTGGAACAGAAACTGAATGGAAGTACAGATTCATTTATAACTGATAAGATAGAGCACAATATTTCTTAGATCCAAATCTTCTAACTACAATTACATCTGTCCTAGAAAAACAGAACAAAAGGTAATTTGAGGAGGAGGAAAGTGCTCTCTCCTCTCTCAAAATTTTACCTTAAGTTTTTTTACTTCTAAACAGTGCCCCTTCATCTTCATCAGAATCAATATCTTAAAAAAATCAGTATCTTCTACGTCATCATCATTACCATCTTTTCGTTCCTCTTCTTTTTCTGTTTTCTAAATAGGCCTCCATTTCAGAGAGTTGGAAGAATTTCTCGTCTGCTATGGACTTTTCTCTTGGTTTCCCGTGTCCTTTTTTTGCACCTTGCTCTGCTGTTCCAATTTGTTGATATGAAAGTCAAGGTCAGAATCCTCATCACTGAGAACTGGGCTTTTCATCGGATCGAATTTGCTTGAGTTTGCTCTCTCACTCACTTCAGGATTGTCACCACCCATATCTGACACTTCCTCCTCCTCCTCTAAATCTTCTAGGTCCTCCTGGCCATCAGCCTCTGTCTCTGAACCATCCTCTTCATGCTCCTGTTCTTCACTCTCTGGGATACTGATATCTTCATCTTTGTTTCACTAACTGCATTCTGGAAGCTTTGTAAAATTGGGTCATTTTGCAATTCCAGTTGTTGCAAAGTCTGCTTATCATCAAAACTTTCTATCACAAGTTTTTGTAAAGGGCTTCCATGGATCCTACCATTCTCTAATATTTTATTAAGGTCATAAAGCACTTTTGTTAAAGAAGTGAACTTTGATGCCAATCCATCTTGAATCCTAATGGGAGGAATTAAATGAGATTTAGAGTTATAGTTGATAATTTCACAGCCCTCTTAATTAAAAGAAAAATAAAAACCACAACTCTTCTGTAAAATCAAATTTGAATGAAGTGTAAGTATAGATTCTGGCCCCAACAACATACAAGCTGATGAGCCACACTGATATATAAAACCTGTCAACCAAGTATTTGTGAATCAGCTGTACAGATTTTAGGCAGGAAAAGCATTACAAATCTATTTGCTTGGAGATATATAGTGAATTAGCCTTAAATTATCAACTCTGCTACATTATATACCACTCCATTCTTTCACTCATGTTAGTCAGGATGGTCTGGATCTCCTGACCTCATGATCCACCCACCTCGGCCTCCCAAAAAAGTGCTGGGATTACAGGCGTGAGCCACCGTGCCCGGCTGAATTTTTCTTTTTTATAAAATAGGCTTTATTTATTTATTTGTTTATTTATTTATTTTGAGATAGAGTCTCGCTCTGTCACCCAGGCTGGAGTGCAGTGGCGTGATCTGAGCTCACTGCAACCTCTGCCTCCCCGGTTCAAATGATTTTCCTGCCTCAGCCTCCCAAGTAGCTGGGACTACAGGTGAGTGCCACCACGCCTGGCTAATTTTTTGTATTTTTAGTAGAGATGGGGTTTCACCATGTTAACCAGGATGGTCTCGATCTCCCAACCTCACGATCTGCTCACCTCGGCCTCCCAAAGTGCTGAGATTACAGGCATAAGCCATCGCAGCTGGCTGGCTTTATTTTTTTTTTTAAAGCAGTTTTAGGTTCACAGCAAAATTGAGCAGAAAGTACACGCAGTTCCCATATACACCCTACCCACACACAGTCCCCATATACACCCTACCCACACAAAGTCCCCCTATACACCCTACTCACACACAGTCCCGTCCACTGTCAACCCCCCACACCAGAGTGGTACATTTGTTATAAACTATAAACATACACTGACACATTATTATCACTCAAAATCCATAGTTCACATTACTTTGTGGAGTTTCTATCATGAACAGGTCTTGAATTCTGTTTAATGCTTCTTCTGCTTCTACTGATACAATTGTGTTGTTTTTCTTAGTCTATTAATATTAATATGATAAAGTACAATGATGTATTTTAAAATATTGAATCCTTATATTCAGAAACGGACTCCATTTTGTTGTGATGTATTATCCTTTTTCTACATTACTGGATTTGACTTGCTAATGTTTGGTGGAAGCTTTTGTGTCTAGGTTCATAAGAGATACTGATCTATAGTTTCTTTTCAATGTTGTAATGTCTTTATCTGGTTTTGGGATTAGAGTAATGATGATATCATAAAATGAGTTGGGAGGTTTTTCCTCTGCTTCTCTTTTCTGGAAAAAAAATATGGAGAGTAATTTTTTCACTGGTATAATTCACCAGTGTAATCATCTGAGCTTGAGCCTGTTGCTTTTTTGGAAGGTTTTTATTATTAATTTAATTTTTAGAAAATATGTATAGGGCGGCCGGGCGCGGTGGCTCATGCCTGTAATCCCAGCACTTTGGGAGGCCGAGGTGGGTGGATCACAAGGTCAGGAGATCAAGACAATCCTGGTTAACACGGTGAAACCCCGTCTCTACTAAAAATATAAAAAATTAGCCGGGCGCGGTGGCAGGCGCCTGTAGTCCCAGCTACTTGGGAGGCTGAGGCAGGAGAATGGCGTGAACCCCAGGAGGTGACGCTTGCAGTGAGCCGAGGTAGCGCCACTGCACTCTGGCCTGGGCGAAAGAGCAAGACTCCATCTCAGAAAAAAAAAAAAAAAGAAAATATGTATAGGGCTAGTCTGTTTTTCCTTGCATGAATTTATTAGTTTGTGTCTTTTAAGGAATTGGTCCACTTTATTTAAGGTATCAAATTTACAAGGATAAAGTTGCTTGTAGAATCTTAGAATCTTTTAAAAGTGCACGGTATCAATAATCAGTAGTAATGATTCTTCTTTCATTGCTGATATTGGTAATTTGTATTCTCTCTTTCTCTCATCTTGTACGCTCATGCCTGGGAAGAGGTTTATCAATTTTATTTACGTTTGTGAAAGCCTAGCTTTTGGTTTTGTTGAATTTTTCTATTGTTTTCCTGTTTAAAATTTTATTGATGTATATTCTAATTTGCATGGATTTCTTTTCTGTGTTCTCTTCAGGTTTAAATTGCTGTTCTTTCTCAAGCTCCTAAGGTGCAAGCGTAATTTATTTATATTATTAATTCTTACTTTGTAATATATGCATACAGAAACTGAGTGCTATAAATTATTTTCTAAGCACTGCTTTAGCTACAACCCATAAGTTTTGATGAGTTATATTTTCCTTTTCATTTATTCCGAAACACTTTTTGAGATTTCTTCTTTGGCTCATGGGCTTTTAGAAGCTACCATCTTAGTGCTGATATTATCCATTTGTTCTTGCACATTGTCTACTTTTTTCATGAGAGCCCTTAACATATTTATCACAGTTATTTTTACATTCCGTCTCTGGTACTCCAACATCTGTGTCGTATCTGAGTTTGATTCTGATGATTGCTTTCTCTTCAGACTGTTTTTTCCTGCCTTTGACGTGTCTTGTGTAATTTTTTTGTTAAAAGACAGATATTGCATTAGGTAATAACAACTGAGGTACATAGGCCTTTATGTGAGAATGTATGTTAATTTGGTTAAGAGTTAAGCTATGTTTAATGTTTGTTGCAGCCATAAGTATCAGAAGTTCCAAATTCCTTTAGTGTCTTTGTTTTGGCTCTTCGCCTGGCTTCACAGCTTGTCTCTGCACTGCTCCTCATAGTGAGTCTGTGTCTTTCAGTTCATTCCACTGAAAACAGCTGTAGTCACTGCTTTTAAACTCAAGCTTTATAACAGTGATGATAGGATATAGAAGACAGTAAGCATTCTCCAACCTTCTAATGAAGTGTGGGTCATTTCCTAAGCCAGTAGCTCATGGCTGTGGCTATCCCAGCTGTGTCTGCCTTTCCTCCAGTAGCATGTTCACCTTCTAGCTCCTTTCCCTGGCTGCCGAGCTCCCAGTATATCTCCATGAAGCACTCTATCCGTTGATGATTATTTCTGCCACTACGTGATGAAAGAAGGCTAAAGAGAGCTGAAGTGAGGGGGGATTCCTTTCCCCAAGCTTGGATACAGTATCAGAATGGAGCTCTGGTAAAGTCCTTCCCCTGGAGAAGGCTCTGGTTACATTTCACAATGGTCACTCTTTCCTTCTTCTGCAAAGGCATGAAGGGATCTTTTGGGGATTCTTACCATAAAAATATGGCAAGGTTACTGGAGGGAGCCTCCTAAGAAACTCTTCCTCCAGCAGTTTGTTAAAATTGTCATTTCATTGTTTGGACCAATAGCTCTAGAGGCTCCTGCTGTCTGAAGCACATCTCTAGGCTTTATCAGTTGCAGTGTCTGTTTGTACCTCTCTTTTTAGATTTTGGGGTGGTTATCTGTCCTGTGCAGTGCAATTGTCATGCTATCTACACAGAATTAGGTCAAACCTCACAGGTCAAGGGCACAGGGCCTTAAAAGGGCCTCCCTCATTTCAGACATCAGCTACAAGCAGGGGAGGGGGCTTCCAGGACACACACACTTCTGACCAACTGGCTACAAAGCTGGAGATTCCCACTACCCACTCAAATTGGATACACAACTTTGCTAGAATAACACATTACTCAGGAAAAAGCTGTAGTTATAATTACAGTTATATAATAAAGGATGTAAATCAGGACCAGCCAAAGAAAGAAACCGTCAGGGTAAGGTTTAGGAGGACCTGAGACACACGACTTCCGCTTCCTCAGGACAAGTCACCCTCCTGGCGCATCGATGTGTATCACTACCCAGGAAAGCACACCTGAGCTTCCGTGGCCAAAGTTTTTATCAGGGTTTCATTATGGACACATGACGGATTGAATCTTTGGCCACATTATTGAGCTCAGCCTCTAGCCTCTCTCTCCTCCCAGAAGGCTGGGCTGATAGCACATGCTTCGAAGCCCAACCCTTGAATCACACAGTTGTTCTTTCTGGTGTGATGGGCCCCATCCTGTGTCATCTCCACAGCATAAGCTCAGATATTGTCAGGCCCGCCATCAGTAACAAAATATAATTGTATCATAGGAAACTTCAAGGGTTTAGAGGGCTCCTCTCAGGACCCAGAGAAAAAGATCAGCCAAATTAATTACTATGCAACAAGCCACCCCTTGTTCTTTGACTGCGATTCTTGTTATATGACTAATATCTGGGGGAGCCAGAAAACTTTTAACTGAATTTCACAATACATTTGGCTCTCGATGTCAATATTATAATCTTACCAACAGTGCCAGTATTACATCACAGCATGGCAGATGTCACCTGACTGTACTTTGTCTGCCCTGAAACATTGGAGCTCTATCTATATTTCTCTTTGAAAGCTCCTAATTGACCTGAGAGAAATGGTACCATTTCCCTGTGGTAAAGCAAGTCCTTCACTAGTGACCTCATCTGGCATTGTTTCCTATAAGAGAGCTGTCCTGGAGCTCAGATCATTTTGGACATAAAAGCTATGTAGCCTAGAATATGACTTAAAGGGTCCAATGGCTATGCCCCCAAACACATTGTATCCTTATATATGGACTTTGCCTCGGGAGTCACTGCACCCACAAAACTGTAACAAGGAGCCCTTTGCTTCAGTTTGAGTCTTTACCTCTCCTCTCTTTTCCTGGCCCTTAGTTTTAAGTCATGAGCATAGACCATGCAGACCTTTATGGAAGCTCTCTTAAGTCATAGGCTGGAAGGGGCCCAGTCTCTCTCTTTACCGCTCTGTTCGTCTTATGTACAGTGAACATCTTGTCTCTCACAATTGACTTCAAGCCACACAGGTCCTCTCTACAGAAATATCTTCTTATTGCTTGTTTTCAGAGCATCTTTCCAAAGTTCTTCTTATTCTATGTAATTCAAATTATTGTGATTTCTCACATGGACTCTTACAAATGCCTCCTTACTATTCTCCCAACTTCTTTCTACTTCATTATGTAGTACGGAGGCTTCCCAAGAAAAGAAGGATTATATATTATTAAAGAGGCTTGGCCGGGGGCGGTAGCTCACACCTGTAATCCCAGCACTTTGGGAGGCCGAGGCGGGTGGATCACTTGAGGTCAGGAGTTTGAGACCAGCCTGGCCAACAGGGTGAAACCCCATTTCTACAGAAAATACAAAAATTAGCTGGGCATGTTGGCACGCATCTGTAATCCCAGCTACTCCGGAGGCTGAGGTGAGAGAATCGCTTGAACCCAAGAGGTGGAGGTTGCAGTGAGCTGAGATTGTGCCATTGCACTCCAGCCTGGGCAACAGAGTGAGACTCCATCTCATTGAGGGAAGACAAAGACCCTCTCATATTGTTTTATATTGTTTCATACTCAGTACCTGTTTAAAGAAAAAAGAAAAAAAACAAGGAAGTGAAATCAAAGACAGGCAGCCTGGCACCAGGCCCAAAACCAGGCCTGGGCCTGCCCGGCCTAAACCTAGTAGTTAAAAATCAACTCATGACTTAGAACGCGATGTTACCCATAGATTTCAGGCATTGTATAAAAGAATATTATGAAACTCCCTGCTCTGTTCTGTTTCACTCTGACCACCAGTGCATGAAACCCCTGTCATGTATCCCCTCGATTGCTCAATCAATCACGACCCTTTCACATGAAATCTTTAGTGTTGTGAGCCCTTAAAAGGGATGGAAATTGTGCACTCGAAGAAGCTCGGATTTTAAGGCAGTAGCTTGCTGATGCTCCCAGTTGAATAAAGCCCTTCCTTCTACAACTCGGTGTCTGAGAGGTTTTGTCTGCGGCTCATCCTGCTACATCATAACATAACATAACATAACATAACATAACATAACATAACATAACATAACATAGCATAAAATAGCTAGGTCTCTTGTCACAAATTCATTTCATTAAGTATTGGCGAAAGGTATGTATTCTGGGCTTTCCCTGTGTGAATGAGTAATTCCTAAATGATAAGTTAACTCCATCATTCTAATTTTCCTTAGTCTTTGAATCCCTTCCTCTACATTAAATCAAGGGATATCTGGCATTTCCAATTCACTCACAGTGGGACATCTTTTGATCCAGATTGCAGCCAACAAACCAAACTGGTAGAGCCTTTTGTAACTCCCTGAACTACAACATTAAATGCAGAATCTCTGCTCTGTGGGACCGTATCAACAAACGGGGAACTTTATGTTCCTTCCACCATTGTCTCATACCCCTGTCAATCGAGAAAAATGATGAGACAAATCTCAATCATTTTAGGAGGTTTATTTGCCAAAGTTAAGGATGCATGCCCAGGAGACAGGTCTATGCCTTTCTTCAAAGATGATTTTGAGGGCTCCAAATTTAAAGAGGAAAGGGCAGGATATTGAGAGGTACACAATTTTCATGTGAGAGTGGGGTAGGGAAAAATATTCATTTATTTGTCTGGCTCAGTGAATTTGCATTGTTTTACATAAGATGACATAGACAAATGGGGCAGAGGAAAAATGCTGGAATCTGCATTTTTACATAAGATAACAGACAAAATGGGGCAGGGGACCGATCAGATATGCATTTGTGTCTGGAGGGCAGGGGGGTGACTGCACTGTAAAGACAATTGACATTATCATGGTGAAATTTTAACAGACACACCTTAGGGTAAAGATCTTGGAGCTCACTAGGAATTTCCTCATGGACAAAATGTGGGGGAGGCATGAAGATTTTCATCTTGTAGCCATCTTAGTTAGGAAGCAAAAGGGGAGGCAGGTTTGCATGACCCAGTTCCCAGCTTAACTTTTCCCTTCGGCTTAATGAGTTTGGCATCCCAATATTTATTTTCCTTTCACACCCCTAATATCCATTCCCACACATGTTCCCCAGTTTCCTACCTGTTCCTGGATGTAGTCAGCCTCCTCAGAGATCATACTCTGTAACTCACCTTAGGGGATTGCGGGACTGGAGTCTACTTATAGGTCTAGAATATGGGTGTCCAATCTTTTGGCTTCCCTGGGCCACATTAGAAGAAGAATTGTCTTGGGCCACACATAAACTACAGTAACACTAATGATAGCTGATGGGCTAAAAAAAGAAAATAGCAAAAAAATTTCATAATTTTTTTTTTTTTGAGACAGAGTCTCGCTGTCGCCCAGGCTGGAGTGCAGTGGCGCAATCTCGGCTCACTGCAAGCTCTTCCCCCTGGGCTCACGCCATTCTCCTGCCTCAGCCTCCCAAGTAGCTGGGACTACAGGCTCCGGAGACCACACTCGGCTAATTTTTTGTGTTTTTAGTAGAGATGGGGTTTTACCATGTTAGCCAGGATGGTCTCGATCTCCTGACCTCGTGATCTGCCTGCCTTGGCCTCCCAAAGTGCTGGGATTACAGGCGTGAGCCACCGCGCCTGGCCAAAAAATTTCATAGTTTTAAGAAAGTTAACGAATTTGTATGGGACTGCATTCAAAGCTGTCTTGGGCCACATGTGGCCTGCAGGCCACAGGTTGGATGAACTTGGCCTAAAAGCAAAGAGGGGTGGTGGGGTGGCTCCTAAGGAGAATCAGCATTGTCTTGCTCCACAGCTGCCTTACGGGAGGCCATTCCCATTTCCTCAGGCAGTGCAGGGTTATCCCCTCAGACAGAGGTGGAAAGGTTGATGCCACTGGGGATGGGGAGGCACTTCCTCTGGGGTTGGGGAATTCACTTTTGCCAGGGGTGGGGTGGCTACTTCTGCTGGTGGTAGGGAGACCTGTTCCACTGGTGAGAAAGAAAAGTGGCTCCGAGTCGTCTTAGAAATGTGAGGTCTGCAAAATTTATCGGGCCCTGAGAGATGAGCACGAGGCTTCACTCATGTCCTGGCACCCGTGCCTGGGCATAATTGTTTAAAGGCACTTTGGCTTTCTTTCCTTTCCTGCAGTTTCCAGACTAGCGGATAAATTTCCTAAAACATTACCATAAGTTGCACAATGTGGCCCTCACCCAATATCTTCATGTTCCTGGAATCTGTGATACAAAAACAATGCATAGCCAACAAATAGTTTGTGTTGTGTTATTTTAATGAACCTATGTAGATTATTGATAAGCAACTTAGAAACTGCCCCCAGCTTATTTTTTCTCTTAAACACCCACTTGTAACTGCTGCTAATCTGGGTATATATGTAGGGCAACTTGAATCTATTACTCCTAGGCTGCAGTCCTTAATCTTGGCCCATATAAACTCTCTACTTATATTAATTTTGCCTCATTTTCTTTCCTTAAGTTGACATGGGCAACAAAGGCTCATCAGAGGGGCTCAATGTTCCCAGCTTTACCAAGGCTTTCCATCCCAATTTACAGGATCCCATTTTTTTCCCAGTCAATGCCCTCACTTTATCAGTGGGCACCCTGTGAGGCTGGGAGTTATATTTGCCTTGTAATTCAGCCAATCACAGGATAAAGTCTTGCATTTGATTTTCAGCAATTTCAGCCCTGAAGCTACAAGACCTAACACTCTCCCTCAGGGTGCACCTAGAAGGTCTTAGGTCATTTGTGTGGTGCTTGAGCTGGGAATTATTGTCATTATTTTCCTTAGTTTTCCAAAATCTTTTGAAAGTATTATATATCGCATTACTTTAGTTGACTAGGACTATCCAATGCAGATATTTTGGGTATCTCAATAAAAAATTCACGTCATGGACTATCAGTAATATCTTACCACTGAAAGTAAAGTCATTAGTATTTTCAAGTTTAATCATATTAGAGAAACAATTCCAGAAACCTCAAAACCAATTCACAGAATTTATCCTTAAAATTCTGTTCCTCTAGATCCACTCTTGGGGCAAAAATCTGTATTATTCAGGTTTCTCCAGAAAAATAGAACCAATCTGATATAGATAGGTAGATAGGTAGATAGGTACACAGCTAGCTAGCTACCTATCTGTATCTCATATCTCCTCTTGAAACAGGAGAGTTCCCTGATCCCCTACACAGGATGATTGGTGGGTGTGGCTCATCTGTTCTGCTGCCTCCTGCTCAAACCCCTCATGGGAGGGGAAGCACGCAGACAGGGAGGTGTAGGAGCTGGGGCAAGCACTTTTGGACTCTGGCCCCACGTTACCATATATGGGTGGGTGCCTGCAACTCCCAAAGCTCCAGTGGGCATATTACAGTACTCTTTAGCTCTGCCATCTGCAGACCACTTAAGTGTTAACCAGCTCAGTGCCCTCTTGGTACCAAGGTCCTTGCCTGGCATCCAGGAAGAATCAGGTGACATGGAAAAATTGAAGGATGACAAATGTGGGGGATTTTATTGCCAGACGGAAGTGGCTCTCAGCAGGGTGGATGGGGAGCTGGAGAGGAGTTGCAGTAGGAAGATGATCTTCCTCTGGAGTTTGGCCATCCCGTGGCCAATCTGTTCTCCAACCATCCCCAGCCAACCACCTCTCGATGTTCAGACGTTCCTTCTCTTCTCTCCTTCTCTGCCACCCTGCTCTTCCAACCCTCTGCTCTTCTGCTTGTGAAGCCTGGGACTTGGGGTTTATAAGGGTTCAGGAGAGGGGGGCATGGTGGGCCAAAAGGCAACAGCTGGGTGCAAAAACAGGAATGACTGTTCCCATTTAGGGCTGCAGGTTTCCTGGCTTCAGGGTGGGGCCTTTGACAGGGAACCGCCTCTTCTACCCAGTATTTCCCTGTCGCCTGTGCATATCACTCTTATCCCTGTAGATAGATAATAGATTCTCTATCTCTGTGGATAGGTGCAGAGATAAGAGGAGATCTATAATCAGAATTGGCTTACATAATTATGAAGGCCAAGAAATCCCACAATATGCCACCTATAACCTGCAGACCTATGAAAACTGGTGGCACAATTCAGTCTGAGTCCAAAGGCCTGAGAACCAACAGAGTGAATGGTGAAACTACCAGTCTGAGTCCAAAGACCTGAGTACCAGGAGATATGATGTCTAAGGGCAGGAAAAGTATGTCCCAGCTCAAGGAGAAAGATAATTTGCACTTCCTCTGCCCTTTTTGTTCTATCTAGGCCTTCAATGAACTAGGTGATGCCTGCCCACATTTGTGAGGGCAGATCTTGTTTGTCTATTGAATCAAATACTAATCTTTTGTCTATACCTCAATAAAGCTGAAAAAAACTAAAGTAATTGCACACTTCCAAAAACAAAAAATATAAACAAATACTATTTTCCAAAAACACCCTCACACACTTAGAAATGTTTTACCAGCTATCTACCAAGTCAACTTAATGTTTAACTTTAAACATTACATCCTTTAATCTAGCATAACATCTTTTAAATTCATCAACATTTGTGTAGATCAACAGTTACAGTTCTTTTCTTTTGGCACTTGAAAAATATTGTGCCACTTCCTACTTGCCCCCATGGCTTTAGATAAGAAATTCACTGTCATTCCAATTCATGTGCCCCTAAGGATAACAAGTCATGTTTCTGTGCCTGCTTTCAATATTTTCTGTCTTTTCAGAAGTTTAGTATGATGTGTCCTGGTATATATTTCTTTGGGTTCATACTATTTGGGATATATTAAACTTCTTGAATCTGAGTGTATTTCGTTTAACAAATTTGGGAAATGTTTACCCATTATGTCTTCAAATACTCTTTCAGCCCCACTGACTTTCTCCTCTTCTTCCCCAACTCCGATAATATTAATGTTGGATCTTTTGTTATTGGTCTGTGAAGTTCTGTTCATTATTTTCAGTCTATTTCCTCTATTGTTCAGATTAGGGAAATTCTACACATTTTCAAGTTCACTGATCATATCTCCTGCCCTCCACCCTCTACTATTGAGCCCACCTAGAAAGCTTTTAATTTCTGTTACTGCATTTATCTGTTTCATGAATGTCTTGTTTCTTTTTTATAACTCCTATTTCTTTGCTAGAATATTCCATTTTTTCATTTAAGATAATTTTTTTATTACTTGAACCATTTTTATGCTGGTTGCTTTGAAATTGTTGTCAGATAATTCCAACATGTGGTTTATTTCACTGTTAACATCAACTGATTGCCTTTTGTCATTTCAATTCCCATTTCCCTGTGCCTTGCGCATTTTTTATATTATGTTAGGAAATCTGGGTTCTATTTACATTTTGTTTAATTTTAGTAAGCATTCACCTTTTTGGATTCAGCATGCCGGTCTGGACCTAATTTGAAGGATTTGACTCCTACAACAATTTAATTTTCAGTCTTTGCAGAGCTATTTTAGTTTGCTTTTTAAAAAAATATCATTCCACTGGGGCTCCTACTGGTTTCTGATGGAGCTTCCCCAGGATCAGTTGTCTGTATCTCTAAGTGAATGAATGGAGACTCCGTCCTACAGGGGCAGAGTGCTTCCCTGGCCAAGTGCACATTGCAGTGTGAATTCCCTTCCCTGTGCCCTTGGTTGTGCAGTGTCTCTGGTGAAGGAAATGAGTTGTGTCCTTTGTGGGAAAGAATTGGAAAGTTGGATTTTGGCAATTCCAGTTGCTAGTGCCCTCAACCAAGGGCTTGGGAACAGGGGTGGAAGGAGAGGAGTAGAGACGTAGAGAAAATGGTGTCTCACACTTGGTGAAAAAGTAGAGTTTTCTGGCAGCTTACCGTTAACAGGGCTTCTAATCAACCCGTCTCCATTGTTGGTTCTCCTCTGCTTGCCTGCTATTTCTGGCAGAACTCTCATTTGTTGCAGAAGAATGAGCCTACTTGAGCTACCTTCTGTTACTACATTGGGAGGTGGGAATTGTCAAGCCTGGATCACCTCTCTTGTTGGATGGGGGTTGTATTTTGTGCCTCCAGAATCGAGGCCCCGACCAATTCACCTTCCTCTTACCACCTTTCAGAATTCTCCTGTAGCTGTTCCTTTTACTATTCTCAGTGTTTATAATTGTACTTAGTAGGGAGGGGCAGAGAATGACAAGTCAAGGTGATTCTGTCAACTCTCAAAGTCTTGTCTATTTAAATTTTTAGAAGTAAAAACAGAATCTCTGAATCTGGCAAATACGTATCTGACAGTGGTAGCCTATTGCCCATTTTCTAGGTTTGGTTCAGTTCCACAGATCTAGATGTTGTATGATGAAGGAGAATCCACATACAGTTAAGAAACGAGTTTGCGGCCGCGCACGGTGGCTCACGCCTGTAATCCCAGCACTTTGGGAGGCCGAGGCGGGTGGATCACAAGGTAAAGAGATTGAGACCATCCTGGCTAACATGGTGAATACCCGTCTCTACTAAAACTACAACAAAATTAGCCAGGTGTGGTGGCAGGCGCCTGTAGTCTCAGCTACTTGGGAGGCTGAGGCAGGAGAATGGCGTGAACCCGGGAGGTGGAGCTTGCAGTGAGCCGAGATCGCACCACTGCACTCCAGCCTGGGCGACAGAGCAAAAAAAAAAAAAAAAGAAACAGACTATGGAATAAGTATCATTATATACCTTGGACAAATGGCAGAGCTTACTGCTTTCATTTTTAAAAAAAATTAAAAATGCATCAAGGTTTTAGAAATTAAAAAATTTTATTCTTGAAATAAAAATCTCAATAGATGGGTTGAATAGCAAAATGGATTGAAGAGTAAATCAGTGAACCAGAATATCATGCTAAGTAATTCTCCCAGAATGCAGTGCAAAACAATAGATGGAAAGAATGAACAAAATGTTATGAGACATGAATGACAGCTGTAAAAGTTCCACTATCTGCTTAATATGAATTACAGGAGAGAAGAAAATTAAGGAAGGAGAGTGCCTAAAACAAGGCAAAAATTTAAGACAATTTCTTAGAAATTGGAAATACTCATATTGAGAGGAACCAGTGAATATTTACAGGAAGAATGTAAAAAGACTGACATGTAAGTAAATCATGATAAAATTTCAGGATACTAAGGATAAGGAGGAAACTGAATGTTTTCAGCGTGAAAACAATTGTGTGGGATGGAATAAGATCGATACCAGACTTCACATTGGCAACATGGTAAGTAAGAAAACAGAATAATGTCTTTACAGTTTTCTGGTGAAAATACTTGTGAACTTATGATTCTTGTTAAAGCGAACTAAATATGGCCTGAGGACTCTGTACTTCTGTATTTGAGTCCTTGTGGACTAACCATAACCTAACTTAATAGACAAGATTGAAAACCTAGCTTAGGAGTATGCATCTGTAACAGCAGCTGAGTCTTGGCCAATCCCAGCAACTATACTTCAATCACTCATACACTGCTGAGGGTTCAAACTGTGTTCAAATAAGGCAAATGCCAACCTGTAACCAATCCAGCTGTTTCTTTACCTCACTTTCAATTTCTGTGTGTCACTTTCCTTTTCTTGTCTATACATTTGTTCTGACCATGAGGCATCCCTGAAGTCTCTCTGAATCTGCTGTGGTTCTGGAGGCTGCCCAACTTGTGAATTGTTTTTTTTTTCTTGCTCAATTAAATTCCATTTAATTTGAAGTTTTCTTTTAATATTGTTTAACCAGCCAAAGTGCAAGTGAATGTGAGGGCATCATAAAGACATTTTAAGACACAAAAACAGATTCAAAAAGTTTATAATTCACTGTCCACATAGACTAACCTTTCTCAACAGGGTACCATTGGCATTTGGGGTGGAACAGTCCTTCGTTGTGTAAGATTGATCCACACATTGCAGGTTGCTTAGTGTCCTTGACCATCATCCACTAAATGCCAGTAGCATTTCTCCTCCCCGTGACAATACACAACAGCCCCACATTTGGAGACAGTGCTGTATCACCTCTGGTTGAGAAACCATGGTGTAGAAAATATATTCAAAAAGAAAATAAATCTGGGAAGAAAAAAAGGGATATAAGAAGCACAGGTGAGCAAGATAATCAGTGAAGTTTACTTTTAAGTCTAAATTATAAAAATAAACCTATAATAAAAAACTAAAATCTGAAATAACTCGGGATGGAAAGTTATGAAGTCTGGAAAGGAGGAAGGAGAGAGAAGTAAAAGCATGCTAGGAGTCTCATTTTATCTATACGATTAGCTCTGGATGTCAATCATATGTGTAGCTATGTGTATAAAAATATAAAGATATAGGAACTAAACATATACTTTTCAAGTCATTAGAAGAAAAATTAGTTGGGAACAAGTAAAATGCCAGCAGCTAACTGAAGATCAGGGATGAAAAAGAAACAAAAACAGCATATAAAATAGAAAGCATGGCCAGGCGCTGTGGCTCACGCCTGTAATCCCAGCACTTTGGGAGGCCGAGGTGGGCAGATCACAAGGTCAGGAGATCCAGACCATCCTGGCTAACACGGTGAAACCTCGTTTCTACAAAAAATACAAAAAAATTAGCCGATCGTGGTGGCAGGCACCTGTAGTCCCAGCTACTCAGGAGGCTGAGGCAGGAGAATGGCGTGAACGCGGGAGGCAGAGCTTGCAGTGAGCCGAGATTGCGCCACTGCACTCCAGCCTGGGCTACAGAGCGAGACTCCATCTCAAAAAAACAAACAAACAAAAAAAGTGATTATATGCTTTATTTCAAAGATGAAATTTATGACTATACAGCAAAATAAAATTGGGATAAAAAATAACCTGAAAATCAGGAAACAGGAGAAACAGTCTAAACATTTATTTTGTGATCTTGCCTAATTATTTTTCTTATAGTCAATAAGGAATAATTTAAAATGACCTTATTCCTGAGTACCTGGAGACTTCTAAGAAGTTTTGAAAAATAATTTTATGTTGAAGAATCATACCACAAAATACTTCCAAGATATATATGTGTTGCCATCCTAGTTACTATAAACCAGAGAAAAATGTTCTAATTGCTCTTTTTAATGAATATGTACAAAAATGCTTCATTATAAATCTAGAATATAGGAATATGTTCAATAATTGATTTTTGCAAAAAGTCTGTTTTTTTTTTTCTCTAAAGCAGGGAGAGAACTGTAGCTTCATGATCTGAGATATCAGGCAAGGAAGTCCTCCCCTATTCTTTCTTAAGGGATAAGCTCTTTATATTCCTCTCTCCAGTCCCTCAGAGACAGCATCACATAACTCCCCTATGCTCTGTGCTCTGTTGGCTCCATCCTCGGGGACAAGTGCTATTTCACATCTTACTCTTAAATCACTTCTGAGAAACAGACATAGCTTCCACCAAAGAGGAGCCCTCCCAACAGACCTCTAATAACACCAAAGGGTTTCCATGTGTGTGCCCTTAAGCGAACATACACAAATGAAATGAATCTATAGATTGATAATGAAGCCAGTTTTTATAAGTGACACATGAATATCAGTCGATTAGACACACTCCTGCCGAGTACTGTAACAAATCTCTTCATTTTTACCACATACATGAATAGCTGTCCCATATATTCATAAAACATAAGAATTTTTTTCTTGATTAATAAACTTCATTTTTTAGAGTAGTTTTAGGCTCACAGCAAAATTGAGTGGAAAGTAGAAGAGTTCCCATAGACTCCCTACTCCCATACACACACAGCTTCCCCCACTGTCAACATCCTGCACCAGAATGATGCATTTGCTATAATCGATGAACCTACACTGACACATCACTATCACCCAGAGTCCACAGTTTACATTAGGGTTCGATAAAATAATTTTTTACAACTTAAATCCCCCAATAAACTTAACATTACTTCTCTGGGCCATACATTTTTCTGCATCAGTAAAATGGGATAAGAATATTTATTTGGAGCTGGGAGTGGTGGTGCATGCCTGTAGTCTCAGCTTCTTGGGAGGCTGAGGTGGGAGGATTGCTTAAGCCCAGGAGTTTGACGCTGCAGTGAACCATGATTGCATCACTGCACTAAAGCCTGGGCAGCAGAGTGAGACCCTGTCTCAAAACAAAACAAAATAAAACAAAGACAACAAAAAGGTAATATTTGGAAGGTTTTGTGAGTATTATTGGGATACATTATGAAAAGTGCTAGCACATTATAAGTATTCAGTTACGGTTATTTAAGTTTATCATTAAGATCGTTATAACCTGTAGGAACTGACACTGCTACCCCAATCCTGTCTTTGAAGGAGCAAACCCATATGGGAGTAAAAATGACTGGCTCCCCTCCCTGCCTTGACCTGTCATTTGAGTCTACCTAATTATAAAACAAACAGGGTTTTAAGTTTTGAACCTATTCCCTGTCATGGTGGGTAGAAAATCAATCACTACACCTGTATTTATAAAACAATCAGAACAGAGGAAAAGACACAATTTTGAATTCCAGCCACACATTAAAACAACCCATATTTATAAAACAATCAGAACAGAGGAAAAGACATGATTTTGAATTCCAGCCATGCATTAATTGTGTGCATTTAGGCACATCACTTAAGCCTGTTAAAATTCATTTTATCCACCGAAAGCACTTTATATACTTAAACGAACTATGCTCATTTACAGGGTTCTGTGCATGATCCTGCATCCGTAAAACTGAGAAACCAACAGAATGAGGACAGAATGAAAAAAGAAAAAAACTTTCAGAATGTTCTTCCTTTCCTCAATGCCATACAGTTTGTGCAGTCAGCTGATTGGCTGAAAAGAGTCAGTTTTGACGACTGATGCTTCCTGCTCATGTTTAGTTGGTTTAGGAAGCTCATTAGGATGCTATCTCGGAGATGAGTCTGGTGGGTAGAATATCTGATGACTCTAAGGCAAATGTACTTCCTTCAGCTGGTGAATTAATTTCTCAATAGACTCAATTTGCTTTTTACTGTCTGGCAATATCCCATATTTGCAATGGCCTTTCAAACACTTGCAATAAAATGTGGCTCACACATACAACCTGTTAGCGGTGAAAGAGAAACATTCATCACATTCAAAATTCTCCAAACATGAGAGCAGCTGAATGTGCTTTAAGACAGTATACCTAATGATACATCTCTATTTTCCCCTTCCTCTTACAATCATTTACACAGATATATGAGAGGTAAATATGTGTTTAGAAAGTATTAGTCATCATAGATGTACCTCCAGTCATCCATTCAAATGTAAACATGGTAAAATATGCACTTGTACAATTTTATACTATCAATGAGTATAGGTAGGTGAAAATTAGTGTTGCCAGAAAAAATTCAAACCAGAAAACTGAAAGTATAGAAAAATACTTTTTGTCATTGAAAAACCATTTTAAAATAATATATCGTGTAGAATAAAAAATTCCATGAATATATACATGTAAATTATACATATATGTGAATTTAATTTTGTTAAAAGGTAATTGGCATCTGCAATTTCATGCAGTCTAAGTGAAACCCATAAAGAAATGTGTATGAAATAGGAAAGCAACAAAAGCTCATAACATTTTAAAATTAGAAATCAGATTCAAAACCCATCATGATCTATTTTAAATTTATCTCTATAACATTTCAATTGAGACATAAAACACACTTTATACAACATGCCTCACTATTTTATTAACAGCATGACTTCCCTTTCCCCAATCCCCAAACCATGTTCCCATCTACACCCCACCCCACCCAAATCTCACCTCTTCCATTAGCATTATTACAAACATATTTTACAAATCTTATACCAAGCTTTTCCACTGTCTCTTTTCAATGTAGAAATATCTTATATATAAACCCAAATACCACAAATCTTCACATTTATATTTTCTAAAGCAGTTAAACCTTTATAGACAATTCTACCTAAAAAGCCAAATGTGCTTGACAATATGTCATGTTATGTTAAGTTGACCAGACACAGAAGTCATTTCTGTCGGATTTCTTGTCGATGTTTGCATTAAGTTGGAGCTTTCTGATCTCGGCTCTTCTTGTGCCAGTAATTTGAAAGGTCACCTCTCTGTTGGCCTTTGGTTTATGCAATGCAGTCTGGCATTGCATAATTAAAAGTCTCGGCCGGGCACGGTGGCTCACGCCTGTAATCCCAGCACTTTCGGAGGCCGAGGCAGGCGGATCCCAAGGTCAGGAGATCCAGACCATCCTGGCTAACACGGTGAAACCCAGTCTGCACTAAAAATACAAAAAAATTAGCTGGATGTGGTGGTGGGCGCCAGTAGTTCCAGCTACTCGCGAGGCAGAGGCAGGAGAATGGCGTGAACCCGGGAGGGGGAGCTTGCGGTGAGCCAAGATCGCGCCATTGCACTCCAGCCTGGGCTACAGAGTGAGACTCCGTCTCAAAAAAAAGAAAGAAAAAAAAAGTCTTGTGAATTTGTACATAGAATATTGAAGTTAGAAGAGGCTTATCACTCTCTGGGCTCTAATACTGCCCAGAGGTTATTTGTTTCTTGTTTCCATAAGAAAATCCTATGTCTCTCCATTAGCATTCCTGATCCTTACCTCCAATTCAAAATGTGGCCAGTTCCACCTTCTAAGCCTTTATACCAAATTGACTGGGTAGGTTTATTATGAATCTGTGTTCTTGTCCAAACTCTACATTAGACCTCGCAGGAGAGTTCAAACTAAAAACTAATGAGTAAGTGCAATATTACAATTGAAACGGGAGCAAACATAATTTCAAGTAGGACACATAAAAACTGTGGGACCAAAAGAGGAAGAGTGCACGCCAAATGTTCTCAATTCTGAAATGGCTCTTGTGAAATATCTATGTGAAAACACTTCAAGGACCTGAAAAAAAAAAAATGGTGAAAAAGCGAACAACCTTCCTTGCAAAACAACTCCAGAGTTAATGCCAGAGCTTTCTATCAAAACATCCATGTTAAGTTCGCCGGAAAGATTCAGAAGATCAATGACAGGAGTAAGGGAAAAAACAAGGACATTTTGTGAGTAGGAACGTATAATGACCCTGCAGCAGGAGAACGAGAGAGGGGGAAGAAGGAAATGGAGGGTGTAAGTGAATTAATTGACTGTAACATGTTTAATGAAATAAGTAGACGTGTGATGCAAATTTCTTAATAGTCAAACGTTATGCAACATATGATGCATAAGAATTGTACTATCTCAAATTTTTTTTAATGTGAGATTCTCTTGATGCCACTTTCATTTACCTACACACACACAAATAGCACAAATCACATATACATATACTGACACGAAAATATATATGTGGGAGGGAGAGAAAGAGGGAGGATAACTTTAATCATGATACACTGCCAATATAAGAACTCCCTTTTGGCCGGGCGCGATGGCTCACACCTGTAATCCCAGCACGTTGGGAGGCTGAGGAGGGCGGATCACGAGGTCAGGAGATGGAGACCATCCTGGCTAACACGGTGAAACCCCGTCTCTACTAAAAACACAAAAAAAATTAGCCGGGCGTGGTGGCGGGCGCCCGTAGTCCCAGCTACTCAGGAGGCTGAGGCAGGAGAATGGCATGGACCCCGGA
This sequence comes from Homo sapiens, assembly GCF_000001405.40. Classification (NCBI taxonomy): domain Eukaryota; kingdom Metazoa; phylum Chordata; class Mammalia; order Primates; family Hominidae; genus Homo; species Homo sapiens. The sequence continues at coordinate 4,734,184 of NT_187660.1, forward strand.
GGTGGAGCTTGCGGTGAGCCGAGATCGTGCCACTGCACTCCAGCCTGGGCGACAGAGCGAGACTCCATCCCCCTCAAAAAAGAAAAAAAAAAAAAAAACTCCCTTTTTAGAAAGATCTTTTATTCAACTTACCAAAATTTTAATTGCCAATGGAACAGAAACCAGCACAAATAAGAACTTGTAACTTACCCAGGTACAAGTGAATTTCAATGACTGAAATTCAGGGGCATTCTAAGCAAGAATAGTTCAATAGTAACTAATCTCATTATTTTTCATTTTTATTAAGTCATATTTATTATTCATAGTGTGATTTCTCATCAAGGAGTTATTTAACATGCCAAAAGCCTGCATCTCTTTAACTAGGTCTTTATGCATAGGGAATGTTTAAGTATCCACAAAAGTAATACATACTAACCAATTTTTTAGATTTTAACATATATATTTGAAGATATGTTTTCCCCAAATGTACAGTTCTTTGTGGCCTGGATTGCCTCAGGAAACTGCCTCTGCCTGTTGTGGGTATCATGGCAAGTAAGGGCACTGGTAATTTACTGCTGAGAAAATGCCTAGCCGTTTGCCTAATTATGCCATGTCATCTTCCTCACACTACAGAGCACGGTAACCTCATTTCCAAAATCAAAGACAGAACAAATCTGAACAGCTACTGTTCCTGAGGCAAACAAGTGAATAAATTCCAAAACATGCCATGGACTCACCGACGATGAATTTTAGACAATTCTTTTTTTTTTTTTTTTTTTTTTTTGAGATGGAGTCTCGCTCTGTCGCCCAGGCTGGAATGCAGTGGCGCGATGTCGGCTCACTGCAAGCTCCGCCTCCTGGGTTCACGCTATTCTCCTGCCTCAGCCTCCCGAGTAGCTGGGACTACAGGCGCCCACCACCACTCCCGGCTAATTTTTTTGTATTTTTAGTAGAGACGAGGTTTCACAATGTTAGCCAGGATGGTCTCGATCTCCTGACATTGTGATCTGCCGCCTCAGCCTCCCAAAGTGCTGGGAGTACAGGCGTGAACCACCGCGCCTGGCTGGATCTTAGACAATTCTACATCGTCTGTTGAATCTATCGTCTGTTGAATCAGCTTTCTATTAACCACACACTATAGAAGTGAAACGAACCTGTACTACCAAGAGTGTGTATTAATTTTGCATGCATTTCCTAGTAAACAATGTAGACAGTATTAATTTTTATGTTGCCAAGGTAATAGTTTTGTCCCTCAACTCATATGCTAAATTTTGCCTCACCTGGCTCAGTCAGAAGGAACAGAATTGACAATATTAACTAGTCTCAGTTATCTCCACTGACAGAAAAAAAAACGTGTTATTTTCTACACGGACTGTGGGAATCAGCATTTTCTGTTATTAACTTAAGATTTTTTTTCTTGCCATTTCTCTTTATGATCCCAATGTATTGATGTATTTCTAACACTACAACAAGATTTGTGTCACTCAACTGTGTGTTGTAATCATTGTCTTTTAACCATTTATATCCATGAAACTGATGTCATTGAAAGATAGAAAACAGAAACAAAAAGCATAGAAGGGAGAGAGGGAGGAAGACTTTAGTCATGATACAATGCCAATGTAAGGACTCCTTTTAAGAAAGATTTTAAAAAATTTCTTCATCAAAATTTCCATTGCCTCCTTGAATGAACTGTGAAGGATTGCAAATTCCTTTAAAACTTGGTTTTGGCAACGAATCTGGATTTCCTTCATTAGCCAGGTATACAGAATTCATTTTCCAATGCTCTATTAAAAATAAGAGGCTGGGCACGGTGGCTCACGCCTGTAATCCCAGCACTTTGGGAGGCTGAGGCGGGTGGATCACAAGGTCAGGAGATGGAGACCATCCTGGCTAACACGGTGAAACCCCGTCTCTACTAAAAATACAAAAAATTAGCCGGGTGTGGTGGCGGGCACCTGTAGTCCCAGCTACTCAGGAGGCTGAGGCAGGAGAATGGCGTGAACCCAGGAGGCGGAGCTTGCAGTGAGCCGAGACTGCGCCACTGCACTCCAGCCTGGGCAACAGAGTGAGACTCCATCTAAAAAAAAATAAAATAAAATAAAATAAATAAAAAAGGGAAGATTCCCTTAATGTTTCCCAGTCTATTAAAGGTTTCCTTCCAAAAGGAGCTCATTCTGATCCCATTTAGTACAACACCCTCGTGTATGCCAGATGGCACAGGCATCATAGCTTCACAAATGTCATTCTGATCCTCACCTTTAAAATGAAATTCCCTTAGTCTACCTTTCTTTACATAAACTACAAAATTGTAGACAAAGACATGCCAAATTAAAAGCCTCTTTTGCTAAATATTCTAGAAATAATTTGAGAAAAATGGGCGCAATTTGAGACCTTAGTTGTCTTGGAAAGGGAGTAGGTGGGTATTTGACTATGATTCTGGTTGGTATTTCTCCTGTTAACTATTTAAATGTGTGACCTTAAAAGAAAATCATTCAGTCTTGTTGAGACTAATAAATGTCTCACCCAAAAAAAATGAACTTAAAATTTCTCCTATGTGTCTTATAGCTCAAAAATTTTCAATTCTGTTTCAAGCCATTCTAACATCCTGGATATTTTCCTGGATATTATAATATCCAGCTTATAATCTGCATAGGTAAAGTTTTATTTGTATTATGTTCCTTAGGTTTTGTTAAGTTTCTTGCAAGTAGGTTGATATTCTTTAATGTTTAAGTATTAAATCTGAGGTGAGCTGAATAGTTACCTGTTATTGTTTTGTGTACTCAATAATTTACAGTAAAATATATTTAGAATTGTTATAGTTGGTTATTAGAAATAGAGTTTCTACCTATTGTGGTTTTTAAAGTACCTGTGGTCCAGGGGCAGTGGCTCACACCTGTAATCCCAGGACTTTGGGAGGCCAAGGTGGGCGGATCACTTGAGGTCGGGAGTTCAAGACCAGCCTAGCCAACATGGCGAAACCCCGTCTCTACAAAATATACAAAAATTAGCTGGGCGTGGTGGCGCGTACCTGTAAACCGAGCTACTTGGCAGGCTAAGGCACTAGAATTGCTTCAACCTAGGAGGCGGAAGTTGTAGTGAGCCAAGATCTTGCCTCCACACTCCAGCCTGGGTGACAGAGCAAGACTCTGTCTCAAAAAAATAAAAATAAAAGTGCCTGTGTATGCAGTGGGCATTCAACAAATAGTTGTTAAATGAATAAATTAAAACCTTGAGATTTGCTAAATGCTTAAAACCCAAAAGAAAAAAATAATATTTTTAAGAAAAATATTAAAAATCATTTTAACTATAGCCATGGATAAGTACATAAGCACACAAAAAATTAATCACTGTGTTGGTAAAAACCTTATTTCAATACCTCTTTATCCTTCATACAAGAATAAATCTCTGGAAGAGAAAAGAAAAGAAAGCCGCTCTGAGCGTACCTACCTTTCTACTCTGGAGAGAAGCTCTTTTGACACAGACTGCCCCGTTTAACAGACTCCAGCTGCTGGCACTGCCTTCTGAGTTCTTTCACTTCCGAATTCTTATCGTCCTGCAGCCCCACCACAGTCAATGACTAAGTTCCTCTGGACTTTCACATGGATCGTAATAGACAACTTCATCCTGTTTTTCTAAAAAGGTATTAATGATTGTTTAAAACATATTTTATTATTTGTAAAAATGCACTCAATTTTTTTAAATGTAAGGAAAATAAAGATCACTTGTAATCCCACCACTGAGAATCACTATTAACATATAAAAAATGTATGTGTATAAATGTAATATACATATACACGTGTATATATACATGACTATACACATGTATTAAGTAGCATGTGTGTATATACATGTAAGTAGTATATGCACGTATATATACCTGTACAGACATACGTATATATACACACGCACATACACATACTACTTACATAGCTACACTTATCAATGGAGTTCTAAAAGAACATTTTCCATGGGATGGAAATAAATTTTTAGGCCAGGTGCGGTGGCTCACGCCTGTAATCCCAGCACTTTGGGAAGCCAAGACAGGCGGCACACCTGAGGTCAGGAGTTCAAGACCAGCCTGGCCAACATGGCAAAACCCCATCTCTACTAAAAATACAAAACTAGTTGGGCACAGTGGCGTGTGCCTGTAATCCCAGCTACTCAGGAGGCTGAGGCAGGAGAACAGCATGAACCTGGGAGGCAGAAGTTGCAGTGAGCCGAGATCGTGCCACTGCACTCCAGCCTGGGCAACAGAGCAAGACTCCATCTCCAAAAATAAAAAAAAATTTAAAAAGATAAATTTTAATGGCAGCATAGTATTCTCTAATTTAAGCAATCCACGTTGTTAGGCTGTTCCAATGTTCCATTATTATTCATTTCACTGTGATAAACATCTCTGTATAAATCTTTGTGTACACTTTTTATCACTTCCTTAGCAGATAAGTGTTTAAGGATCTTGATACCCATTGCCACACTGCCCTCCAGAAAGGCAACTTATATTCTACCAGCAATATATTATTAAGATGCCTTAGTGATATTTAATCTTGATTACATATTGATTTTTTAAAAGTCATGCTTACTGTAACAAATTCAAACCCTCCAGAAGTACATCAAATAAACAGTGAAATTCTATTGCTCATTCCCCAAACCTTCTGAGTCATTCTCAGAGGAAAAACATTATGAACAATTTGGCATGCATCCTTCCAGATTAACTTCTTTTTTTAATGTAATTTTTTTCCTAAATATGTAAACTGCTTATAACCTGAAACTACTGAAAAAAATTCTGAATACTCAGGATTAAACTAAAAGTTCAGGATCTATGTGAAGAAATTTATTAAACTTGGAGGAACTTTAGGAAAAAAGATTTAAATAAATGGAGAGAGACATACCATGTTCTTGGGTAGGAAGATTCAAAATTGCAAAGACCACTATTCTCCCCAAAGTAATCTCTAATTTTAAGCAAAATCACAATCAAAATTCCAAAGAGTTTTTTGTTTTGAACTTGATTCTAAATTTCATCTGGAAGAATAAAGGAGTGAAAATAGTCAGAAAACTTGTGAAGTAATGTGGGGGGTACTTGCCTTACCAGACCCTAAAATGTGCCTCCAAGACAGTCGTGGGAACAGTATGGAGCCAGCAGCAGAAGCCACTCACGAACCAATGGAGGAGAACAACTCAGAAACAGACCAAAGTCAATCTAATGCTTAACTGGAGAAATGTTAAACATTTAGGGAAAATGTTTTTAAAATCAGTGATTGGGACTGCTTAACAATTTGAGGGAAAGGTTCAATTCCTACCACATTCAAAATAAATTCCACCTGGACTAAAGAATTAAATGTTTTAAAAAGTAACATCATAAACATACTGAAAGAAAACATAAGTATATATTGACATAATTTTGGGATAGGAGCCTATTGCCAGACATAATACTAAAAGCAGAAGCCATAGGGGAAAAAATCAATAAACACGACTTCATAAAAATTAAATATTTCTGAAAGGCAAGAAAACGCAAATGACAAGGAGAGATTATTTGCAACATATGACAGACAATAGAGAATATTATTCTTAATGTCGAAAGGAAATATTCCAAAGAAAAATGGACAAAGACTATGACTAGGCATTTCATAAAATAAGTACAAATGGCTTGTAAACATACAAAATTTTGTTCAATATTCATTCATAATTAAATAAATGAAAATTGGAAGACTGCCATTTTCTCTGTCAAGCAAGCAAAAATGCAAAAAAATGGCATGAGTCTGGGAAACATACACACTCATATTCTGCTGATGGGAGCGTCTTTTTTTTTTTTTTTTTTTTTTTGAGACAGAGTCTTACTCTGTCGCCCAGGCTGGAGTGCAGTGGCGCCATCTCAGCTCACTGCAATCTCGACCTCCCAGGTTCAAGCAATTCTCCTGCCTCAGCCTCCCAGGTAGCTGGGATTACAGGCACCCACCACCACGCCCAGCTAATTTTTGTATTTTTAGTAGAGACAGAGTTTCACCACGTTGGCCAAGCTGGTCTTGAACTCCTGACCTCAAGTAATCTGCTCCCCTCAGCCTCCCAAAGTGCTGAGATTACAGGCGTGAGCCACCACGCCCAGCCTGGGAGCGTCATTTTAAATGTACAACCTATCTAGAGGGCCACTACATAGTATGAAATTTAGAAATCAGAAAATAATACGGAGGTGAGGAAAAATGTATCTCAGATGATTGTTGTATTATTACGTAGCAAAATGTAAAATATACATTGTCCTTGACCCAATAATTCCATCCTTACATATTTATTCTAAGGAGATAATCTGTCCTATACTCAAAAAGACATGTGTAAAGGAAAGTTCACTACACTACTGTTCAAAACAGCGGAAATTTGGAAATCACGGTATATCCATATAATGGAATACTATGCAGCCATTAAAATTTTGATACTTTTATTATTTCTGAAATAGACAATTAGTATGTATTAAATGAAAAAGAGACTATTATGCATTGTATGCCTGTGTCAAAATATCTTATGTAACCCATAAATATATATATCTACTATGCACCCATAAAAATTAAAAAATTTTTAAAAAGATGTTACTGAACTGGTTATGTAGTTTTGGTTAAAAATTTATATTTTTATATATCAGCATATTTTAAAATCTACAAAGTTATACAGCAAATTGTTACCACTAAGTATCTCTTTTTTTTTTTTCCTTTTTTAGACGGAGTCTCGCTCTGTCTTCCAGGCTGGAGTGCAGTGGCACGATCTTGGCTCACTGAAACTTCCACCTCACGGGTTCAAGCCATTCTCCTGCCTCAGCCTCCCAAGTAGCTGGGATTACAGGCACGTGCCACCACATCGGACTTTGTATTTTTAGTAGAGACAGGGTTTAGTATTTTTGTATTTTTAGTAGAGATGGGGTTTCACCATGTTGGTCAGACTGGTCTGGAACTCCTGACCTCAAGTGATCCGCCCGCCTCAGCCTCCCAAAGTGCTGGGATTATAGGCGTGAGCCACTGTGCCCAGCCAAACACTAAGCATCTCTAGATGATGGGATTGGAGTAATAATCATTTTTCTTTCTTTGTTTTGCTATGTGCTAACAATGAATATATTATTTGAATAATAAACTACTGAAGGAAAACTTTAGGAAATTTTCAGATGTTACAGTTTACAAAAAGTAATTGATAATATGGTCTGTATTTCCTTAAATTTATAAACATTGTAATCTATATACTTAAATATAAACTTTACCTTTTATAAGTCTTTTAAGAGAGTCCAACTGTGTAGTAAGCAGTATTTCTTCGTTTTTTAATATCTCAAATTTAACTTCATATAGTTCTAACTGAATTTCATAAAATTGCATTTCTAATTCATCTACAACATTTATATTTTTTTCTTGTTCTGGAAGATCTTCCATCTTATTTTCATAGAAAAAAGAAAAATAAGTTAAAATAAATAGTATATTAAAAACAAACTTCAGAAGCATTCTAGCTATTTTCTATTCCTTGTTCAATACTAAATATAAAAAAGCAAATAGGAAAGAAACACTTTTTCATTTCATCTAGTGATGCTAATATTTTATCTCATCCTTGAAACAGAAAAACATTTAGGTTTTGAGAAACATAAATGGCAATGAGGTATTATTATGTATTGCATATTGGTGTCCCCACAAAATTCATATGTTGACACTCTAACTCCCAATGTGATGTTATTTGGAGGTGGGTCCTTTGGAAGTAATTAGGTTCAGATTATGTCAAAAGGATGGCACCCCCATCATGGGATTAGTGCCATTAGAAGAGAAAGACAGGGATCACTTTCTTTCTCTCTAAACTTACACACAGAAGAAAGGCTATATGAGCACTCAGTTAAGAAGGCAGCTGTCTACCAGACAGGAAGAGGATCCTCACCGGACAGTGAATCTGCAGGCATCTTGGACTTCCCAGCCTCCAGAACTGTGAGAAATACATGTCCGTTGTTGAAGCCACCCAATCTGTGATATTTAATCTTGTTATAGCAGCCTTAGCCAACTAAGACAGGTGGTTACAGTGTTTTCTGCTTTAAGGTCATAAGATTATAGGAAAAAACTTAAGTGTCTATGATCCTTCAGTGAAGTATCTCTTTGATTATTTTAAAGCTGTACTGAAAACATTGCTGGATTGATATTCAAGTACAGTACCCACTTCAATACTGGGCTCGGTGTTACTATAAAGTAAATCCTATAATATGGTATTTTGAAACATCTTAACTAAAGGAAAACTTTATGTCTAACCTTCCATAGAAGACAGTGTTAGAATAAGTGAAGAAAAGAAGCTCTTTAACGATGCCTGGAAAGAAAAGTGCTATCTAAAAATAAAAGTGTGCTTTACCACATGGTCTCACTTATAAGTGGGAGCTAAGTAGTGTGTATACACACACAGTGTGGAATAATAGACACTGGAGACTCAGAAGAGTAAGAGGGTGGGAGGGAGGATGAGAAATATTTAGTGGGTACAATTACATTATACAGGTGAAGATTACACTAAAAGCCCAAACTTCACCACTACACAATATATCCATGGAACAAAACAGTACTTGTATCCCTTATTTACACAAACTTTTTAAAAAATAAAAGTGGGGCCAGGCATGGTGGCTCACGCCTGTAATCCCAGCACTTTGGGAGGCCGAGGCGGGCGGATCACGAGGTCAGGAGATCGAGACCAGCCTGGCTAACACAGTGTATCCCCGTCTCTACTAAAAATACAAAAAATTAGCTGGGCGTGGTGGTGGGCGCCTGTAGTCCCAGCTATTCGGGAGGCTGAGGCAGGAGAATGGCGTGAACCCGGGAGGTGGAGCTTGCAGTGAGCCGAGACTGCACCACTGCGGTACAGCCTGGGCAAAAGAGCGAGACTCTGTCTCAAAAAAAAAAATAAAAATAAAAAATAAATAAAAGTGTATTTTTAAAACAAAGTTATGTTTATCTTTGTCTTACCTTTCCCTGAATTTCAGCTCTTTTGTGATTTAAACATAACTCTTTCGCTCTCATGAGCTGCAGAGTCTCTTGAGCTAGCATTAGCTTAAGTTTTTCCAACCTGGGAATTGCTGTGGCCCAGGCAGCCTGGCCAAATCTCTTCACATCCTGTTCCATTTCTTTCTGCATTCCTGTTGGATTATAAAAATAAAATATAATTACACCTCATTAAAAAGGGAAACATTGATCATGAGCTAATTCTTTTTTTATTGCTTCCATACTACCTGCAGAACATCTTTTTTAAAAGAAATTTTGTTTTATTAACTTTTTTATTATTATAAAAATAATACATGGTCATTAATATACAATTTTAGGTATTCAATTTTTAAAAGGACAATAATAAGTCATGATCTCACCTAGTTGAGGCAACTGCTTCTTATATTTTGGCACACTTGCTTCCATATTGTTTCTATGTCTAGCTAGACAGACAGGCTCATATGGATAGTTTGACCAAAAAACCAGGATTATCATTCTGCTTTATATCTTGTTGATTCTGCACAATATATCAGACACTCTTGCCATTTATAAAAAAAATCAAGAATCATGCTTAATAGCTATGTAGTTTTCTCTTTTATGAATGTACCATAACTTAACAAACTGACAGACATTAAGTTGTTTCCTATTTGGTGTTTTTATTAACAATTATTTAAGACTGAAAAAAAGTCCTTCACCCAGCCCGCAAGCCCCTGCACGGTCTGATCCCTGCCTGTCTTGCCAGCATTCTCCCTCGTGCCACACTGTCCTGCACTCTGTGTGATCCAGCCCTGCAGGTTTTCTGTAAGCTCCTATTTGCCAACTTCCCTCAAGCCAGGGGACCTTTACCAGTGCTATTCCTTCTGCCCGGAACACTCCTCACTTTTTCTATTCTCTCAACTTCCGTTTACCCTTCAGCTACTGGGGCAAGCACCACTTCTCAGAGGCCTTCAGCGACCACCCTGATCAAGCCCAATTTCTCTCTCACAGACCCTCAGAGCCCGATGTCTCTCTTCTTTGTGCCATTTATTGTCACTGCCATTTTCCATGTGCTTCAGTGAATAGATAATTAAGATTTCTCTCCCTTCACCAGACTGTACAATGTCTCTTAATGCTTGACACTGAATTCTTGCCACCCAGAAAACACAGTGCCTAGTGCGTAAGAGGGACTCAAATGGTATATGAATAAAATGACAATCAATTACACGTATCTGCGTAAAGCATTTTTTAGATTATCACCTGCTAATGCTTTTACTGTCTAATTAAAATAATTCACTGTGATATCTTGAATAGAGACAACAGCTTCTTCAGCCCGTCTGGTCCATTCTTCAGCTTCTTTCTCCAGGGCAACTATCCTGGAGACGTAGGACCTACGTCATCCTCATCCAAGGAATTCTACAGACAGAAGAGAAAATTATCTTACTAAGAGCTAATAGTTATGTTGACCCATTAGGAAATTGAAAGGAAACTGGTCACATGGATTAATTTAACTACAGTACTACTCAGTCAGTTAAATTTTCATTCATTCAGCAGTCCCTTACTGCATATGAATAAGGCTCTAAGCTGAGCACCACCTGGAAGACAAAAGGACACTCTGGGGCATAAAGGGGAAAAAAAAACCTACTTTCACTTCACATGCCTAGAATAACTTTTTCTAGAGAGGAATGTTGTCAACTTATGCTTCTCTCTATTAATAATAATACACAATTGTTTAAATGAGTGATCTGTGTTGTCAAGCACTCAGCATAGGGCCTGGAACACAGCACTTAAGTGTTAGCTGTTGTTATCGTTTCTTTTAGGGATATGTAATATAATCACCTAAAAGACAGTATCTGTATATTCATGCTTATAACATGCACTGGTATTGGACTGAATGTTTGGGTCCCCCCAAAATGCATATGTTGAAGCCTAAATCCCCAGTGTGATGGTATTTGAAGATGGGGCCTTTGGGAGGTAATTAGGTCATGAGGGTGCAGCCCTCAAGAATGGGATTAATGCCCTTATAAAAAGAAGAGGAGACACAGGATCTCTCTCTCTGCTCTTCACCATGTGAAGACACAGCAAGACAGTCATCTACAAATTAAGAAACTGGCCCTCACAAGACACTGGATCTGCCAGCACCTTGATCTTAGACTACCCAGCCTCCAGAACTGTGAGAAAAAAAGTTTTGTTGTTTATAAGCCACTAATCTACGGTACTTTGTTATAACAGCCTGAACTAAGACATGTACAGCTATGTCATCCAATATGCAATTTTTCTTCTACAAAGCATAAGAAATATGTACAAGTTAGCCGACAAGGAATTACAAATCAAAACCATAACGAGATACCACTTCACACCCACTAGGATGGCTGTAACCAAAGAGACACACAATTACAAGTGTTGGTGATAATGTGGACAAATTGGAACCCTCATTTACTGCTTTTGGGAATATAAATGAGGCACCCACTTTGGAAAACCATCTGGCGTCTTTCAAAAGGTTAAACATTGAGTAATCACAGGACCCAGCAATCCTACTCCTCAGTACGTACACAAGAGCAATGAAAAGATATGTCTACACAGAAACTCACACACAAACATTCATAGCAGAATTATTCATGATAGCCAAAAAGTGGAAACAACCCAAATGTCCATCAACTGATGAATAAAATGCAATATATCCATACAATGAATATTACTGAGCAATAAAAAGAAATGAAATCCTGGTATTTGCTACAACATGGATTAGTCTTGCAAACACTGTGCTGAGTGAAAGGACCACATATTCAATAATGCTGTTGCTATGTCCAGAGTAGGGAAATCCACAGAGACAGAAAGTAGATTGGTGGTTGCCCAGGGTTGGGAGTGACTAATGGGTACAGGGTTTCTTTTGGAGGTGAAAATGTCCTGAAATTACATAGTAATGACCATTGTGCAACTTTCAATATACTAAAAATCACTGAATTGTACATCTTTTATATATACATATATACACATACATATACATACACATACACATACACATACACATATATACACATATACACACATATATACACATATATATACATATATACACATATATATACATACATATATTCATATATATATACATATATATATATATATATAATCTGTGAATGGTATCTTAAAACAGCTGTTACTTAAAGAAAGGAAAAATATAGACCGGGTGCGGTGGCTCATGCCTGTAATCCCAGCACTTTCGGAGCCTGAGGTGGGCAGATCACCTGAGGTCAGGAGTTCAAGACCAGCCTGACCAACGTGAAGAAACCCCATCTCTACTAAAAAAATACAAAATTAGCCAGGCCGGGCATGGTGGTACATGCCTGTAATCCCAGCTACTCGGAAGGCTGAGGCAGGAGAATCGCTTGAATCCAGGAGGTGGAGGTTGCAGTGAGCTGAGATCACGCCATTGCACTCCAGCCTGGTCAACAAGAGCGAAACTCCATCTCACAAAAAAAAAAAAAAAACAGAAGAAGAAAGCAAAATATATGCAAGAAGTAGACTCTCCAAATAATAGACTTTCAAAATAATGAACAGAACAACTTTATCCACAGGTTAGAGTGGCATGAGTTTCATCTAAATGTGATACTATTTTTATAGTACAATCATCTGGCAGGGGGCATGAGATTATATGTGGAAAGATGGCCCAGTGCAGGGGGCAGAAATCAAGAGATCTCTTAGGTGTCTTCTGATTCCCGTTGTTGAGACCCAAGGTAAGATATTTAACAACTCTGGACTCCAGATTCATTTGTAACACTGGAATAAGAATGCCTTTTCTGAATGGGGTCACACGGTTGTTTGATGGCTCAATGAAGCAAGAGCGATAACAGCATTTACTAAAATTTAAGTTACTGAATTACAATCTAGGGTCCTGCTATTTAAATTTTCATCCTATTTTAAGAAATTTGGATGAGTCCTTAGAGGAAAACAAACTGAAGCAAATAAATATCACATCAAAAACAATTCATCAGGCTGGGCGCAGTGGCTCACGCTTGTAATCCCAGCACTTTGGGAGGCTGAGACGCGTGGCTCACTTGAGGTCAGGAGTTTGAGACCAGCCTGGCCAACATGGTGAAACCCCGTCTCTACTAAAAATACAAAAAAAGTTAGCTGGGCATGGTAGTGCACACCTGTAATCCCAGCTACTCAGGAGACTGAGGCAGAAGAGTCACTTGAACCTGGAGGAGGTTGCAGTGAGTCAAGATTGTGCCACTGCACTCTAGCCTGGCTGACAAAGAGAGACCCTATCTCAAAAAAAAAAAAAAAAAAAAAAAGGCATCGATACAAAAAAACTCTTAACTCTTTAAAATCTGCAGGAATCTTAAGCTAGTAAGATGACCAACATAAATGTCTTCATTTTCTATCAATTTTAAATATAAATTCAATATTTAAACATGAGGGTGAACTAGGCATAGTGGCTGACGCCTGTAATGCTACGCTTTGGGAGGCCGAGGTGGGCAGACTGCTTGAGCTCAGGAGTTAGAAACCAGCTTGAGCAACATGGCAAAACCTCATCTCTATCAATAAATAAGTAAAGAAACATAAAAGTAAACCCAAACAAAGTGCAGAGATTGAACATTAAGTGTAAATAAAGAAATAATATATGACAAATAGTAAATGTGATAAAATAAAAATTAAAAAAAATACCAAAATATCAAGCTTACATAAAGTTGCAACTTCTCGCATAGCCCTAAATGGCTGCAGTAAGTACTGGAAAAACATGGTTGCCATGGTAACTAATTCCTGGTAGGCTTCATCTTCCTCTTGGTAAACTTTCATTAATGCTACCATGGTGTTGGCTTTTCCATGTCCTTGGATAACCTAGAGAGCAAATGTGAATAAAGCTCAAGTCAGACAGTGTAATACATACCCAACAAACAAAACTAAACAAAAGAAACCTTCATGTTCTCAACTTTCAATACATCAATTTAAAATATTGATTAAATATGAAAATGTCATCATCCTCCATCAAAAATGCCCAATAAAACAAGAATTGTTAAGTAAATTATGATATATCCATGGCAGAATATTATTACTGTAGTCATTCAGCACTGTGCTTCTGAAGATTGTTTAATAATATGGAGACTTTTGGCCAGGCACCGTGGCTCACGCCTGTAATTCCAGCACTTTGGGAGGCCGAGGCGGGTGGATCACTTGAGGTCAGGACTTCGACACCAGCCTGACCAACATGGAGAAACCCTGTCTGTACTAAAAATACAAAATTTGTTGGGCGAGGTGGCGCATGCCTGTAATCCCAGCTACTGGGGAGGCTGAGGCAGGAGAATAGCTTGAACCCGGGAGGCGGAGGTTGCGGTGAGCCGAGACAGTGCCATTGCATTCCAGCCTGGGCAACAAGAACGAAACTCTGTTTCAAAAAAAAAAAAAAGGAGACTTTTATAATTAAATGGAGAGGCAGAGTACAAAATTTAATCTCAACTATGCACTAAGTATGCAGCGAAAAGGACCCAAAAGAAGGTTTGAGGTGTGGATATTTTTTCATTTGACTTTTCTGACTGTGAAGGTTTTGTGAGGCTGTATTCCTTTTTAAAAGCTCCTAAGGGCCAGGCATGGTGGCTCACACCTGTAACCCCAGCACTTTGGGAGGCCACGGCAGGCAGATCACGAGGTCAGGAGATTGAGACCATCCTGGCTAACACGGTGAAACCCTGTGTATACTAACAATACAAAAAATTTGCTGGGCGTGGTGGAGGGCACCTGCAGTCCCAGCTACTGGGGAGGCTGAGGCAGGAAAATGGGGTGAACCTGAGGGGCAGAGCTTGCAGTGAGCCGAGATGGCGCCACTGCACTCCAGCCTGGGCGACAGTGCAAGACTCTGTCTCAAAAAAAAAAAACAAAAAACCTCATAAAACATTACAGAGCTGTCTCCAAGTACTTTAGCATGTTGATTCTCTTAATGCCCCAGGTTAATATCCCCATGAAGTCCTTAGCAGTCAACTCATTTACAGAGCCTCAGCTGTGGTTCCAGTCTCTGCTGGTTATTGCTTGTGCTGCAGGGCAGAAAACAAACTGAACAGTGTATAATCTAGGTGGACTGATTTGGTTGGAAATTATTTTACTCCCACAAGAAGAGAAATAAAAATAAAATAATATAGATGTTTTTCAACCAATACATTCTTAAAATTCTTCTATTTCCATCCTTCTGCTTAAAGATAAAGTGATCTACTTTCAGCTGTATTTTTTATCCAGGTAATAATATTATGGTTTTTTTTTTAAGTGAAAGCCCCACTGAACAAAATTAAAACACACACGCAAAAGTAAACTTAAGGCAAGTGATACACTTCAGCCTTATTTCTTAGACTATTCAGAAAAATTCCAGAGTTAAAACATTCAGCTTCATTTTATATATGCTAGCAATGCTAGCAATTAGTCTAATTCTAGAATCAATTGCTTTTCTATTTTAAATATAAAGTAAAATATTAAAATTATATATTTGGACATGTTTTGAATTTTAGCTTCCCCTCTCAACCCCTCATTTTTGAGTTCCAGATAAATATGTGAACTACACTAACATGAACAACTAGCTCAACAGAATGAACTACATTCACGCTATAGTACCCCAGAGTGAACTTAAATTTGGGAAAACTAACTTTTCTGATAGTAACTACAGTAAAATGCATCATATAAATGTTCGATTTTAAGGAGAAACCACCTATCTCTGTGAGAAACCAAGAGTGTAAAAAACAAGTCTGATACAAAATGATACCATTTTTGAAACTCCGGTGGGCTCGTCATATCCTAAGGTGAAAGTTATAAAGTTGAAGATCAAAAGCTGACTGGCCTGAAACTCCCCTGTGGTTTCCTCATAGTCTAAAGTGAAATCAACACATGTTAAGTGGGTGTGTAGACATTTACACATAAAGCTCACAGTACAAAAATGACCCCACTAACAAGCTCCTTTTATAAAACCATTTTAATTTAGAAAGCTTATTCTATATTTAGCTTAGGCTGAATTCTTCTTTTCACCTCCCCTTCCTCAAAAGAATGCACAGAAAAAAATCATTCAGGTTAATAAGAGCAGTGAGCTGAGACTCCAGCCTGGCTCTGCTTAGTAAACCGTGGGTGTGGATTTAGAAGGCATACTTTCTCCTAAACCCTTCTATGAACATGTACTTCCCCGTCCCCTAAGTTCAGTAAGTTTACCACTCAATTACTCTCTCAAACTACCTCTTTCAAGCTTAAAAGAGCACTAATGCGGTTAAACTGATGAATAAAGCTCACTTTCTACCGGCTTTCCATTTGACCAAGTCTGTATTACTTAAAACAAAACACCCTAACTCCTAAAAGCCATTTCTTCCTTTAAACCATTTTATCCCACTTGCGACGTCCCCGCAGACACAGACTTGGAATTGCTTACGTGTAGTCCGTGTTATTCTTTCCTACATGGATGGGTTGTTTTCAGTTTGCTTGCAGTATTTCTGACATTTCCCGTTACAACATCCTGCTCTGCCAGCATCTTCAGGGCAAAGGTTGGGGGCCTAGCCCAGCTCCCAGCGGCAAGTACACTAGGCTCTTAACTTCGCTTGTCCTCTCTGCAGGCCCTGCCGAAGCTCCCCCTGGTTTTTCGCAGCGATCCCGCGCAGGTGAGGGTACTGGGGAGCCCGTGGCCTTCTCCGCCCGCCGGCTCCTCCCCATCAGCCGTCAGCCAGGGCTCTCGGCGCCGGGGAAGCCTCCCACAGGGTCCCAGGCCACCCAAGCGCGGTCAAACGCCGGCGGCCCGGCCTCGCTTACCTGACGCAGCCGCGCGTCCGCCTCGACCCATCAGGCGCGCAGGGCCCGCTCTCGAAACTCGCGCGGGCTCTCGCAGTCAGCCGCGCGGCCTTTAGCCGCGAAAACAGCGTGGCGCACGGTGGCGCCGCCGCAGCCGTGGGCCGCCGCGCCCAGGTAGCGCTCCAGCTGCCCGCAAAGCTCCTGCAGCGCCACCTCGCCGGGGCCCGCGCGCGCCTGCCAGAGCAGCGCCCACAGCCCGAGCCCCAGACTCCAGGCCCCGCCGCCGCCCACGTCCAGCTGCGGGGAGCAGCGTTCCAGAGGCGGCCACAGCGCCGCTAGCTGCCAGCGCGCGCCGCGGAACCCCGCGGCCGAGAACCGGCCGGCCCAGTTGGGCGGGAACACGGCAGCTGGGCGGGGACACGGCAGCTGGGCGGGGACACAGCGGCCTTGGGTTTGGGCTCCAGCCCCAGCCGGGCCCCCTCGCGCCGCTGCGGCTGCTGCGCGGTGAGGTCGTGACAAGTCACAGCTAACTTGCCCTCCGCGCCATTCCACGCCACCAGGAAGCGCAGCCGGTGCCTCTCGGGATCGGCGAAGAGGCCTTGCCGGACCGGCGCCCAGCCCTCCAGGCTGTCGAGCTGCTCGTCCTCCATGGCCGTCGGCGGCAGCGGCCCTAGGACTCGGCGGGCGCGGGCCTGACCTCGTCGCACTGCCTGTCAGGGGACAGTCCCAGGTGAAGCATTTTTCGCTCCACTATTGGTATTTTAACAACATGAATGAAAAAAAAAAAAAAAAACTCAGCTGTTTTGATAGAAGTAACAAACGTGCCTAGGAATCATCTTCCTTGAAGGGAGAGGAGGGTCTTGTTGAACTTGAAAAAACTAAATAAGCAAAGTTGATACATAAGGACACCCTTCTCTTTACCCTTACCTATTCTTCTCTTAAAACTTTAATTCATTTCTGACAGTCACCAACTGAAAAACGGTCCGACTAAAAAAAAAAAAAAACTGATCATAAAGGGGGGAGAAGTTGTGACGTGTTCTATCCTAATCCAAGATATCTAAACCAATTTTGCTGATAGAGAAAATATATTCGGTGAATGATGTAAGTACATTAATATAGGTAACAACTCTTTGAAAGTAAAGTTTGCACATAATATGAAATACAAAGAGAATTACTGTAGTCTCGAAGGAGAGAACCCTTGATGGGGAGTGGTAGTCAAAAAGGTGTATGAGCAAGTCATCTGTTGCAAGGTGATGGGAGGAGATTTTTATGCAGGCATTCAATATCAGAGTCAGAGGTTTTAATGATTTTTGTTTTTTATCTTGAGAGTTGGAGACTAGAAGATCTAAAATAGGAAATTTCTGGCATATCCATAGATAGAATGGAAACTCTTGGCCAAAAATAACGTGCTCCAAGTCATGAAAAATAGCACACATGCACAATTAACTACAGAGTTACACAAGATGGTGTCTTTTCATTCGATTTTATTTGAACTCTTATTCTTCTCTTTTATGCTCTGTATCCTTGTTAACTCTTCCATTTTTTCCTCATCCTATGAGGTACTTTAAACATTTTATTCAATAACTCTTAAGGCAATTTTTACAATTCTATTCATATATAAAACTGTCATAAGCATGTTTTGTGAGTGAAAAATTCTAATTTGTAATGCATATCAAGTGAAAAGCCTCAGTTCAGCACTCGTCATATCCAAAATCTGTGTTATATGATAATGTAAAAGAAATATTTTCACACATGTAGCTCAAATGAGATTCTTAGTTACATGTTTCTTTTTTTTCTTTTCTTTTCTTTTCTTTTTTTTTTTTTTTGAGACGTAGTCTCGCTCTGTTGCCTAGGCTGGAGTGCAGTGGCGCAATGTCGGCTTACTGCAAGCTCTGCCTCCCGGGTTCATGCCATTCTCCTGCCTCAGCCTCCCAAGTAGCTGGGATTACAGGTGCCCGCCACCACGCCCGGCTAATTTTTTGTATTTTTAGTAGAGACGGGGTTTCACAGTGTTAGCCAGGATGGTCTCTATCTCCTGACCTCGTGATCCGCTCGTCTGGGCCTCCCAAAGTGCCAGGATTACAGGCGTGAGCCACCACGCCCGGCCTACATTTTTCAAAATTTAACTCAATCTTTTATGTTTAAAAATGTGCATATACTGCCTGTTCAAGTACTTAATCTTTGTATTTATTATTTGAAATTGGAAGTCCATCTTTTTAGATTGTTAGGAGGTCTTCACATATTTGAATGAGTTATTAAGTTGATACAACTATTTTGGAAAAATAATTATCATTATCTACTAAATTTAAACACATAATTTATGACCAGCAGTTTCAACAGAGACACCTGGATGTTCATCAGGATAGAATGGATTGGAAAGCTCCATATTCATTCAACAGGGTGCTACACAAAACAAAAAGGAATGAAACACTGGTCCATAACATAAATAGATTTCACAAATGCAATTTTGAGTGAAATAAGCCAGAAAAAAATAAATACCGTATGCTTCCATTTATATGAAGACAAAGATAGGCAATATTAATCTATGGTAACATGTGAGACTGACTGACTTTTCTCAGCATCAGCTAAGAGCCTGAAAAATATTTTTCTGGGGTGCTAAAAAAGTGCCAGATCTTAAAATATTTGTACAAAAGATAATATTTGTTTTTTTATATAAATAGGTACAAAATACAAATATGGGCAAAAATGTATTTATAAATATGTTAAACAAGATTATTTATAGTTTATACTTCAATATAATTTTTTTCACTTTTGTTGACATTAGTAAACCATCACACTTAATAAACAGCCATTTGGAATGGTTCTTGATTTAGGTATTTCCTTGATCAAGTACCAAGTAGGAACATACCTTGATTCTAAAATATAAAGAATATGATTCCATGAAAGTTTCCATGAAAACTATCTTGCATTCTAAAATATTTTTAAAAGTACTTATTTTCAAAGTTCATTTTCCTATTTTAAACAAAAGTTGAACTAAATTACATATAATCTAGTCCCCAAAGTATTCAGTAAATATCAAATGAAGGTGTGAAAGTTAAAGATTTCAATTTTTTACTAGTTAATTTGCAGTGCTCTATTATTTTGCTTAATAAGCAATTTTATGCTAGAAATAAGCAGATTTCTCTATTCACATTATCTTTACCAAGAGCACTTAAATAAATACCATTGATTACTTGCAAAATGCAGATTGTAGATTCAGAGCTCAAAACTAAAGCTCTGAGGATGTAATTCAATTAAAACAACCCATAGTTGTGAATTCACCTCACCAGTGTCCCTAAGACAAGAAGCTCTTTCTCACATCAAAGTGAATTATTTTAATTCACTTTGGATGTTAGGAATATCCTAACTCCTTTGTAATTAAAAACAAAAACAAAACTTCTGATGCTTCTTTATACCTTAACAATTATGAGGTCTATAACAATATGAACACAGAAGTTTGGGTCAGTTCAATGACTGAACTAAAACATTGTTTCCCAACATGTCCATGTTTTACAAGATGATGGGGTTGTTATCTGTGATGCCATTGCAAAGATCTTGATGGTTCCAAAACACTCTAAGCATCACATAAGCCATGTTATACCTGTCGCCCCAAATTTACCAAACCATTTGGATTAAAACTCTCAGTAAGGACCTCTGAGGCACAAAGATCTATGAATAACTCCTTAACCCCTTTGCTCTTACTCTTCAGGTACAATTTCAAATTTTCACTTTTCCCTTTCTGCACTGACCTTGGGAAAGTCACTTTATCTCTGTGATCTAATTTTCCACATCAATAATGTATCTATACTTGGCATAGAGAGTTATGAGAATAAAATAATAACATATATGGGAGATTTCTGTGAATACCAATTGTACAGGTGGATTTTTAAATAATAGATTTAGGGCCAGGCGCAGTAGCTCACAGAAGTAATACCATCACTTTAGGAGGCCGAAGCGGGTGGATCACCTGAGGTCAGGAGTTCAGACCAGCCTGACCAACAAGGTGAAATACTGTCTCTACTAAAAATACGAAAATGAGCCAGGTGTGGTGGCGGGCACCTGTAGTCCCAGCTACTCAGGTGGGTGAGACAGGAGAATTGCTTGAACCCACAAGGCGGAGGGTGCAGTAAGCCGAGATCGCGCCACTGCACTCCAGCCTCGGTGATGAAGCGAGACACCATGTAAAAAACAAACAAACAAACAAATAAAATATATTTAGGAAAATTATTAATAAGAAAAAAATTGAAAGCATTAAGAACTCTATTATGGACTGAACAAAAAAAGGAGAATTGGTACCATACCTTGGTAAGTTTATTTTGATAAGCACAATTTCTATTAGTTCCTCAGTGTTTCTTCTTGCTCCCTGAATGTATGTTCCTTGCCTCTATCTTATCCCATTTTTTCTATTGTTAATGCATAGAGAGTTGTCACAAGTTCTATTCTCAATGCCTATTGCATCAGGCAATAGAAGATGACTCTGGTTCCCAACTCAGAAAAACCTCATTTTTAAGAAATGTTTGAGCTTTGACTTTGATCTCATTCAGAATATTCTGGTTCAAAAGTTTTTTGTTTTTTTTGTTTTTTTTGAGACGGAGTCTCGCTTTGTCGCCCAGGTTGGAGTGCAATGGCGCGATCTCGGCTCACTGCAAGCTCCGCCTCCCGGGTTCACGCCATTCTCCTGCATCAGCCTCCCTAGTAGCTGGGACTACAGGCCCCTGCCACCACGCCTGGCTAATTTTTTTTTTTTTTGTATTTTTAGTAGAGACGGGGTTTCACCGTGTTAGCTAGGATGGTCTCAATCTCCTGATCTCGTGATCCGCCCGTCTCGGCCTCCCACAGTGCTGGGATTACAGGCGTGAGCCACCACGCCCGGCACAAAAGTCTTATGTTTGTGTAAATAAGAAAAGCACCTTTGAAAACTACACCTACAAATGGGAATATGGAATAAAAAGGACAAGCCAAAGGTTATGGAACAAAATAAAACATGAAGAAAGAGAAATAGAAACACAATATTACTATATACAATATAGTAATGTATTTTAAAATATGAAAAACGCTAGCAAAACAGCAATATGTGAACAAAAGAATTGGAGTAAAATAATAGAATTTGAAACAGCACAATCTGCTGAAAATACACAAAAGACAAACTAGGATATTTCTGAGCTCACTGTTTATAATATTAGAACATGTATATAAAAAGGAAAAGTGACTTTAAAATGTCTGGGGGCCAAGCAATATATAGCTTGTTACATTTTATTTACAAACAGTTTCTTTGACTAGGGAATCAATTTAAATTTTCTGTTTTGGAAATAATATAAATATATCTTTATTTTAGACTTTTTGCTGAAAAGTTTCTTAAATATTTACAACTTTAGGATAATCAGTGTACATTTCAATATATAATGTCCTAAAAATCAAACAGCTACCAAACATTGAATTGAAGTTCTGACTTATATAAATCATTTGCATAAAAACTGATCATTAAAAACAGTATCTAATGAACATTTTGGCCCCAATATTAATTAAAACTGAAATGATAGCATTACAAGCTAAAGATTAATTTCAATGACATGTCGTTCAACCATTTTGACATAATCAACTTATAATAAGCTAAAATTGACTATTTTTATGACATATTTGACCTAAATGAAGAGAAAAAAGCTTTGACTAATTCTTAATTACTCTTTCTGACCAATTGATGGCCAATAACTGAATTTAATTTCAAACCATTTTCTGTTATTTTAATCTTTTAAACATGTTTTACTTTCAGTGATTCATTTTCTAACATTCATAGCCAAAGCCCAGGCTCTGCCCATCTTTGTCTACCTTAATGACTTTGTCAATTGTTGGTATACACTGGGCCTTAAAAACTTGTGTTTCTTCCGAATTAATTAATGAAGTAGAATTGCTCTTATAGGGTTTCATATACCATTACCTCCAAAAGAGTACATTAGAAGTATTAGAAAATACTGATATTTATAAACAGATATTTATCTTATGATACAAAGAGCTAGAGCTGTTTTATTTTCTGTAAAACTAAGAATAACTTCTTGATAACATAGCTTCACAAAAAGAAAACCCAACACATTTGCATAAATAATTCTCTGAAATAACTATGTGTTTGTAACTTTTTATATACATGAGGATATACATATACTTATACATCTATACATATATATGTAACATAAAGGATATTAACATTAGGACTGTTTAATGTCTATTTGTCTTGGAAAGAAAAATATACTTAAAAATATTTCTCAATTGGGATTTGTAATCGTACCGACTTAATTGATAAACTTGGCGACTGCTTTTATGCTCTGTCTCCTTCCATAAATTTTTAAAAATACTAATTCAACAAAGAAAAAGCTCTAATGTTCATTGGAAATAATTTATAGACTTTTTTAGAGCAGAGAAAAATTAAGAAAAACTTTGAAATGGTCTCAAAAAATTACTATTTTCAGTGGAAAACTAAATGTTAGTTTAACTGATTGTATGGGGTTTCTGAACCTTTCACTTTTTGTTTGTTTTACCTATTTCACAACTGTGTAAATTGCAAATAATTCCTGTCCATGAAAATACAAATTATCCAGTGTAGATATATTTCACTGTCACCCTATAGATATTGGCTAATTTTGCCTTTATTAAGCAAATTCATTTCAGCATGAATGTCTGCCTGTATATTCTCTGCTCTTTGTATTCTCCTTTGAACCAGTCAGAACATCCTGTGGTACTCTTATTTATTAATCAGTTAAATAAAATCATGAACATATATTCATTTTACATTTGTATGAGAACCATTAATTTTCTTTTCTTTAAAAAAATTAATTATCCTTTGACATTGGGTTGACATTTTCTTAAGACTTGCCATAAACAGAGGATATCAAGTTTCTCAAGGTCAGTTCTAGAGGAAAAAAAAATTCTTTATAAAAATTTAGCCTCATGTGTAACAGTTTCCATTCCCATAGCAATGACATTTGATATACATTGTATATATTAATCTGGGAATGATGTAAGATTCCAAGTATAATTTTATCAGTGAACTCAACTACTTGATTACTTTCACTTATTTAAATATCTAGTTCAATGTTGTCCAGTGGCATTGTGGATTTAGGTAATTTTACCAGGCAGCCGTTCAATTTCTGCACTTTCTGTTTGCCCATGCAGAACACAACACATTTTATAAGTCAAAGTATAGGCATCTGGTGGCATAATTTTAATTTGTTATCAAATAAAAGCCTCATCAAATTAGTCTAGAAAATAACTCATTATTTACTTTATTTTAGGACTGTATCACTATGTAATGAGATACAAATACATGTAAGCGTTAAGTGCCTAAGAGGCATCCAGAGAGCCTAAGATGTATGCAGTATGCCTAAGAGGAATGCAGAGAGCCTAAGATGTATGCAGTATGCCTAAGAGGAATGCAGAGAGCTTCATTTTCATTGTCAGCTGCTCAGTTGTTTCTCAGGAAATAAATGTGGCCAACTGACACCATTTAAGAGATATAAAGCAACAAGTTTAGAAAATTCTCATAAATGGGAGTGGCTAATGCATAGACAATAGCATTGACCTTTGATCCATGTATATATATATATTTAGATACATACCTCAAAAACATTTGGGTCAATTTAATTGTGAGTACTATAAACTACAAATGAAAGTAAAAAAGCAAATCTGTTGGTATTTTAGAAGAATGAAAGATTATTAACTCATGGCCTGTATGTATTTGGAATGAGAAGGACATACATAGCTTTCTTTGGATGGGGTGGAATTGAAATTGTGATTTACAGTGACTAAAACCTGACTGCTTTCACATTTTTTTTTCACTGTTGGGGGTGAAATTCTTGATTGATTCATGCATTGGGAACTTTTTTTTTTTTTTTTTGAGACGGAGTCTCGCTCTGTAGCCCAGGCTGGAGTGCAGTGTCAGGATCTCGGCTCACTGCAAACTCCACCTTCTGGGTTCACACCATCCTCCTGCCTCAGCCTCCCAAGTAGCTGGGACTACAGGCGGGCACCACCACGCCTGGCAAATTTTTTGTATTTTTAGTAGAGACGGGGTTTCACTGTGTTAGCCAGGATGGGCAGGATGGTCTCGACCTCCTGACCCTGTGATTCACCTGCCTTGGCCTTCCAAAGTGCTGGGATTGCAGGTGTGCACCCGCCTGAGCCACTGCGCCTGGCCGGGAGCTTTTGAATTAACTAAGGAAATTGACAAAATAGAGAATGACTCCTTATGTGACCTGCAGAAAATATTTTGTGTCATTCGTGGTACATTTATCATATTTTCTATAGGTTTGTACTATGTTACTTCACTTCTAAGAATTCGAAGTAGTTCAAAGCCAGCAGGGACTGGTATATTATAGCATATTTAACCTAAGCAACTCTAAAAGCTAACGAAACCAAGTATCTACAAACTTTAGCCATAGCTACCATCAACATGAAGAATGTAATAGGCAAAATGTTTTACATGCTGAATAAGCACTACTGAATTCTCTCTATATTTTTTGCAGTTTTAATTTAAAAGTATACTAGTTAGATATTTCATCTATACCCTGGTATAGTAATAAAAATTCAGATATTGCTCAACGAGGAAGCATATTTTCAAAGCAACAGACCTGAAAACTAGTATTTTATTTGATATTTTAAGTGCTTATTTCATTTTCTGGTTAAAGATGTTTGTGGAGGTAAAATTTAAAATAGATACTCTGTGTTCTTCTATTATATAACATTGAAATTAAATTTTTTATTAGTAAATGTAGAAAAGGTAAGTCTGAAGCATTGACTGAGAAAGATTTAGTAAATGGAGAATTTTGACTGTTAAACATCCTATTTTAACAAAAATATGCATAAAATATTCTTAGGATGATTTAATTAACCTTTTAATAAATACGAAAGACATTATGAAAAAAAGAATACATCACATTGCAGAATCAAAAGTAATAAAAATCACTCAAATTCTACTGCTCAGAAATGAAAATAATTGCTAAACATTAGGTGGCAGTATTTCAGACATTCCTATATAAATATACTTGAATGAGGCCCAGAGCAGTGGCTCACGCCTGTAATCCCAGCACTTTTGGAGGCCAGATAATGGCATGAACCCCGGAAGCGGAGCCTGCAGTGAGCGGAGATCACGCCACTGCACTCCATCCTGGGCGAAAGAGCAAGACTCCGTCTCAAAATAAAAATAAAAATAAATAAATAAATAAATAAATAAATACACGCATTCTTCATTTATAAAATACATTTAATATTTTTAAATAAATAAGTCAAAACAAAACGTTGATAAAATGACTATAGTTATTTGTGTGAATATATGCATGTGTGTTTGTACAGATGCATTAAGAAATCTTAATCCTCAAAATGATGAACATTTTAGAAGAAATATTAAGTATAATAGAGTTTGGGATCTGTATCTTTCTTTCTTTCTTTTTCTTTTTTTTTGAGACGGAGTCTCGCTCTGTCGCCCAGGCTGGAGTGCAGTGGCACGATGTCAGCTCAACTGCACGCTTCGCCTCTCAGGTTCATGCCATTCTCCTGCCTCAGCCTCCCGGGTAGCTGGGACTACAGGCGCCCGCCACCACGCCCTGCTGATTTTTCGTATTTTTAGTAGACACGGGGTTTCACCGTGTTAGCCAGGATGGTCTTGATCTCCTGACCTCGTGTTCCGCCCGCCTCGGCCTCCCAGAGTGCTGGGATTACAGGCTGAGCCACTGCGCCCTGCCCTGGGATCTGTATTTTTCTAAGTAGGTGATTCTGTATCTAATGAAAAATTATCACTTAAAATTTCAAAATGTTTTAGTTTGTTGTTATTATTATTATTTGTATTACTTTTAAAGCTGGGGTCTTCTTATGGTGCCCAGGCTAATCTTGTTAATATTTTTATATTATCATTGTATCTTAGGCAGCTCAAGCTGCCATAACAGAATACCAGAGACTGGTGTCTTCAACACACATTTGTTTCTCACAGTTTTGGAGGCTGGGAAATCCTCCACAAGGTTCGGGCAGATTCAGTCCCTGGTGAAAGCCCCCTTCCTAGACTACAGGCTCCTGCCTTCTGACAATGTCTTCACATGGCACAAAATAGAGAAAGACAGAGAGCTATGGTCTCACTTTCTCTTCCTATAAGAACACTAATCCCATCATGGAGATGCACATGATCTTAACCAGACAAATTTTTTTTGGATATTTTGAACTGATCAAATAACTCACATTGATTCAAAATATCACAGTTATTAAAACTCAGGCACAAAATCAAGTTAGTTCATCACTAATTGAGGCAGATAATTTTAAATCAAAATATAGCTACACAAAACATCATTTCCTAATTATCTTAGACTTTAAAAGTAGTTAGAGGAAGAGAAAGCTCATCTCTCTATTACAGTATTAATGGGTTTCCCATCCTAGGTGTCTTAATCTATTTAAACAGCTATAACAAAATACCATAAATTGGTGGATTATAGGCAATAGAAATTTGTTGTTCACAGTTCTAGAGGGCAGGAAGTCCTAGATCAAAGTGCCGTAAGAGTTGGTGAGGACCTGCTTCTTGATTCATGAATTGCCATCTCTTCCCTGCATCCTCACTTGGTGAAAGGGGCAAGAGTCTCTCCGGGGACTCTTTTATAAGTGCACTAATCCCATTCATGAGGGCTCTACCGTCATGATCTAATCCCCTCCCTCTAAGGTCCCACCTGCAAATATCATCATATGGGTGTTACATTTCAACAGCTGAATTTTGGGGGGCACTATCATTCAGTCTACAGCACTGTGAAATCCCTAATATCGAGTTTTCTTTTTAATTTTTGTTTTGTTTTGTTTTGAGACAGAGTCTCGCTTTCTCGCCCAGGCTGGAGTGCAGTGGTACGATGTCCGCTCACTGCAAGCTCTGCCTCCCGGGTTCACGCCATTCTCCTGCCTCAGCCTCCCGGGTAGCTGGGACTACTGGCGCCCGCCACTACGCCCGGCTAAAATTTTGTGTATTTTTAGTAGAGATCACCGCACCTGGCCCTTAGATGAATATTTGAATAAAAGTTGTATGTATGATGATAAAACAACAAGAAACTGAATTTTTGCAGAAAGTAAAAATAAAACTTGTCACTCTTTATATAGGCAAATCAGAGACTAGAGGTTTTAGAAAAGACATCAGTATGTTCCATATAAAGTATGTACTGGGACCCCGTCCGTCTTTTTCACCATATAATAACAGTGCTTTTAATAGTACCTGGGATGGCTGGGTGCAGTGGCTTACGCCGTAATCCTAGCACTTTGGAAGGCCGAGGAGGGAGGATCCTGAGGTCAGGAGATCAAAAACATCCTGGCTAATACGGTGAAACTCCGTCTCTACTAAAAATAACAAAAAAATTAGCCGGGCGTTGTGGCGGGCGCCTGTAGTCCCAGCTACTCTGGAGGCTGAGGCCGGAGAAAGGCGTGAACCCGGGAGGCGGAGCTTGCAGTGAGCGGACATCGTGCCACTGCACTCCAGCCAGGGCGACAGAGTGAGACTCCATCTCAAAAAAAAAAAAAAAAAAAGTACCTGGGACATGATATGAACTCAATGACTATTTATTGAATGAATTAATTGAACAAGTTTATGCAAGAAATTGACATAAAATTAAACATTGTCTTCTTATATCATATAGTGTCTACAAAAACTAAGTTGATACAGAACCTGTATTCTAACATGATTAAATTTGAGCCAAGTACATTTCTCTCTTAAGAATTTAGAAGTTTATAAAGAAATCAGGGCCTGGGAACTGAATCATTAATGGAAGATCTCAAAGGCAATATTCTTTTCATTGTAATTAATATTAAGTCGTTAAAGTAATAATAAATAACTAACATTTAGGTTCCTGAAAAAAATGATTAAATTGAACATCAAATAGTTTGCATTTATATCACACTGTACAATTTATATTTTTTATGCTGCTTTACTGTAAGATTTCATTGAACAAATGCATCTTATGATTTCAAGGTAAGGTATTGAAATATGCCTTTTAAAAATGTAATGCTGTATTAGTGATTTTAAAATATGTAAAAAAAATGTGTGGGAAATACTAGAAACGTTATTTGAAATTAGCCAGTTCTGGATTTGCTTATTTTTTTAATTTTATTTGCCAAACTGAGAACAATAGCCTTTACACATTTTCTATTTTTCTGGACTTGATTCTTAGGAACTTTAATTTTGCACTTTTGCATTCCTCTATAAATGTTAATGTTTTGGCCAATGACATTTCTCTAGATAAATTCAAAAGCTTAACCTAAGTAATGTAATGGTGGCATTTATGAAATTGACTCCTGGTTCTCTCTTTAAATTCTTTTTTATTGTTTATTTCTATGGCACCATTACACTATGCTATCACATTGTTCTTGTTTTATTCCCCATGTTTAAAAAGCTGTATATTCTTTGCTGAATCTTAAAGGTCA
Organism: Homo sapiens; assembly: GCF_000001405.40. Classification (NCBI taxonomy): domain Eukaryota; kingdom Metazoa; phylum Chordata; class Mammalia; order Primates; family Hominidae; genus Homo; species Homo sapiens. The sequence goes on from NT_187660.1 coordinate 4,763,283, forward strand.
CTTTGAAACCTGAAGACCATGACTGAAATACAGTGAAGATTAAAGATAAAAAGGAGAAAAAAGGTTAAATTATAAAACCTCTAATATCATTACTCATATATATGATACACACAGAGATGCATCACCTAGGTCCTCCCTGAGAGCTGTGTCAGTAGACAGGACTCAGCTGTGAGCCCCTTCAGACGTCACCTCAGCTGCAGAGCTTCCCCCTGCCTAAGGTCCTGAGGTTCCCAGTTGTGGCGCATATGCAACGACTGATTGAGGTGAGGCAAGGAGGCAGGTGAAAGAGGTGGGGAGGGGACTTGGGGCCTATAAAGACTCAGTCATGTCATTGCAATGTGAAAGGATGCCAGTGGGCCATTTTAACTTCAAAGTCCCCTGTGAGATGAGCCAAAGCTGTGGTCCAGGACTTCTTTTCAGCCCAGCTTTTTCCCTTTCCCTCAATCCAGCTTCCTTCTTCTCCTTTTCACAGGTAGTAATCCAAGGGCACTCCCTAGTATATATCTCCATGTCCAAATCTGCTTACTAGAGAACATTGTATCATGAATGATACCATTCTTCAAAAATATGGGGTACTTTGAGTGAAAGGAGTGAACGGTATGGAAGAACAGCTTTGGTAGAGTAATTAGAATAGAAGCTACTCTACATTGGGTTGATGCATGAATGGGATATTAGGAAGTAAAGTAGCAAATTGAAAACTCCTTTCAAAAGAAGAGAATTAGAAAAGGGTCAGCAAGATAGTAGTTGGGGCCTGGCTGTGATGGATCACGCCTGTAATCCCAGCACTTGGGGAGGCTAAGATGGGAGGATCACTTGAGGTCAGGATTTCAAGACCAGCCTGGTCAATGTAGCGAGACCCCACCTCTTTAAAAAAAAAATGTAGTTGGAAGCTAGAGAATAGCATAACAAAAAAGAGGGTGATTTTAGAAGATAAAAGGGCCCACTGGAGCTCTCTCACATTGGAATGAAATTCTGAAATTACCCTCTTTTTGGTTATGTCATTCTACCTCAATCATTTTGCCTCAATCATGTTTACAGGCAAAATAAGAGATAGAGAAGTGGGAAGGGCTGAAGGCAGAGATATGAGACACAATAACAAATGGGGAAAGATACAAGATATAATGGAAGGCATGAGCTAGATCAATTCTACAAGTGAAAAATTACATTAATTAAGAGGAAGGATCACTCATCACCCAATTATAGGTAAGTTTATAGGAGGGTGGGACTGGCTACATAATGGTAGGTGATACTTTATGTCCTTATTTTCATTAAAGAGAATATGTCATTTCCTGAAAATGAAAGATGTGGGTTTGAATAGAGAGTTGGCAAAATTTGGTATTTATTTGAAATTGGCATTTATTTGGGAAGATAATGTAGGGTAACTAATCCACTTAGATGATAGTTATTAACTATAAACTATGTACCAGGTACTTTGCTATAATATAAAGGCAATGGAAAAACCAAGATTCAATCTTGATTTGACATCCTTAACATTTACAGTGTCGTGGTGGAAACTATGTAAAGAATCCAGTGTGATAGAAGGTGGTAGATGTGGAAACAGGAGGTTTAGAAAAAGCTCCAGGACACACTGCTGATACATCTAACTCAGGATCAGGGCATTAAAGAAAGCATCACACTCTCCCTCAATCTCTCTATTCTGTCTCTTGATTGAATCATTTTAACAAAGTATCAAGATGGCCCTCAGCACTAAGGAGGAAGTGTTATTTGAAAGCATGTGTTTGAATAGTTGCATTTATCTAAACAGAATTTTTCACTCCTGTGTAGATTTGGCTTGGAATTGGTGTATTCTGGCATTCCATGTTGTAAAGCACTTGAGGTGCTTAAGAGATATTTGGTTGGCGGGGTGCAGTGGCTCACACCTGTAATACCAGCACTTTAGAAGGCCGAGGTGGTTGGATCACCTGAGGTCAGGAGTTCGAGACCAGCCTGGCCAACATGGTGAAACCCCGTCTCTACTAAAAATACACAACTTAGCTGGGCGTGTTGGCAGGTGCCTGTAATCCCAGCTACTCGGGAGGCTGAGGCGGGATAATTGCTTGAACCTGGGAGGCAGAGGTTGCAGTGAGCCAAGATTGCACCACTGCATTCCAGCCTAGGGAACAGAACAAGACTCTATCTCAAAAGAAAAAAATAAAAAAAGAAGGAGAGATATTTGGTAAATAACTGAGGCAAAGGTGGAAGAAAATAGTGTTCTGCAGGAGATCAAATAATGTGTGAAGAGAAAATAAAAATTTTAAAGAACTAAAAGAATCAGGTATTGAAGTCAAAGGTGAGAGGGCCACTGGAATTCAAAAATACAATGTGAATAACTACAGAAGATATCATCATTCCTGATGAGGCAATGAATGTGGGTGCCTAAATTAGAGTAGAAATACATGTTATTGAAGATAAGGAGATCAAAAGGTGTAAGGCCAGGGTGTTGAATGTATTTTGCACAAATGCGCTAACGTTACCCAGAGTGTTGGCAAGGGGAAAATCATCTGATGGCCTGTAGCCAGAGTTTTCCTTAAAAATGCAGATGTGTCCTCCTGGAAGATAGACATCTTTGAAAAAATGAAGGAAATTAGGGTCTCACGGCATGAATCTCATGGAGGTGATGAAGGACTGATTTGAGAGCAGCCATGCAGAGTTAGGACAATGCCAGCAACATCTGACCCATGTACATGAAGCTCCAGATAACTTAGGTGATTGCTTTAATGCAAAAGGCCACACAGTGTGAATTCCTGAGAGACTATTTATCTTTTATATTCCAGAGGTTGGAATGGAATAATTCACTCTTTTAAAAGGCTTGCTGGATATCCTCTATTTCAGGGCTCTCCAAACCCATACTAGTCCATAGCTGTTAGGAACTGGGCTCCACAGCAGGAGGTGAGTGGCGGCTGAGTGAGCGAAGCTTCATCTGTATTTACAGCTGCTCCTCATGGCTCGTGTTACCCCCTGAGCTCCTCCTCCTGTCAGATCAGCAGCAGCATTAGATTCTCATAGGAGCATGAACCCTATTGTGAACTAAGCATGCAAGGGATCTAGGTTGTGTGCTCCTTATGAGAATCTAATGACCGATGATCTGTCACTGTCTCCCATTGCCCCCAGGTGGGAACATCTAGTTGCAGGAAAACAAGCTCAGGGCTCCCAGGGATTCTACATTATGGTCAGTCGTATAACTATTTCATTATATGTTACAAAGTAATAATAATAGAAATAAAGTGCACAATAAATGTAATGGGCTTGAATCATTCTGAAACCATCCCCACCACCACCATGTCTGTGAAAAAAATTGTCTTCCACAAAACCAGTCCTTGATGCCAAAAAGGTTGGGGACCACTGCTCTATTTCTCTTCACTACTTAGAGAATCTGTTCTTCCACTCATGATCTACAAGGATTAAATGTTTCAAACAGTTCAAGTCTTCAAAATATGTATTTTGTAAACTTGAATTTTTAGAAATCATTCACAGTATCCATATTATATTTTATTTGCTGCAATGCCCTATACATTTCCCATATAATGCTCTTGAATATACTTTTACAACTTCAGTAACTTTACCCTTTACTGAATCTCAATCTGTCTCTCCATTTCTCTCTCTCAGCAAATCTAAACAAAAGAGAAACATGTCGACTTGTGCTATGGTCTAAATGTTTGTGTCTCTAAAATTCATGTGTTGAAACTTAATCTCCAATGCAATAGTATTAAGAGATGAAGGCTTTAGAATGTGACTGGCAGAGCCCTCATGAATGGGATTGGTGCCTTTATAAAAGAGGCCTCCAAAATCTCCCTAGCCCCTTCCACCAAGTAAGGAAGCACAGAAGTCACCATCTATGAAGTAGAGAGCAAGCTCTCGCCAGACACCAAATCTGCTGACACTTCAGTCTTAAACTCCCACCCTCCAGAACTGTGAGCAATAAATTTCTGTTTTATAGTTGTCTAAATTATCCTGTCTAAGGTGTTTTTTTATAGTAATGTGAATGGACTAAGACAACTTGAAAATGCAAGGTACCACACCAATAACAAGGAAAATACTCATGTTTTGTAACATTTATTTTATACCAAAGATACGCCAATTACTGTATACAAATATATGCCAAATGTTGGGTAAAATTCTTTACATAAATTATATTAATCCTGACAACAACCTGAAGGTAGATACTGTTGTCTGCATTTAAAGATGAGGACGTGGGGCTTGAATTAAGTAACTTAACTCACATCTCATCATGCTAAATGGCAAAGCTGGGATTCAAACCCTGCTCAGTCGGACTCCCATCAGGCTGCTCTTAGCCTGGTTATATTTTGAAGAAAAGAAGTTCAGAAACTTATCCATAGACATGGCCAGGTAGGGCCAGAGTCCAGACTCAACTGACTGTCAGCCAAGGCCAGCCTCAACTCTTCCATTTTACCTCCAGCCTGAACAGCTTAAACATTTTTTCTCTTGCCATCTTATTAGAGTACATAATGCCTATAATGATGGGATCCACATGATATAGCATGACAACACTCTGTTTTAAAAAAGGTGAAATGTAATTTTTTTTTTTTTAAATTTTAAGTTCTGGGATACATGTGCAGGACGTGCAGGTTTGTTACATAGGTAAACGTGTGTCATGGTGGTTTGCTACCCCTATCAACCTATCACCTAGGTTTTAAGGCCCCCATGCACTAGCTATTTATCCTGATGCTCTCCTTCCCCCCAACCCCCCAGTAGGTCCCAGTGTGTTTTGTTCCCCTCCCTGTGTGCTTGTGTTCTCATTATTCAGCTTCCACTTAGAAGTGAGAACATGCGGTGTTTGGTTTTCTGTTCCTGTGTTAGTTTGCTAAGGACAGTGGCTTCCAGCTCCATCTATGTCCCTGCAAAGGACATGATCTTGTTCCTTTCTATGACCGCATAGTATTCCATGGTGTATAGGTACCACATTTTCTTTTTCTAGTCTATCATTGATGGGCATTTGGGTTGATTCCCTGTCTGTGCTATTGTGAATAGTGAAGCAAAAAACAGACGCGATAGGAATGCTTTTACACTGTTGGTGGGAATGTAAATTAGTTCAACCATTGTGGAAGACAGTGTGGCAATTCCTAAAAGACCTAGAACCAGAATTGCCATTTCACCCAGCAATCTCATTCCTGGGTATATACTCATAGGAATATAAATCATTCTATTATAATGAAACATAATGTAAAAATACCTCGAGTGTATTTGTATTTTGGTAATATCTGAATAAGACATAAAATATAACGCACACATCTTTATATCGTTTTATCCATATCTCTCTTTCTTTAAATCCTTCTGGTTAAAATTTGTCATTGCCTCCTGACTATGTATTTATTTTTTCTTTTCTGGAAGAAAGCTCACCTAGGCCTTACTCAAATGCATGTTCTCAATCTTTACCTACCACCCCTCCTGCCTTTTTGTTCCAGTTTCCTCTTATCATTGTACTGATGTGGAGATAACGAAAGAGAATATCACTGTCAGCCACCAGCAGTGCCTTTTCAGAGAAGAGCAATGGGGAAGAAATTGAGCAGACAAAGCCAGAATCCCCATTAGCAAACAGAAAGAGGGAGCTCAGGATAACCACATACGTTAATAATTCTTGCCCCCCAAAGGGAAGCTCTGTAAAATAAGTTGTATTACATCCGTACATAGCAGTACTTTAAATATAACTCTAGCTTAAGTATTTTAAGCATCTCCATGATATGAACCTAAGGGAATAAACTCAATAAATCAATATTTATAAGCTCTGTTCACTTATTTCTTGTGGTTTCAGCCACTGATTTCAGAATATGCATGAAAAATACATTTCTTCTGAATATTTGATTTCATGATCCCAAGTAGACACATCTCTGTATTGGGTTTCAACAAGTCCACAGAAGTTAAATACCCACTTTTAGCCAGCTTTGATTTTCAGAAGTTTAATTCTGACATTTAGTGATATACAATATGTAAAACAACCTGGCACTATATCTGTCATATCATAAGTACTTGGCAAATATTTCAGTTTACTCTTTCTCATAATTGAATAATGGCTCAATAGTAAAACTCTGTAGGGAAAAATTTAACCTCTTATTTATCAGTTACAAATAGTTTAAGACAGATAATACCCCTTTCCTTGTTAGCTTTAATGATGAGTCATTAAAATTGTGAGCAATGTATTTATTTTGAGGAAACTATTTTTTACTAAGGATTTTTTTTTTTTTAGAATTTTATGAGTCTTCAAAATAACTAGAAAATCTTAAAGTGTTACCAAACAGAAGTGGACATTTAATAAACACCTCAACTTTAATACTTACAGAAAATCATTTGAAGGCTGTCACTCCTCTGGGTATTATAAATTTTAGCCTCGGTCAAATCAGATCACCAGGAGGCTACAAAGTTGAACTATATTGCCTTAGTTTCCAACAGAGTTTCTTTCCTTGAATTAAGTTTTGGGGCCATGACCTACTCCTTTTAATAAAAGAACAATACAACAAATAGTCATATGAAATCCATTTTGTTGCCTAATACAAAAATATTGTTGAAGAGTATCATAATTCAATGGCCCATATATATAAAATGTCTCAGCAAAGGCACTTATGTCATAATTCAGTACTAGGAAATGATTTCCTTCAGGCAAGCTCCCCCTTAATTTTTTTTTTTTTTTTTTGAGACAGAGTCTTGCTCTGTTGCCCAGGCTGGAGTGCAGTGGCACCACCCTGGCTCACTGCAAGCTCCACCACCTGGGTTCACGCCTTTGTCCTGCCTCAGTCTCCTGAGTAGCTGGGACTACAGGCTCCTGCCACCACGCCCGGCTAATTTTTTGTATTTTTAGTAGAGACAGGGTTTCACCGTGTAAGCCAGGATGGTCTCGATCTCCTGACCTCGTGATCCGCCCGCCTTGGCCTCCCAGAGTGCTGGGATTACAGGCATGAGTCACCGCACCCGGCCCCTCCCCATTAATTAAGGTGAGAAATACATAAATGATGATGGTAGTCATTGACGCACCAGTTACGAAAGAGTGAGGCTGGGTAACTGGATGACACCTGCACAGGGCTCTGAGGTCTCAAGGAAAATGACAGGTGTTTGTGTATTTCAAAAATGTGGACATGATGGCATGAGGCCCAGTGAAGAAGGGGTAGATTATGAATGGTGTTATCCTGAACATAAGGAGACTGAGATAGTGTAGTTTTAAAAATGGCAGCATGAAAAAAGGTGAATGCTAACCCCACCCCACCTTACGGTAAGTGTCTGAAAAATAATCTTTCCAGGTACTACTAGTAGGTATTCTTAAAGGACAGAGGCAGCTTTCTGTTTGAGTAGGAAGGTATTGGAAGCAGTATATGAAGGAATAAAAATATAAAAGAGAGAAATATTGGAGCAAGAGTGGGAAGTATGGTTAAAGATAAAGAAATGGCAGAGCACTTTAGGGAAATATGGTGTGAGACAGAAAAGAGGCATTTTTGAGTGATGAAAATACTAATCATGGCTAACACTTACATAGCATTTATCGTATGTCAAGCATTTACGTGTATTAACTGTTATGATGCTCACATTAACCCCAGGAGGTCAGGCCTATCACTTTACAGGAAGTTTAAGCAACTTCTGAAATATTAACAATTCTTCTGAATTGCTTCTCTGGTGACAGGAATAAGAGTCGCAGTAGCATCAACTTGCTAAAAAGTTTAAAATGGTGCTCAGAATAAAGGTATTTTACTGCTTTTTGAGACTCATTGTAAAATGGCTTGAAATGTCTTTGCCCTGAATCTCTGCCAGTGGGAAATTGGATGAGTTGCTAAAGAATGTGGAATTAATTATCCAAAAACACTTTAGATATTTCTCTTTGTATAGGGTATTGTAAGTGGTCTTTAGCTAATTATAATTTAATATCTCACTTGTCTCTCTCATACATAGGTATATATGATATATACACATGTGTATGTGTACAATTCAATACATCTATGTGTCTATGTAGCTACCTATGTATGCATGTATGTATGTATGTATCTGCCTATCTATTAATCTATCTCTATGTATCTACCTACCTATCTATATCTGTGTCTATCAACTTCAGGAATGCTTGGCATTCTTCTAACATCTGCGGGGTATTTAGGGATTAGGCTATGATGATAGATTTCCAGCTTCATTTCTTTTTAAAATCTTTTATTCTTCTTGCTCATTTTCCTTTTCCTGTCCCTAAAGGACAGTTTCTCCTCAGTTTAGGACTTCTTCCTTTTGCTCTCTTATCATTTGCAGACTTTCCGTTCTCAGCCAGAACCTCCCTTTTGTGCACTGTACAACCTGTTGACACTGTCACAGTTGCCACTTGATCATTGCAGATAAAGGAGGAAGTAGCAATTCTGGAATGGGTGGCTTATCTCTTGGCTTTATAACTGGATATCTTCATCTGCTATTCAGTCACTCTTTTTTATTATGGAGACATGTTTTCTGGGAAAATGCTACCATGAAGCAGGACCAATCTCCAGTTCAAGGTACCTCTTGATTTGTTCATTCCAAAGCATCCCCTGTTAGGAATTAGGGCTCAGATCATGGGGTCATCTATTCTGTAAGTAAAAGGCTGACAAAAAGTCTGTTACTTCACTGCTTTTTACATTAGGGTAATATTAACAATGGAAATCCAGTTCATTCAATAAAACAAGTGTCGATGAAGAGTCAAACTCGGTAAAATATTTTAAGAGACTTATTCTGAGCCAAATATGAGTGACCATGGCACATGACACAGCCCTAAGGAGATCCTGAGAACACGTGCCCAAGGTGGTCAGGGTGCAGGTCAGTTTTATACATTTTAGGGAGACATGAGACATCAATCAAATACATTTAAGAAACACATTGGTTTGGTTCAGAAAGGCGGGACAATTCAAAGCAGGGGTGGGGGGTGCTTTCAGGCTATAGGTAAATTTAAACATTTTCCAATTGATAATTGGTTGAGTTTGTCTAAAAACCTGGGATCAAAGGAAAGGATATGTCCAGGTTAAGCTAAAAGATTGTGGATACCAAGGTTCTTCTGAAGTCTTATAGTGGCTGCTCTTAGAGATAATAGATGACAAATATTTCCTATTCAGACCTTAAAAGGTGCTAGACTTCTACTAATTTCTTCAGGATTGGGAGGGCTTGGAAGAAAAAGATCTAGTTATGTCAATAGAGATTCTTTACAGATGCATATGTCCCCCAACAAAGGGCAGCTTTGCAGGACCATTTCAAAATATGACAAAGAAACTTGCTTTTGGGGTAAAATTTTTTTTACTTTCTTCTTTGTCACATAATGTTATGCCAGAGTCAGATTGCAAAGTAAGCCATGATATATAGGGTTAAATAAAATCCATCTGATGAGAATTTATGGTTAGTAGGGGATGACTCCCCAGACCCCTTAGATAAGAATTTGGGCAAAATAAAAAAATCAGAGCTTAGTCTTCACAAGTTATTGAAAAACAATGAGCTACCAATTTTATTTATTTATATTCTTTCAGTGGTCTTCAACAGGTGGCTCATGAATTCAGATATTTGACAATTTTAATGTGAAATAAATTTAAGATATTTCAACAACAATCATATAGGAAAATATAGATAAATAAGAAACTATAAAAATTATACTTTCAAACCTTTCCCTCTCTAAGACACATGGTTTACCTGATCTCACACAGATATTGAACATACAATTTAATTTTTAAAATTAATTTTTCTCACTTTAGAAAACTGGCATCTTGAGGCCGGGCACAGTGGCTCATGCCTGTAATCCCAGCACTCTGGGAGGCCGAGGCAGGCGGATCACGAGATCAGGAGATCAAGACCATTCCTGGCTAACACGTTGAAACCCCGTCTCTACTAAAAATACAAAAAATGAGCCAGGCGTGGCGGTGGGTGCCTGTAGTCCCAGCTACTAGGGAGGCTGAGGCAGGAGAATGGCGTGAACCCAGGAGGCGGAGCTTGCAGTGAGCGGAGATCGTGCTACTGCACTTCAGCCTGGGCAACAGAGCGAGATTCTGTCTCAAAAAAAAAAAAAAAAAAGAGGAAAAGAAAATTGGCATCTTGAAACAAAAGAAAGTGTCTGCTTTCCCCTTAAAGAATCATAAAGAAATATAATCAATTAGACTCAGCCTAGAATTTAAAGCTTAATCAATTTTATTGATTGGCTTCAAGAATTTTATTGAAATGTCATATATTTATAAATTAAGACTAAGATGATACATATACTATCTACTGATTTTAAAATACAACAAATCATTTAACTAAATAAAATTAAAGATTGTAGTCTTTTAAACTTACCAACCAGAAATAATAATAAGCCAGTGAAATAAAAGATGTTCCAATAGAGAAATCCTTTGTCATTATATGACATACATTTTAATATGTTACACAGATAATCTGTGTATTTAAAATTTAATGATAAAAATTATTTGCAACATTTAACTGAAAAATTTTTATTCAGAATTTATCTTGAGACTTGCCATGTATTAATATAATTAATGTACCTTATAAGTAAATATTGATTATATTAAATTTTTAGAATTGGGTCGAATGTGTATCTCCTCTCCTCTGATAACTTAGTTCATTCTATGAAATGGTGCTAGAGACTAAGAAATACAGAGGTTCTGTTATCAAGTGTCATGAACATCAAGTGCCTTTTTCTCCACTAATGTTAGAATGCCTCTCCAATTATCCTCTTTAGTAAACTGTGAGCTGAAAATAGTGAAGTCTGATATTGCAAACAATGTCTCCAGTATAAAGCTTGCTTGAGATGAGAATCTTTTCTAAGAACATTTTTCTTGTCACATAAAGTATGTCACACGGTGGCATATTCCAACTTAAAGTTAACGTGTACTAATATAAAGGCCTCAGCGGAATGTATTAAGTGGATTTCTTTTGGCATTGGGTAAAGGAATCTTTCAAGGATTCTGTGGATATACAAACAAGAAACAAATTTCAAAAGAAGCATATGCACAAAATTTTTATAACCGGTTAGAATCATGATCTGGACTAAACACAAACAAGTGAACCAAAGTACAATACAATACAAAGCAAAAATTAAAAATAAACAGGAAATTTAATTCTATACGATGCAGAAACTATGTGCCAATACTCAGTGTAAACATACACTATTAGGAGGAAGTTGCTGCCACACAAGCAGATGACAAAGTTTAAGCAAAGCTGAAGAAGTTAGGTAGTGGCGTGCGGAGGGATCACTTTGATTATTGGCGTAGTTCCTACCCTCCTATTATTCTGGTTACCATACATTAGTGAGGTGTCTCCAATGGGTTTCGAGGGTTACAAATACCTTCCTGCATATTAGTCTACCTTCCTTAGAACTTCTTAAGATGGGCCATTGTCTCATGATACTCAATAATTCAGGAAAATCAATAATTGGGATTAAAATAAACCAATTAATTACATACTTCTTTATCTCAGTGTGACATAAACATACATTTTCAGACAAGTTTTCATTACTGGGCAACTATGGTATCTACCCAATGTTGTGGCCAAAGTTGGAATATTCACAGTTCCCCCATACTTATGCCCTCCGTGTTTTGGTTTTCCAGATACATGCTGTTGCTTGTACTTCAAATACACTTTCCCTATATCTCTGTCAATTCACGTCTTTCTCAAAAAGAACAGAGAAGTCAAATGGCTCCTCTACTAAACCTCTAAACATATATGATTTCTCCTGTCTTGACATTTTTACCAATTCCTATTCTCATTATAAGCTATGGTATCCAACTTGCACTTCTCTTCCTCTAACACCCCTGGCTTTCTTACCCCATTGTCTACATAGCTCAACTTCTTGCAAGTTGTCCATTCTTGCTCTCTCCTCTGTCTACAGCGATTTGCCTTCTGCTCCCACTGTTCACAAAACTTCTGTCCTCCATGTATTCATTTACAATGTTTTAGCCTTGGGCTGACCATACACCAGCTGTTCACAAAATTTATGTTGAACTGAATGACACTCGAATCAATAAATAAAGGAAAAAAGGGGAACAGAAGGGGAAGCAAACAACATCCTTCTTCACATGATGGCAGAAGGAGAAATACAGAGCAAAGAGAGAAAAGACCCATATAAAACCATCAGATCTCACGAGAACTCACTATCACGAGAGCAGCAGCATGGGGGTAACAGCCCCCATGATTCAGTTACCTCCCACTGGGTCCCTCCCACGACACATGGGGATTATGGTAACTACAATTCAAGATGCGATTAGGGTGGGGACACAGCCAAACTAGATCAGTGCTACAACTGACTTCACTGTAAATGAGTTTACAATGGGTAACTCCATATTATCTGAACCAAACAGCATAGAGAGACCTCAAGAAGAGTAAAGAAATCTTTGTCTCATGTACATGGTATACCATCAATAATGAAACTGAGGAAGATTCACGGAGGGAAGTCATCACGCTGCAGCAGGCAATTATATCTAAACCAGTGAGATATGAACAGTGCAAAGAAGAACTAGAACAAAGATACTGTCTGGCATAGAAAGTCCAGTATTAAAGACACAGAAGGCCCTACATTTGTCCAGTAAAGCCATGCTTGATTAATGCCTTGGAAACCCTGGAGACTGGATCAGAAATCTGTATATAAAATGGTTCTTCCTGGATAAAGTTGAGAGAAAAAGAAAGCTTATTGTGTTCAAGTAGAAACTGGGATAAGCTGTGGGCCATCTGGCTTTTCTGTTGCAAAAACCAGGGCTTAAATCTACATCTTTCTATAGTCATGAATGAGCAAACTGATTTTGAACAATCATCTAACAACGAAATATTTAGGATTCAAAAAGAATGTACTTATGAAAAGAATGTAACACAAGAAACTGAAAATTAGAAAATTTCCCCTTTTTACACTAAAAAAGACAGAAGAGCCATGACTTTTTAAAAAACTGGAGCAGTAAGCTTGTAGTGGGAAAAGTGATGGTGAGAAGTGCAGGCATAGAAAGGAAGCAGGTTTAAGTAAGATGAGAAAACACAAGGAAATCCAAAATCCCAAATAAAATAATTTTGCCTTAAATTTTATTATGTTTAATAGTAGACTGCTGTTTTCTTTTGTCAATTGCTGTCAGATAAGTTTTGCTCTTTTGATTTATTTTAAAAGAAACATTAACTCTTGGTTGGGCATGGTGGTTCATGCCTGTAATCCCAGCACTTTGGGAGGCCGAGGTGGGCAGATCGCTTGAGGCCAGGAATTCAAGACCAGCCTGGCCAACATAGAGAAACCCTGTCTACTGCAAAATAAAAAAAATTAGTCGGCTGTGGTGGCACATGCCTGTAATCCCAACTACTCGGGAGGCTGAGGCACAAGAATCACTTGAGCGTGGGAGGTGGGGGTTGCAATGACATCACCACAGTCTGGGCAACAGGGGGAGACTCTGTCTCAAAAAAAAAAAAAAAATTAGTGGCCGGGCATGGTGGCTCACGCCTGTAATCTCAGCACTTTGGGAGGCTGAAATGGGTGGATCACAAGGTCAGGAGTTCAAGACCAGCCTGGCCAATATGGTGAAACCCCCTCACTACTAAAAATACAAAAATTAGCTGGGCATGGTGGCAAATGCCTGTAGTCCCAGCTACTTGGGAAACTGAGGCAGAAGACTCGCTCGAACCCAGGAGATGGAGGTTGCAGTGAGCCGAGATCGCACCACTGCACTCTAGCCTGGGCACAGAGAGAGAGCCCGTCTCAAAAAAAATAATAATAATAAAAATAAAATTAGCAAAAAATTAGCCAAAAATTCATTAAAAATAAATATCCATATATTTATATATACATTTTATTCATTAATAAAATCATTTTATTAATTCAATAAAATGAATTCATTATATATAATGAATGAATAAAATGTATTTTTCAATTAGGGATTTAAAAGGAGCATTGGATAAATTAAAAAATTTTTTGTCTTTTCTTTTGAAAAAATAAATTTAATGATGTATTTTTGGACTTTGATTAAAAATAATTCAATTTTATCTGTAAGCATAAATATTAGAAATACTCAGAGAAATTTAGCAGAAGGATAAGCATCATTTTGTAATGACAATAATTAAGTAGGGCTGCATAAGTGGAAGAATGGACATATAAATGCCTTTTTTTTTTTTTTTTGAAACGGAGTCTTCGCTCTGTCGCCCAGGCTGGAGTGCAGAGGTGCTATCTATGCTCACTGTAAGCTCCGCCTCCCGGGTTCACCTCATTCTTCTGCCTCAGCCTCCGGACTGGCTGGTACTACAGGTGCCCACCGGCTGATTTTTTGTATTTTTTTAGTAGAGATGGGATTTCACAGTGTTACCCAGGATGGTCTCAATCTCCTGACCTCGTGATCCGCCCGCGTCGGCCTCCAAAATTGCTGGGATTACAGGCGTGAGCCACCGCGCCTAGCCAGATTTTTTTTTTTTCCAGAGGCTCCCTCTGTAGCCCAAGCTGGAGTGTAGTGGCGCGATCTCGGCTCACTGCAGCCTCCGCCTCCCGGGTTCAAGCAATTCTCCTGCCTCAGCCTCCTAAGTAGTTGGGACTACAGGCACGCACCACTACGCCCGTCTAATTTTTGTATTTTTAATAGAGACAGGGTTTCACCATGTTGGCCTAGGATGGTCTTGATCTGACTTCGTCATCTGCCCGCCTCTGCCTCTCAAAGTGCTGGGATTACAGGCACGAGCCACCGCAGCCGGCCGACAGATTTTATTTCATCTGTAAAGTTCTATAATGTCATTCACAATAAAATAAAAAGATATTATGCAAACCAAACAAAATTTTGCCAGATATGTGATACACTATACATAGAAAATAATTGCATATCAGTAAGAAAATAACTATAAATAGATAAAATCCATGAATAGTAACAAAAGTATAGGATATTAGAGAAAAAGTATTTGACAGAATGAAAGAAAAAAATGGTTGTTTTAGGATAAGTGGTCTGAGATGCATTCATGTGTTACTTCATTAGCTTGTATGTATTTAATATATTCTATATGTGTTCAACAATTGATGCAGATTCAAAAACAAAAAAATGTTCGTTTAGTAAGGAGATACACAACAACAAAAATTTCCTATAAAAGTGGATTACAATAATGAAAGTATCTAGAAATCTAATTTTAAAAAGTGGTACTCATTATCTGGGATCATCTGGGAAGAACTCATTTAATAGACCATTTGAGTAGACACTTGAGGATGAAGATAAATTTTCAGGCAGATTAATAACAATGGGGAGAGTTTTCAAGGCAGAGGAGATGACTTTTATAAAACGAGGAAAGCATGAAGTTTATGTAGCTTGAAAAGTGTGTTGTATTCAGGTAGTAATGCACTGACTCCATCACTCTTGCATTTTGTTTGTTTGTTTTGAGGCGGAGTCTCGCCCTGTCGCCCAGGCTGGAGGGCAGTGGCGCGATCTCGGCTCACTGCAAGCTCCGCCTTCCGGGTTCACGCCATTCTCCTGCCTCAGCCTCCAGAGTAGCTGGGACTACAGGCGCCCGCCACCATGCCTGGCTAATTTTTTCGTATTTTTCTTAGTAGAGACGGGGTTTCACCGTGTTAGCCAGGATGGTCTTGATCTCCTGACTTCGTGATCTGCCCGCCTCGGCCTTCCAAAGTGCTGGGATTACAGGCGTGAGCCCCCGCGCCCAGCCACACTCTTGCATTTTTTATTGGAGGCTCTGAGGAAAGGTCTGCTTCCACGTTTGTTCAGATTGTTAGCCACACTTAGTTCCTTGAGTAGGTATTATTGCAGTCCCCATTTCCTTGCTGGCCGTCAGCTGGGACCAGCCTTTCCTCCTAGACTGTCCCTGTTCCTTATGCTTTTTTCATGGGCCTTTCCAGCAGCACGAACATTTCAAATATCTCTGCCTTTCCCTCCTGCCCAGTCTCTCAGAAATCAACTGCACATGGTCTCAGCTTTTAAGGGCTCATAGTGATTAGATTGGACTCATATACGGTCCTCATTTTAATATTCATAATTCTAACTGCAAAGTCTCTTTTGTCAGGTAATACAGCATATTCAGGTCTCAAGGATTAAAGTGTGAGCATCTTTGGGGGTTTTTATTCTGCTTACAACATTTACCTAGAGTATAAATTCAAGACATAAGGCAGAATCTTATGAGAAAAAGAAAGTACTATTTTGAACATACCTGTGGCAATCCTAAATGGGAATTAGATTCAGATTTGGCAGTTCTGGATAAAAGTGAAGGCTGAAGAAATAATTTGGTAGTCATCATGTTATACATTTTGTAAATGAAGCCACTATTATATATGAGAGGGTTAGCATTCACCCAGGGAGACTTCAAGTCAGTTTACAAAGTTAATATTCTATGGCATGTTCAATAGTAGCACCACCTTTTATTCAATTGGATAGTAGCCTGGGGTGAAGATTAAAAAGAAAGAAATATAACTATCTCTATATGGAGATGCCATGAGGTATAAAGAATTTGTATATAGATATATATGGAGAAATATTTATGCATACAGGAAATCCTAAGGAATCCACACACGCACGCACACATGCACACATTAAGATGATAAAGCTGTGATTTTTTAGGCATAACTTTGTAGTAAGATGTTACATCAGGAACAGGAAACTACTATAGCAAAGCACCCAGAACAGTCTAAATAGTCTTGAAACAGAAAATTTTCTACCAAACTATATTAATTCGGTGTTGCATTAGCATAAAGATAGACATATAAATTTAATGAAATAATATTGAGCATTAATCAATAAACCTTATATTTATGAGCAATTGATTTTTAAAAGGATGCCAAGAAAATTCAAAGGGGAAATAGTAGTCTTGTCAACAAATAGTGTTGGGACAACTGTACATATGCATGCAAACAAACGAAGTTGGATTCTGACCTTACCTTACACACAAAGTTGATCAAAACCTAAATGTAAGACCTAGAAGTAAAAAACTCATAGAAGAAAACATAAGCAAAATCTTCATGACCTTAGATTAAACAATAGTTTCTTAGATATAGCACCAAATTACAAGCAACAAAAGAAAAAAAAGGGGGCTATATTATGCTTAATTAAAACTAAATTTTTTCTTTAAAAGAAAAAGCCAAGGAAGGGAAAAGACAACCTACAGAATGGGAGAACAATTTTGCAAATCATACATCTTCTAAAAGACTTGTATTCAGAATATGTATCTTACAACTCAATAATAAAAAAACATATAACCTATTTTTAAAATGGAGAAATGATTTGAGTAGAAAATTCTCCAAAAAAGATACACAATAGGCAAGAAGCACATGAAAAGATACTCAACATTATTGGTCATTTGAGAAATGCAAATCAAAACCACCAGGAGATACCATTTCATACTATGATCAAAAAGAAAATAACAAGTATGTTTGAGAATGTGGAAACAATCCCACATAAATCGCTGGTGGGAACGCAAAACGATGCAGCCATGGTAGGAACAATTTTGCAGTTGCACTTTGGGAGGCCAAGGCGGGAGGATCACCTGAGGTCAGGAGTTTGAGTCCAGCCTGGCCAACACAGTGAAAACCCATCTCTACTAAAAATACAAAAATTACCCGGGCGTGGTGGCAGGCACCTGTAATTCCAGCTACTTATGAGGCTGAGGCAGGAGAATTGCTCGAACCTAGGAGGCGGAGGTTGCAGTGAGCTGAGACCACGCCACTGCACTCCAGCCTGGGCGACAGAGTGAGACTCTGTCTCAGAAAAAAAAAGAAAAAGAAAGAAAGAAAAGAAAAAAAAGTTAAACAGTGTTATCAAATGACTGGACAATTCTACTCCTTAGGAATATCTCCCAAAGAATGAAAAACATGTCTACAAAGAACCTGGACACAAATGTTTATAGCAACATTATTTGTAATGGCCATAAAGACAGTGCAAATGTCCATCAATTGATGAATGGATAATCAAAAAGTGGTATATCCATACAATGGAATATAATTTAGCCATAAAAGGAATGAACTACTGATACATGATACATGTATGAATCATGAAAACATTAAGTGAAAAATGCCAGACACAAAATGTCACATATTCTATAATTCTACTTATATGAAATGCCCAGAAAAAGCAAATCTATAGAGACAGAAGGTAGATCAGTGATTGCCAGGGGCTAGAGAGAAGAGCAAACAAGGACTGGCTAATAAGAGACACAGGATTTTTTTGTTGTTGTTCAGTGATGAAATTATTCTGGAATTTGCAGTGATTATACCATAACCTTCTGAATATACTAATCACTGAGTTGCATCCTTGTTAAGGACAAATATTATGGTGTATGAATTATATATTAATTTTAAAAAGTACAGTAAATTAAAAACAAATTGTGTTTCAATAATAAAATATTATTTTAATATCACAAAATCAATTATTGTAATTCACTATATTAACAATATGGAAGAAAATCTCATCTCAACAGATGCAGAATATATTTTTTAATATGCAAACAACAATGAAATGTATTTAATCTGGTGAAAGATAATCATAAAATCTTACAAAAATATTATAATTAATAAGGAAATATGGAAAGCTTTCCTTATGGGATCAGAAACAAAATTCCCTATTCAGTTCAATAAGAAAAAAAAAGTAAGAATTAGCAAGAAAGAAATACACAGGTCATTATTTGCTAAGGACATTATTGTATATGTAGAATATCTAAGATAAAATATTAGAACGAATAACTAAATATAGCTATCAGGATCACTGGTTACAATATGAGCACATAAAAGTCTATTTTATTTCCTTACACTACCAATAACCAATTACAGAATAAAATTTTATAAATATACCATTTAGAATCAATATTTTGTTAACTTCATAAATTAACTGGAAAGTTTTTCTTTTGAAATATATTTTCAAAAATTGAAGAATTCTTCAAGTCAGTTAAATGGTTTTAAATATTTCTGGCCTGCAACAACAAGGTTAAATCTGCATGTGATAATGGATCTCCCTACTGATACTAGAACTATCCCATTACTGAAAACCATTTTTAGATATAAATGGCAGGCACTTAAGAATGACTTCATTTCCTGTGGTGTTCCTTTAAAACAATTTTCCAAAACAGGCAAATCTTGCTCTCTCTCTCTTTCTCTTTAAAAAGTAACACAGGCTTATTTTTAAAGTTGCAATCAAAACAGACAGGTAAAAAGTAGAAAATTAAAATGACCCATCAGGCTTGTCTTAAAATTAACTACTGATAATATTTTGGTATATGTCCTCATATGTTTTAACGTATTTTTTCAGGTTTGTTCTATCAAAACCTAATTTACCAAAATCTGAGCAAATCATCCACTTCCTTTTCTAATATCCTTTTATACTGTGTGTTTATACATGTGGTTATGAATATATGTTCACAAGTGAGGGTATATATACACATACACACATACATGTGTGAGATAGAGACATAGGCAGAGGCAGACAGAAAGGCAGAGAATAGCTAGGAAAGTTGAGCTCAATTTAATATTGTAATTATAATATGCATGCTATTTTAAAATTGCTTTCATTTCTGAATTTAGACAGCATATAGAACTTGATAAATACAGTAATTAGAAATCCGAGAGTTATTTGCATACTTACACATCTGAAGTATCTTCCTATGTACAGATAAACATTAACCACAATTATCTACACATGTTGCTTGAATTTTTTCCTCCAGCTGTCATGTTAAAGCCATGATTGACACTTGTTTGCATACGATTTGAGAATTTAATATTTGGTTGAAATTCTCTGATCCTAAAACATACTGCTTGGAAATACACATTTTGTTTTCATACACATGGGATGTTGCACGCATACCGAAATTAAAGAATTACAATTAGTTGGTACCCAGCTTGCATCCTTAAGCAATCTTTGTAAATACTATTTTTCTTATTAATGCTGCTTTCTGTTCTCATTAAGTTTCAACAGAGTACTCTCAGTAATTTAAAACATATTGTTCCTTCAGTTAAATAGGCAATTTCCCTCTCAACAAATGCCTGGACCTTAAAGTAAGGTGTGGAAATGGACAAAATAGTCCCAAATATTTTAACCAGCAATATAAACTTTTGCAATGCTTTTATAGGATGTTTAAAATAACAAGAAAGACTTGGTTCTCGTGATTTTCACCAACGGTGGTTACAAACAGTCTTCTTCTTTACTATGTTTGAATGGCATATTTCACTT
The DNA here is from genome assembly GCF_000001405.40 of Homo sapiens. NCBI lineage: Eukaryota > Metazoa > Chordata > Mammalia > Primates > Hominidae > Homo > Homo sapiens. Next base: position 4,783,367 of record NT_187660.1, read on the forward strand.
CACATATCCTTTACTTGCTGCCAGAGCCTTAATATTGCTAGGGGGAAAAGCTTACCTAGCTCCGTGTTTGTAAATGTCAGCTAGCCAAAAGATATTTGGAAACCTATAAATGTTCGCCTTTCTAACATTTGCTTAAAGCTATCTGGAATTAACGTTCTCCTCTTTCCTCTTCTCTCACCTCAAGAAAAAAAAATCTGTATACAGAAGTTGACACAAAATATATTAAATAAAGCTGTTATTCAGCCCTCTTGCATTCAAGCAAGAATTACCCATGTATGTAAAACAGAAGAAAATGTCTTGATAGTATTCTGTACCCGTGCTGTCAAACTACCCTTTGATATGTCTGCAATTTTCTCAGTAAAACACATTTTGTTTATTTTGGATTAAGAGCAAGCTCTTGCATGTCTACCAGGATTTATTAGCCTGGTAAAGAGCAGCACTACACAGAAACAACGAATATAATGTGCTCTTTGCTATGGTTTTAAGTTCCCCTTCAAACTCATGTGAAATGTAATTGCCATTGAAACAGTATTGAGAGGTGGGGGCTTTAAGAAGTCATGCAGGCTGTTGTCGTTTTTTTTTTTTTTCCAGGTTTTTTCTATCAAAACCTAATTTAACAACATCTGAGCAAATCATCCACTTCCTTTCCTAATATCCTCATTTTCACTACTCTCTCCTTCAGCCGCAATGATCCATTCCATCATCTAACATTAATTTAGTAAAGATTTACTAAATCCCTTCTCTGTACAAATCATTTTATAGGATCTGAGTAAAGATACAGTGATTAGCATATGGCAGCCCTTGTCCTTTGACATGGCAAGAACAACTTTTCCTATTTTCAAGAGCTTGAGTATTCTGTCACTAATAGATCTAAAACTATCCAAGTTTACCTGGCCAACTTTTTCCCTTAAACTTCTGCCTCCCTTTTACAAAACTTCAAAAAAAAGAATTCCAAATTTAATCATGCTGTTAAAACAGATTTTCACATCATCCCGTAGTTACATAAAGGGCAGTCTCCTTAGCTCATACTTAAAATCATATCTTTTCAACCCTTGAGTATTGTTACCATTACCTCAAACGATCATATAGCTACTGTCTTTCAGGTTATTCACAATACAATAATTTGAATATGCAAAAACACCACAGAATTTAAATGAAAAGTAACTAACGCACCCTACTCCCCTCAAAAATCAATTAATAAAATTTGTAATTTCAACAAATATTTTTGAATATTTACAAATCAGAAACAAAAATGGCTAACTGGAAACACAAAACAGATAAAAGATTTGGTAAATTAACCCAACATGCAATTTTGAAAAATGTAAATTTAATTTTTACTTAATAAGTGATTTCTCAAAAAGTAACATTAATAAAGGGCATTGTCAGAAATTTTGAGTCTTTTAGGAGTGAAAACATCTGTTTGAACTAAAACTAGGAGACACAGAATGATGAGAACATATGAAGTTTTAGCTAAATATCCATGAATTACAAGGTTATTCTCTGTTGGTTTGGAGTACTCATTTACACACTAATACTCAGCTTTAGGAATTTAGGGCTCATTAACTTTGCTAAACATGGAATTTAGCGTTTTTTTTAAAACTACTTATTTCTTCACTATTTTTATATCCAAGTATACTCTTCTCATTACTCACAAAGGACAAATCTTCACCAAGCCCCTGCCCCTACAGTCAGGATAGTAATTTCATTCAAGCATCCCTTGAAAGCAATTATTTATGCTCGCTGCAGAAATTAGGGTAAATTTGTTGTGGTCCCATTTATTTTCTGGAGATTGGCGATTACATGTAAAATAATTTGAACGCTTGATAGATAGACTCATAAATATTTGGTTAATACAAGTAAAGCAGGGGGAGGCCAGGCGTGGTGGCTCACGCCTGTAATCCCAGCACTTTGGGAGGCCAAAGTGGGTGGATCACAAGGTCAGGAGACCGAGACCATCTTGGCTTACACGGTGAAACCCCGTTTCTACTAAAAATACAAAAAATATTAGCAGGGCGTGGTGGTGGGTGCCTGTAGTCCCAGCAACTTGGGAGGCTGAGGCAGGAGAATGGCTTGAACCAGGGAGGCGGAGCTTGCAGTGAGCTGAGATTGTGCCACTGCACTCCAGCCTGGGGAACAGAGCGGGACTCCGTCTCAAAAAAAAAAAAAAAAAAAATGGAGCGGGGGGGGCCGGGCGCGGTGGCTCAAGCCTGTAATCCCAGCACTTTGGGAGGCCGAAGCAGGCAGATCACGAAGTCAGGAAATCGAGACCATCCTGGCTAACATGGTGAAACCCCGTCTCTACTAAAAATACAAAAAATTAGCTGGGTGTGGTGGCGGGCGCCTGTAGTCCCAGTTACTGCGGGAGGCTGAGGCAGGAGAATGGCGTGAACCCAGGAGGCAGAGATTGCAGTGAGCTGAGATAGCCCCGCTGCACTCCAGCCTGGGCAACAAAAGGAGACTCTGTCTAAAAAAAAAAAAAAAAAAGTAGTTACTTTCTTCTTCATCCCTTTCAGTGTGGCCACTATTTATAATGCAGTTTGGTTCATTAGTGTTTGTATTCCAAAAACACCCTCAGCCTTCCTATCCTAGTTTTAATGAATTATTAGGGTGAAACATAATAAGAGTTGGAGAGTCGGAGCTATACAGAAAGGTCTACTCAGAGGTGCTTTGTTCCCTCCTGTTCTGTTCCCACCACTCCTACTTTCCACTACTTTTTCCACTGACCCTGTGAGCATCATATTTATTGTTAATGGCAGTTACATTTTTACCAAGTGCTTACTATCTGTAGGCACTTGGTGTGTATTGCTTCTTCTGGTGTTCACAGCAACCTCTTGAGGTAGGCACTATTATTATCCACCACCCCCCGCCCCGTTTTTTGAGACAGAGTCTCACTCTGTTGCCCAGGCTGGAGTGCAGTGGTGCGATCTCAGCTCACTGCAACCTCTGCCTCCCAGGTTCAAGCAATTCTCCTGCCTCCGCTTCCCAAGTAGCTGCAAGTACAGGTGCGAGCCACCACACCCATCTAATTTTTGTATTTTTAGCAGGCATGGGGTTTTGCCATGTTGGCCAGGCTGGTCTCAAACTCCTGACCTCAGGTGATCCCCATTTTTTAGATGAGAAAGCAGAGTCCCAGAGAGCATAAGGAGCTTGTCCAGAGTGGCATCTCTGATGCATAACCAGTACTCAAACCAGTATTTTTCTGACACCAAGACCTGTGTGTAAACTGTAAAAGGGCTGTTTGGTACCTGCTTTCCTAAAGTTGTCTGATCCCTTCTCAGTCCAGGTCTTCCTGAAGCTTGGCACTTCTGAAGTCACCTTTCTGAAAACATTCTGGTAACTGTTAGATCCCTTGTTGTAGCTATTCATATGTTCTGTGTGGTTAAACAAGGTTCACAGTGGGCCACCTGGCCTTTGGAACTTGGCTGAAGAGGCTGCCTTCAGTTCATCCTCCCCACCCCCATTTTCAAAACATGGGTTTCCATGTGTTCGTTGTAAATTAGGAAACATAACCATGTTTTGAGGCTTCATAGAAAACAAACGTCTGGGGTCACACAGGTTAAAGGAGGAACCAAATTCAGCACTATCACTGTTCTATTCGGCAGGCAATTCTGGGGCCTTCCTGTGTCTCAGGTTCTGTACTAGTTGTTTCAGGACTTTGGGATAAACACAAACTATCCCTGCCCTCAGGGGGATTAAGGTCAGGTGTACAAATGACTCTAATGCGAGGCAAGGCTGGATTCAGTGCTGGAAGAGGAGGGCATACCTAACACTACGGGAATTCAAAGAGGAAATGATCAGAATGAGGAGGGAGAGATGGGTCATTCCGGGAGAAGCTTCAGGGAAAGGCAACATTTGAAATGAGACTTTGGAGAGTGAGGGAGGTTTGGGCAGATGGATAGAGAGGATGCAAGGCCAGGGGAAAGGTTTGAGCCAGAAAGTCAGCTTGGGCAAGTGCATGGGTAAAAAAAGAAAATCCACTTTGGGAGGCCGAGGCAGGTGGATCGCCGGAAGTCAGGAGTTGGAGACTAGCCTGGCCCACATGGTGAAACCCTGTCTCTCCTAAAAATACAGAAATTAGCTGGGCATGATGCTGGGCACCTGTAATTCCAGCTACTCGGGAGGCTGAGGCAGGAGAATCACTTGAACCCAGGAGGCAGAGATTGCAGTGAGCTGAGATCACACCACTGCACTCCAGCCTGGGCAACAAGAATAAAACTTCATCAAAAAAAAAAAAAAAGAAAGAAAGAAAATCACAAGGCAGTGTGGGGAATGGTGAGTAATCTAATTTGGTTGTTGCAGAGAGGATGTAGAAGGAAGTGACAAGAGAGAAAGCCAGACAGGTGGCTTGGGGTCATCTTAAGGGCCTTTGTGCCAGTTAGGATGTTCCAGACTTCAGTCAGGCTGCCCAGCTCAGACTGGCTCAGACAATGAGGGGGTTTATTGGCCGTGTAATTGGGAAGTCCAGAGGCTCTAGGACTACAGAAAATTATTATTTAGTATTAGTTTGACAGCAACACCTTCTGTTTTCTGGGAGCAGGAGATGCTTGTCAAGCTGTAGGTCACTGAGTTGAATATTATCCTGCTTTATTAAATTGCCAAGGGCACGGTAATTGTTGAGAGGGGAGAAGTACACATGAAAGAAAACATGACCAGCTTAGAAATGTCAAATGATTATGACGTTGTTATAAAGTATTATAATTCTTTGAGCGTCTACTATAAGTAGAGAAACTTGAGTTCCAGGTTGTGGGCTTGGTTCCGCCAACAATCAGGAACGTGGTTTTGCATGAAGCCCTTCTTTCTTCTATAATCTTCAGTGTCCTCACCTGCAAAATGAGGCCTTTATATATATATATATATATATATATATTTTTTTTTTTTTTTTTTTTTTTTTTTTTGAGACGGAGTCTCGCTCTGTCACCCAGGCTGAAGTTCAGTGGTACAATCTCTGTTCACTGCAAACTCCCTCTCCTGGGTTCACACCATTCTCCTGCCTCAGCCTCCCGAGTAGCTGGGACCACAGGCACCTGCCACCACGCCCAGCTAATTTTTTGTGTTTTTAGTAGAGATGGGGTTTCACCGTGTTAGCCAGGATGGTCTCGATCTCCTGATCTCGTGATCTGCCCGCCTCAGCCTCCCAAAGTCCTAGGATTACAGGTGTGAGCCACCACGCCCGGCTAAGGCCTTTATTATACTATGGTTCCTACTGTTTTTTAAAATACTTTTATTAAGTCCAACATTTTTATTAAGAACATTGCTTTTATACATGCCTATTTATGAAAGGGGTTTTCGAGTGTTTACCACTTTTTATTAGAAATAGAGACAGTAAGAATGTTTGACTTAATTGACACAGGCATAATTGAATGGGTATAAATGGCATGCCATAGAAAGAGAAAATTAAGTTGAGCTACTCTGTTGGTTTCACTGATGAGGGGATACATCATTCAAACAGCCAGGAATTAAATCCGTCCAGCTCACAAATGGGGAAACCAGCTGTGTCTGTACCCATGGCCAGCCAGACTGAACACAAATCAGGAAAGTCAGTAACTTTTCCTCAGTTCTGAGGGACTTCAGTGGCTGCGGTTCATTTTCCTTTTGCTTCTGAAACAGTGCAAGTTGATGCTCGCCTGGACAGAGCGGCAGTGAGTGGTGGCGTCTGAAGGCCAGGTCTCTGTTGAGATGACAACACGTCGTCTCCCAGTGCCCAATGCATAGAAAAGATACACTACTAAGTGTGAGATGCTCAGTGAAAAATAAAATCTGGGGTTGAATCATCATGGGGGATACTGCATACTCTGTTTCCCCCCTGCAGATTTCCAATGCTCATTAGTTTATAGAGACTCTGAGAATTCCTACAGCAAAGGCACCTGCCGAGGTACTTACAAACTAGTTTAGCTAAACCAGACTTTCAACAATTGGTTACTAAAGACCACTCAAAGTCTGTCAACACTCTGTCATCTCTATGTAATGATAGAAACATAGAAATTCAGGGTAAATGTTTAGAAATTTCTATAGAAACTTGACATTCTCCCAGCATGTGACATCAGGGGACTTGTCTCAATGAGCAGTTACAGACCAACTCAGGTTTTGTCAGACTCGATGGAAAGATGCAGAGGCTGTGAGCTGCAAACGAGTCACATACACAAGGACCACATTGCAAGCTGCGTTCTTTAAGGTTAGTTTGTCAACTATAGTATAATCTCACACATCTGAAAAATGGGAACATCTATTCTATAAAGTCTTATTTTTGCAATATTAATTTTAAATCAAGCCAATGTTAGCATTATTAGTGAAAACAAAAGAAAGTTGTATTATTTATTATTAAACCTAATTTGAGAGTGAAATAAATTGTATTAATTTTTTTAACCAATAAAAGATGCACCTTGTAAACCAAGAGATGATTATGAAAGTGATTCTGAGGACATGAAGACCAAAGGAGTTTGTCCTCGTTTTACTCAGAAGTACTATTTCTAATGGACAGATGATCCCTGACATACAATGGTTTGACTTATAATTTTTTGACTTTATGATGGTGTGAAAGTGATACGCATTCAGCAGAAACCATACTTCAGTATTCAATAAATTACATGAGATATTCAACACTTTAAAGTGGGTTTGTGAGAGAGAATTTTTGCCCAATGGAAGGTGAATGTAAATTTTCTGAGAATGTTTAAGGTAAGCTAGGCTAAGCTATGATGTTAGCTTAGGTGTATTAAATGCATTTTAATTTAATTTAATTTAATTTTATGTTTTGAGACAGTGTGTTTTGTTCTTGTCACCCAGGCTGGAGTGCAATGGCATGATCTCGGCTCACTGCGACCTCTGCCTCTTGGGTTCAAGCGATTTTCTTGCCTCAGCCTTCGCAGTAGCTGGGATTACAGGTGCGCACCAACATGCCTGGCTAATTTTTGTATTTTTAGTAGAGACAGCGTTTCACCATGTTGGCCAGGCTGGTCTCTAACTCCTGACCTCAGGTGATCCACCCGCCTCAGCCTCCCAAAGAGTTGGGATTACAGGCTGAGCCACTGCACCCGGCCTTAAATGCATTTTCGGCTTATATTTTCAACTGATGATGAGCTATAACTCCTTTGTGAGTTGAGGATCATCTGTCTTGAATTTGGTTTTACAGGCATAACTGAAGGTGAAAGGACAGAATCACCGTGTGTTACTGGCACAGATGCATCGGCTAGTGAAGAAAGAAGACATTCAAACTGTAAGTTGCATTCACGTGGGAAGCACAAAGAATTAAATTCAAAACAATGAAACATTAGAGAAAAGCATGGAGTTAAAACACAACAGAATCAGATGTTTACTATTTCTCATTTTAACACTAGTGCTTTGCGGGCTTCTAATAAAGTTGTACTCCAGGAGGCTAAGACTGAAAAGTGACACTAGTGAAAAGTAGCATTGAAATAGTTCCTAGAAAAGTTGGGTGAATGTGGGGCAAAGATGCTACTAAACTTTAATTTTCCATCGACACACAAATTCAAAGTTTTCCAGAACTGGCAAGTAAAATGGAAGATCCACTCACAGGACACATGCAGTGTGTGAGGGGAATGCTTTTCAGCACTTCTTGATGGATGCACAAATAATGCCAACGTGGTAAATGTCTTTGGTAAATGTGCAATGGAATGTAGTGGTTGTGTGAAGGAAGAATTTTGTTTTCTGCTTCATTTTTGATAAACACAAGCAGCTCTGGACTGTGTGAAACCATGGAGCACTGCACAGTTAACAGAGGTGGTTTGGAGTTTTTTAGCTTTGCATAAGAGGATGTTCTGATGCAGAATCTACAGTGACAGGAAACCATTCTGGACAAGTTACAGAATTAAGGGGCTTGTGCCGGGATGGAAATAAATCAATGACTTCTGTCTTTGAGAAGGTTTTTCTCTGCTCCTCTGTGATGGTTAATTTTTTTTTTTTTTTTTTTTTTTGAGATGGAGTCTCGCTCTGTCCCCCAGGCTGGAGTGCAGTGGCGCCATCTCGGCTCACTGCAAGCTCTGCCTCCCGGGTTCATGCCATTCTCCTGCCTCAGCCTCCCAAGTAGCTGGGAGTACAGGTGCCTGCGGCTAATTTTGTGTATTTTTAGTAGAGCCAGGTTTCACCATGTTGGCCAGGATGGTCTCGATCTCCTGACCTTGTGATCCACCCGCCTTGGCCTCCCAAAGTGCTGGGATTACAGGCATGAGCCACCATGCCCCACCTTTTTTTCCTTTTCTTTTTTTTTTTCTTTCTTTCTTTCTTTTTTTTTTTTTTTTGTTAGTCCTTCCCTCCAGTGTCGTGGAGATAATTGGAAAATATTTTAGAGCAAAAAAGTTTATTTCTCCTTCTTGTTGTTAGCAAAGAAATTTATTTTTCCTTCTTGTTATTTATTGGCCTTGGAGACATACACCAAATAGCTCATTCTACTTCTGAAATTTTGTTTTGATTTCCCTGGCCCTCCCGACGAAGTATTTCAGATTAGCAGGGAGTCAAGCATTGTCTGTCTGTCTGTGAATAAAATATTTCAGGCTGCTTTTGCATAATATACATGCTCTTGCCTTTAAGAGTCACACTCACATCTTCTGGTTTTGTAAGACACCAGGTAGAGAAGAAAACAATGTTTCTGAATTCTGCTTTATCAGCCCAGTAGAGAACTCCTCCCTTCCCTGAACTGAGGGCCACATCTAAGGGGTTGAAACAGGGCCAGTTACATTCTATGTTCCCAACATAATTGTCCATGCACGGATCCGATCAAGTTAAATGAGAAATAGGATATTTATTCTAAAAACAAGTTATTGCTACAATAATAATAATATTATAGTAATATTATTATTCTAATAATGATATTAGAATAAAAACTGGTTATTAAAGTACTAAACAGTTGAAAATCTAAATGTCTCACAAGGTCAACTATAGCAAGTATATAAGATTTCATATTAGTCGCACGTCAAAAATTATATCCATAAAAGTAATGACATATGAAAACAGTTTATTGATACAGATATAACAAATATAACTAAACTGTGCTGAAATGTATTTTAAAATAAAATATGCCAAAATATTATTGATGATGACTTTGGATGATGGTATTACCACTAAGGTTTCAAATTTAATTTGCCTCTTACTTCTGAGTACTTTTATAAATTTTTAAATAATAAAATTAGTGTGTTAAAAAATATCAAGTGATATCTAGAAATCAGAAAAAGGCATATTGCCAGAGGAGGACCGAGTTAGTAGATTTGAGGCTCCATTAAGTTTTGTTTATGATCAAAAAACAAACAAAAACCAGGCAACAGTGGCAAAAAATATCTCACTTCCTTCCTGGAAAAGTAAATGAGACTACAAAGAATTTCCAAACTTAAAAACTATACATTTCAAGTCTGTTCATAACTAGTGAAGTCACAGTTTCTGAAAACAATGATAAAATTTTAATTGATATTTAATTCATATTTTTTGTTTAAAAAACTATCAGTATTGGAAGATAAATTTCATGGGAAAAGCATTGAATCATTAAGTTTTGCAGTCACAAAGGTAAATATAATTTGCTTAATGCTGCCCTCAGTTTACAATGAGTCTTTAGTATTTTCTAAGCTATGAGTTCACCAAAATATCGGATTGTTTTGCTGTATATAATTTGCTCAGTGATCAAACACTAAGGAGTTACCTATGTTAAGATGTGAATAATAAATTTATGCAAAATTTATGAAAGTGTACATTGTAAAGACAATAAAACTTTCCATTAAATTGGTGGGAAAGGAGCTCAAAACCTAGCTGGGTGATTCATTATTTTAATGACTTCCTGCTTTACTGCAAAACCTCTCTCTTCATTCGGTGTTGGTAGTTTGAACCCCTGTTAAGGATATAGGCTCACAATGAAGCTTCTATAAATTTCTGGACCTCTGTCATGCTGGCATGTGTGTCATTCTCCTTTAGGAATGATGAGGAGACTGGAAAGCGGTTGCTCCAAGGGAAGGGATAATTTTGCAAACCTGAGCTGTCTAAGCTCAGCATGAATTGGAGTGGGCTGCTGACTCAGGCTAGCAGAGGCAGCCAGGAAACATGCAAATCTGCAATCCGTTCTGCCAGGTCTGTCGCAGCAGGTGTCACTAAAGGCACCCCTGTGTGCTTGTCACTGTGGCAGCCTTGACAAGGAAGGTGGAAAGGAAAAAGAGACCCAGTGCTGAACTCCAAGCAGAGATGGGGCTTTTCTCTATGCATATTTTCCCTCCCCTCCCAGCCTGCATTTCCAATAACATATTGATTTATATTTGTATTATGAAACAAAAGTGGTTGTAATCAGATGTTCTTTCCTTTTACACACAATGTTAGCTCCTATTTACATTCCTAACTGAACAATGTCTAAAGAGGTATTTAAACTGATGTAAAACGCAGATAATCTCATGACCAAATGCTTAGCGCAAGAAAAAACTTCAATTTGCAAGAGAAGTCCCTCCAAATACAGAAAGGACCAGTATTGTAAGAGGTACCTTAACTAAAATGTAGCAATGTAAGGCGCAGAGCAGGAAGAACTTTTAAGTCTGAAACTTACAACAAGTCAATTTCATAGTCAGTTTCCCTGGGCCTTCCACAACAGCCTCCGGCACCTGTTTTCTCTACAATGGAGGTAACAATAGTAGCTATTTCAGAGTAGGAAATGGCTTAGAGCAGTGCTAGAATATGGTCGTGGCTATATAAAGTTTAGCTATTTGTATATTGTAAGAAACCTACGATGTGTTCTTTTATCGGTAGTCAGTAATGGATTTCTTGTGGGAAAGTAGCAGCCTCCTATGGGGGGAACACCCGCAGGTCCCACTAAGTGAACACTGGTGTCTGCTAACCTTTGCCTCTATTTGTCGCAATAATATACTGTCAAGCTGTTCCTTGAGTTAGCAATTTTATTTACATTCTTTTTCTTTTTTTTTTCCTTTCCCTTTTCCTGCCACAGAGTCCCGCTCTGTCGCCCAGTCTGGAGTGCAGCAGCGCCATCATAGCTCACTGCCACCTAGAAGCCGGGGTGAAGCAATCCTCCTCCATCAGCCTTCAGAGTAGCTGGGACTACCTGCGCGGCCCACCACAGCCGGCTAATCTTTGTGGTTTTTCTTTTGTTTTCCGTTCTGGGTTTCCGTCGGGCGCAGTGGCTCAGGCCTGCAATCCCAGCACTTTGGAAGGCAGAGGTGGGCGGATCACCCGAGGTCGGAGACCAGCCTGACCAACATGAAGAAATCCCGTCTCTACTAAAAAAAAGAAAAAAACTACAAAATTAGCCGGATATGGTGGCTCATGCCTGTAATCCCAGCTACTAGGGAGGCCCAGGCAGGAGAATCACCTAAATCCGGGAGGCCGAGGTTGCGGTGGGCAAAGATCACACCATTGCACTCCAGCCTGGACAACAAGGGTGAAACTCCGTCTCAAAACAGAGACCGGGTTTCACCATGTTGCCCAGGCGGTCTGGAACTCCTAGGCTCAAGCGATCTGCCACACTCGGCCTTCCAAAGTCCTGGGATCACAAGGGGGAGGCACCACGCCAGGCAGATCTATTCCTTTCTGGTTACTAAATTGGACCGGGGGCGCGGTGGCTCACGCCTGCAATCCCAGCACCCAGGGAGGCGGAGGCGGGCGTATCACTCGAGGTCAGGAGCTCGAGATCAGCCTGACCAACACGGAGAAACCCCGTCTGTACCAAAAAAATAAAACCAAAATTAGCTGGCATGGTGGCTCATGCCTGCAATCCCAGACACTCAGGAGGCTGAGGCAGGAGAACCACCTAAACCCGGGAGGTGGAGGCCGCGGTGAGTCGAGACCACGCCACTGCACTCCAGCCTGCAAAACGAGCGAAACTCCACTCAAAAAAAAAAAAAAAAAAGACAGTGTTTCACCACGTTGCCCAGGCCGGTCTGGAAGTCCTAGGCTCAATCGATCGCCGCGCTCGGCCGTCCACAGTACTGGGATCACAAGCATGAGCTACCACGCCAGGCCGATCTATTCCTTTCTGGTTACTAAATTGGACCGGGGGCACGGTGGCTCACGCCTGCAATCCCAGCACCCAGGGAGGCGGAGGCGGGTGGATCACCCGAGGTCAGGAGCTTGAGATCAGCCCGACCAACACGGAGAAACCCCGTCTGTACAAAAAAAAAACACCAAAATTAGCTGGCATGGTGGCTCATGCCTGCAATCCCAGCCACTCAGGAGGCTTAGGCAGGAGAACCACCTAACCGGGAGGTGGAGGCCGCGGTGAGTCGAGACCGGAAAACACTCTAGCCTGGAAAACGAGCGAAACTCCACTCAAAAAAAAAAAAAAAAAAAAAAAAAAAAGACCGTGTTTCACCATGTCGTCCAGGCTGGTCTGGAACTCCTAGAACATGTAGATGTTACCTCATTTGGAAAAAGCAGATTTTCAGGTATGATTAAGTTAAGGATCTTGAAGAGAGATTATCCTGGATTGTCTCCGTGGGCATTAAATCCTGGCACATATATCCTTATAAGAGGGAGATAAAGGAGATTTAACTTCAGACAGAAGAGAAGGAGGCCCTGTGACCAAGAAGGCAGAGCCTGGAGTGGTGGAGCTGCAAGCCAATGAATGCCAGCAGCCATCAGAAGCTGCGCAAGTCAAAGGATGGATTTTCCCCTCAGCCTCTGAGAGCACTGGCTCTGCTGAGACCTAGATTTCAGCCCAGTGATACTGATTTTGGACTTCTGATATCCAAAACTGTGAGAAAATAAATTTCTGTTGTTTTAAGTCACCACATTTTTGGTAATTTGCTCTAACAGCCACAGGAAAGTAACATACATGCCTACCTGGGTCCAGTTGTGTCCTGTGACTCCTGCTTTCCTGGGACAGGCAGGCTGCTCCGTGCCTCCTGGCCATCCTACTGGGTGCTGGACGCTGTAGGCTGCTCCATGCCTGTTGGCCATTCCCTTTGGTGCTGGACAGCACTCACATTGTGAAATCCACTGGCCCTGTGAAAAACACCTGGAAATGTTACCAGGAGAGGGGTTAGTTCTCTTTTTGGCAACCCATGTTATTGCTTATGGCTTAATATCTGTGCCTCCAAGATCCCTTCTCTCTGCCTTCATCGATGCCAGGAAAGCAGTCAGTCACCTTTTGCCTTTCTTTGCTTCTCAGCAAGTGGCATGTCTCCATGTCACTTTAAGCATCAAGCACACGGAGCCCAATAAGATGCTGAAAAGTGTCTGCCTACAAGGTTACAAGGCGGTGGAGACATTCTGAGCCGGTAACTGCAGGGCTCAGTAAAACCGCTACAGGAAATCTCAAGTTCAAAATGCTGAAGTGAAAAATGGGTGATCACAACGAAGGGAAACACAAACCCCTTCTTTTAAAAACATTATGGTGATAAGGCACAACATAAAATTTACCATATTAGCCACTTGTAAGTATACAGTGCAGTAGTGTTAAAAATATACATGTTGAGTAACAAGTTTCTAGAACTTGCTTCTCTTGGAGAACTGAAACTATAGCCACTATACAACAACTCCCCATTTCTCTATCCCCTGGCTTATGGAAACAACCGCTCTATTTTCTGTTTCTATGAGTTTGACTAATTTCGAACCTAATGTAAGAGAAATTGTACAGCATTTGTCTTTGTGTGATGGGCTGATTTCAATTAGTGTAATGTTTTCAAGGTTCATCTATATTGCAGCATGTGACAGGGCTTCTTTCTTTTTTAAGGCTGATAATTTTATAGTATTCCGTTGCATGGATAGACCACATTTATTCATTTATTTATTTATTTATTTATTTACTTATTTATTTATTGAGACAATCTCACTCTGTTGCCCAGGCTGGAGTGCGGTGGCATGATCATGGCTCACTGCAGTCTGAATCTCACATTCTCAAGCGATCCTGCCGCCTCAGCCTCCTGAGTAGCTGGGACTACAGGCACATGACACCATGCCTGGATATTCGTCTTTCTGTGTAACTGGTTGAGAAACAGGGGAGTAACAGTGAAGAAACGGTCTTAGAATAAATCTGGTGACAGCAGAAGAGAATATGAGACAGATTGTGCTCACAGAGCCTTGAAGAGTGTGACAGTATTTGAGGGCCACGCTGTTGTCTTAGAGTGAAGTGAGGAGAACCTGCACTGGTTTGGTAGTCATGGGAATGGAAGGAGGAAAGAAATGTGAAAGCTCATCGGTGGCAGAGTCAAAATGGCTTGGTCTTTGTAGTCAACGATTAAGTGAGAAGGAGGAATTACTGGCTGACTTAGAAGAAGTAAAAAACGTGAAATACCGATAAAACACAAATCTCGTGATTTTAGTCAGCGTAAAGACTAAGCATTGTGTGATTCTAGATATATTATTAAGCAGTTTTGTTCCAGTATTTTATATCCCATATCTTCTAGCTATGACCCTATTTCTTTGTTTCTTGACATAGACAAACATTTTTTAAACTAAGAGCTTTATTGTGATACAGTTTTTGTATGATAAGCCTCACCCTTCAAGTGTACAGTTCAGTGGTTTTTAGTATATTCAGAGTTATGCAGCCATTACCACTCCCTAATTTCAGAACATTTTCATCTCCCCAAAAAGAACCCCGTACCCACTAGCAGTCACTCCCTGTACCTCTCTCCCCCACCATTGATCCTGGCAACCTCTGATCTAACTTCTATCTCTGTAGATTTGCCTATCCTGGGCATTTCATATAAATAGAATCATACAACAGTGGCATTTTGTGACTGATTTTTCTTTACAGTGATTATAAATCAAATGCCTGAAGACGCTAAGCTTAGGATAGTGTTTGCTGTACAACTTTGATAACTGAACTTTTGTAAAGCTGAAAATGTGACTGTGTCTGTATATGTGGCATATTATCCTTAGATGATCCTTACTTCGATTATTAAGAATTTTTTCCCCTAGTAATCTTCAACTGTCTCAATATTCAGCAGGAACCCCTTGGAGACAAAGATCAGTACGAATTTGGAACACCTATTGACAAAATGAATGTAATTTAATTTAGTACAGTAGTAAAGTCAACCACTTTTAGGTGTTGATGCTGCTGAAAGTGTATATTAAGGAAAAACTTACTTACCTTACTTTTTGTGGAGGTGCTAGAACTACTTCTGTCTTGTGTTTAGATTTCAAGAAACCTTTGCATGGGCATTATGTGGTTGCACAAATGTACTTCGTTTTGACCTGAAAATGCAAAAACTTCCTTTCTTCCCACTTTCTGAGACTCTGCAACCTTAAAGGAAGAGTGGGGTTCTTTAAAGGAAAGGTGGTGGTGGTTGGGTCATGGGTAACAATGTCTACTGTGTACTTCCTTTCCCAAAACAAGTCCCTGTCTACCGTCAGCATTTCCAAAATTTGAAGGTCAAGTGTGGTGTTAACTCATGAACTAATGACTAGACTTTGAGCGGTTGTGGAAGCAAAATCTCAGTGAGTGCCTGGATGTTCTAATTCTGTTAAGTCAGTGAGTGCATATTCTGTACAATACTCTCTTAGCCCAGTGGTAGGTTTAAGGAGTGGGAGAGAGATTTCTGTGTTTCGGAAATCAGATACACAAAGAATAAAAATTTTTAATCCCATGAATCTTTGCCCGAGTTTAATTTCTTGGAGAGTTTTTCTTTTAGATTTTCTTTCCCTTCCATTAAACTTTTACTTAGAAAGGTCCCAGGGTTTGGGCAAAGCAAGTGGGAAAGACACTTGCTTGGGTTCTCCAGGATAAGGGATTGAAGAGGACTTCTTTCCCTCATTTTATTATTGAATAATGTCACAATATCAATTATTAAGGTGAATAGTCTACAGTGGAAGTGTTTAGATGCCTTGTCTGCAAAATAATTTGGTTTAGTCAACCCAAGGATGCCTTTGGTTAGCTGGAATGGGAGATGTGCATGTTAGAGTGGTCTTGGCAAGTCTTCCAGGGGGAAATACAGCATTTGGAAGGGTAGGAAGCAGAAGGAATCTCAGGCAAGGGAAAGGCGTGGGCAGAGCCCCGGAGGACAGAACAGGTTGTGGTGGACTTGGTGTCCACATAGACCTAATTAGTGGTCTCAGCTTTTGTGTTTTCAAAATTACCACAGTTTGTGTTCTAAAACTGTCATTCTCTTGATTTTATTTTAGACATACTATCTGTGTATTTTGAAATTTAAAATAACGGTAAAGGAGAAACGAATTTATTTTGTTTGAGAAAGAGTTAAAAGGTTAAAACATCTTGATCTTAATAATTTTCTAATGGGAGATTTGGTACACCCCCAGAAGTTGTCTTTGGTTCAGAGAATAGTCTTCAGATCTAGAAAGGACTTGAGAAGTCCCAGAGAGGTGCTGCATGGTCTGAACCATTTGATTCTCACGACAGAATGGATAAAAGCAATTTGAACCAGGAAACCATGCAGATGTTCATATTTTGGATAGGGTAAGGTCAGTGCCGTCGTCAGAGGAAAAACTCTCGGCCATCACAGGATGGGAGAGAAAGTTTGAGTTGTGAAGAATACTCAAATGCCGTTTAAGGAAACGGGTTCTTCTGCACCTATTCTTTGGAATATTTAGGGCTAAGTTCTTAGTTTTTGACATCATAAAAATGTCAAAGTATTCTGTTCTAAGAGCCATTTCAAACAACTGACTAGAATTTCAGAGCAATTACATGAGAGTAATACCATTAAAATGTTTAAATTACCCATAGTCCTATATCCCTAACAAGTATGTTCACGCTTGCATGTCCTCTTCTCATCTTTACTGTGTGCATACTTAGTAATGGCACGTAGACATTGTTTAAGCAGGAATAATTCTCGAGATAATTTTGTATGTTTCCTTTTTTCTTTTTAAGGTAGGTATTGGGTGGAGGAGCATTATATTTGCAACTTCTCGCAAAACACGTGATTATTTTCTTATAATATTCAATTTTCACCCTCAATACAGTGTTTTGATTATGTAAGTTAGACAGAAAGTAGAAGGTTCTCTTAGAGAAATTTTAGTGTTTTTTTTCATAGCTCCTACTTTCAAGAATGAAAAAGGTAAACCAGTAAAATGACACTGTACTTGGTGCTGCATCTATGCTGGGATAGGCATTAAGAGTGACCTTTATTTAAGGTTCTAATTTGCTCATGTTGGGCACTTAGAACGTCAGTTTGTTGCTTTTTGTGAGATTTTGGAAATGGTCCAATTTTACTTTTTCCCCTTGACTCCAGACTTTTTAACACTGATCTGCTGCTGTTGAGGCATATGCCGTTTTGTTAGGCCTCCTCAAGTGGGAATCAGGAATGCTGCTGTGTTCCAGAGAGGTTTTGTTCTTCCTGTAGGGCTGAAGCAGTGCCTACTCAATAGAACCAGTCATCGTGCAAAGACATGCCACCTGACTCAAAGGCAAAGCCAGAGTGCAGCTTGGAGCAAAGAAGGTATTTTATTAAGAATTTTCCATAAACCATAAGATATATTTTATATTACTTTGCGAGCCTTCTTCCTGTCTTGACTTAATTCTTTTTGAGAGAATTCATTTCATTTTCATTTGGTTGGTTTTCTTCTTGTTACAAAGATGATCTATAGAAAATATAGAAGTATAAGAAAATTAAAGATACTAACTGATAATTGCTTAATGATTTAGTATCTGCTTGTTTAGTCTTTGTTATATTTACAGTAGGCAAACATGTCTACCGTTGTGAATTTATTACTGGTATGTATACCCTAGTAAGTTAAAAGTTGTACGTACTTTGAAGTTTTGCAAAATTGAGTTCATATTATAGAATTAATTCCTGATGAACTTTTATGTGCTAGGCACTGGTCTTTTTATTTAATTATTTATTTTTACTTTTTTTTCCTCTGTGCCTATGCTTACCAAGTCTTTTTATTTTTTACTTTTTATTAACTCTTTTAATCCTCTGGATAAATTAAAAAGAGGGTATTATTAATATCTGCATTTTGTAGATGAGGTAACTGAAGGTAGGTAACTTGTCCAAGGTCACAGGTGGCAGAGCAAGGATTAAAACTAGACAGTCTGGCTGCCCAAGGCCCAACGAAGAGGAGCTGAGAGCAAGCCACCGGGCAGAAGGATGTTGGTCAGGCTGGTTTCCTGTTCAGTTAACAGGAAACGCAGGCTTAACCTTAATTCTAGGACGTTACCGAGAAAGCCTTCCAAAGCCATAGGTTTTTTACCATGACCATGACTTCTTTTTTTTTTTTTTTGAGACAGAGTCTCACTGTGTAGCCCAGGCTGGAGTGCAGTGGCGCTATCTCGGTTCACTGCAGCCTACCTCTCTTGACAGTCCGCTGGTTAAAGTGATTCTCCTGCCTCAGCCTCCCGAGTAGCTGAAATTACAGGCGCCGGCCACCACGCCTGGCTAGCTTTTGTGTTTTTAGTAGAGACGGGGTTTCACCGTGTTGGCCAGGCTGGTCTTGAACTCCTGACCTCAAATGACCCACCTCTGCCTCCCAAAGTGCTGGGATTCCAGGCGTGAGCCACCGTGCCAGGACCCAAGGCCCTTAAGTTTTAACGTCTCATTCTTCAGTCAGGTTTTCCTTGTTCCTGCGTGTTCAGCCATTTGTTTTTAAGTTTGTGTTGAAGGAGAAACTAACAACGAAAATGGACTTGTTGACGGAAGAAAAGTAGGAATGCAGCCTCTGGTGCTGTTTGAGTGATCCCTCTGCCCCAGGCCTGGCTGCGCGCTGCTGTGTTCTGGAAAGGCGCATTGTGCCCTCGCTGTGGCAGGTAAGAGTCCTGTACAGGTGCTCTGCCCACTTTACCTTTCAGGCTTCTGTATCAGCTGTTTTTCCCTTGTAGAATGTGCCCCTGACCTGTGCCCCTGACTTCCACCCCTTAACCCTGCCCAATACATCTTTACATGTCTGACCATCAAGACTCTTCTGGGTCATATTCAGTTCATGCTGATATTTTCCCTTCCTCCCCTCTTTAGTCCTTACTATTTTTGCTTTGGTCATGTTATGCTATATTCTGTAAGCCTTTAAAAATTTTGTTGTATCATGGCAGGGGAGAATATTTTATAATTATGCTTTGTGCGTTTTATCTTCCACTCAATGAATGCTTGGTAAATATTTGTTTTATTGAGTATATGACCCTTTTCTAGCTATACCGTGAACAAAAATGTTAACTGCCTTGTACGTTAACTGCTAAGAATTTGTCAAAAGTGCAGAGATGACATCCAGAACTTGTCAGAATATTACAAAAAGGTCTCTAAGGGCATGATGGAGGTCTGTAAATTGACTTCATGTGAAAGAGTGTAAGAAGTGAAAATGTGAAGCATGACTGGAGAGCCGGAGTGATAAAGCAAGGGTCCCTTTCTCTAGATCCTTTGTAACAGTGTCATGTGACCTCTTCTAGATCATTCTGAAAGACAATGCCAGCTCGGAACCTAGGAAAGCATCCAGTGGGTTTCTGCATGTTAGGTGGTTCAAATCCTCATTAGCACCTTTGTTTTCTCTGCCTCAGTTTGCTTACAGTGATGTTCTCAGTAGCTGTAATTGCTGTCTGTCTTTGAATATTTAAGCATTTTTTTTTTTTAGATCACAGGGTATATGTGCATTTTTATTTTACCAAGTGTTAGAATTTTTACTCTGCCTTTGTGGGCTCTGGGTTAGCTACTTGGCTGTTTCATCGTAAAATGATTAGCAGGAAAAACTGTGTGTGTGTGTGTGTGTGTGTGTGTGTGTGTGTGTGTGTGTGTGTGTGTGTGTGTGCACGTGTGTATTTTAAGTTTCTTAATTGGGTTGGTACATGTAAACCATTTAGAACAGTGCCTGCTGCATATCACATCCCCATCAGTATTCACGTCTCTCATATTCTACCCTCACACTTGATTGATAGTTTGCTTGATTACGTATTTCTAGGTTGAGGATAATTTTACCTTAGAATTTCAAAGTCTGTGCTGTTGTCTTCTAACCAGTCGTGGTGGCGAAGCCTCATGCCATCCTGAGTTTCACTTGTTTATGCATGACTTTCTCCCTGGAAGCTTTTAGGAGTTTGTCTTTTCCTTGGTGAGCTGAAATAGCACAACAGTGTACTTAGTGTGGGTCTTTTTTCATTCATTATGCTGGGTACACCAAATGAACAGGCCTATGGATAGGCTCTTTCAAAGTTGGAGTCTTGAATCTTGTCATATTTTTGTTGTTAACTTTCTCTTTTCCATTTTATTTGTTCATTTGGAAGTGTCTGTTAATTGGATTTGAGACCTCTTGTCTTGAGTCTTATATCTCACGTTATTTCTAAATGTTTTTTAAATTTTCAGTTCTGGAATATTTTCTTATCTTTCGACTTTCAGGAAATTTTATTTGGACTGTCATAACTTTAAGTTTTGTTTTGGTTATTTATTGTTGCTTAACCAATTATCCCAAAACTTAATGGCCTAAAACTACACATCTGTCTATCTGTCACGACTGTATGGATTACCTGGGGCTAGCTGGACAGTTTTTCTGCTGGTCTCATTTGGCAGCTCTCACTGTGTGGTTAAACAGTGTCAGGGACTGGTCATCTGGATGCTCAGCTGCAGTGGAATGTCTGAGACGGCTTCTTTACCCACAGGTCTGCTGCCTTGGTAATTCTTGATGTGGCCTTTCTCTCTGCATAGCATCTCATCCTCTCGGATCTCTTCATGTGGCTTTTCTTTCTCCAAGAAGGTAGCCAATTCTTATTTTTGGCTTCCAGAAGCACAGAAATGGAGCTGCCAGGAGTTCTTAAGGCTTAGACCTGGAACAGGTCCAGTGTCATTTCTACCACATGCTATAGGTTAAAGTGAGTGTTGGGGCCAACCCAGATTGACTATGGGATGGGCCTGTCTGAGGACATGATGACAGGAGGTATGGCTCATTGGAGACCAACTCCCAAGATGGAGCATGAGTTCTAAGAACTTTTTCTTCTCTGATTATTTCTTATTCATATTGTTTTGTTTTATACATGTAATATATTCACAAGTGTCTTTATGAAGTGATTTTGATACTCTTTGTCTTCTCCCTGGCATCTCCTTGTTCTTTAATAATTTTTTTCTTAGTTTATTTTGGTCTTATTTTTCTTTTTAAAGCCTTTCCTTAAATATCTATTCTATGTTGCTTATCATTTGTAGTCTTTTTTTTTTTTTTTTTTTTGAGACCCAGTTTCGCTCTTGTTGCCTAGGCTGGAGTACAATGATGTGATCTTGGCTCACCACAACCTCTGCCTCCAAGGTTCAAGCAGTTCTCCTGCCTCAGCCTCCCAAGTAGCTGGGATTACAGGCATGTGCTGCCACACCCAGCTAATTTGTGTATTTTTAGTAGAGATGGGATTTCTCCATGTTGGTCAGTCTGGTCTGGAACTCCCAACCTCAGGTGATCCACCCACCTCGGCCTCCCAAAGTGCGGGATTACAGACATGAGCCACCGTGCCTGACCTGTAGTCTTTTTTCCATTCCTTTATTTGTTCATTCATATTTGAGAGAGGTACTAAAAGACTGGGAGCCGAGGTGTGGTGGCTCACACCTATAATCTCAGTGCTTTGGGAGACCGAAGTGGGAGGATCACTTGAGCCCAGGAGCTCAAGACTAGTTTGGGCAACATAGTGAGACCCCATCTTTACAAAAAAAAAAAAATAGCTAGGTGTGGTGACACCCATCTGCAGTCCCAGCTACTTGGGAGGCTGAGGCAGGAGGATTGCTTGAGCCCAGGAGGTTGAGGCTGCAGTGAGCTCTGATCATGCCACTGCATTCCTGCATTCCAACCTGGGCGAAAGAGCAAGACCCTGTCTCAAAATAAATAAATAAATAAATAAATAAAAATAAAAATAAATAAAAATTGATTGGGAGTTCTTTGTGGCCAAGACTTGTCAACTGATAGCTTTAAGGGGAATGTATGCTGATTCCTAATTGTTATCCTCCATCCCTCTATCTTATCTCCTGTTGCAATCATAAATGATGGCTGGGTGACTACTCCATTCCTCTGGATGTAAAATCTACATTCTCTTGCCTGAGGTGGATACGTTTGCTTGGGTTCTGTTTAAGGAGATGGGGCCAGCAGTGTGTTTCAGGGCCTGTGAAATGTGTTCTCTATCCGGGCTTTTGCTTAATCTCTGTTTTCAGTCTTGCCTATCAGTCCCACTGTCGGGGGTACCTCGTGTCTGAGTCTAGAACCTTTCCAGGTTGCTGTGGGACAGATTAGCCTCCTTGTTCTCAGTATCCCCCTGACCTCCACCTTTGTTGCTTTGCTCCATGAATTAACCATTTTCCATGTACTGTCATTGTCTAATGAAGATGAATTCTCTTCTGTTGGTAACCCCATTCCTTTTTTGTAATGGTGTGCTTATACAATGTTTATTCTTCACTGTATTTCTATTGGAGCCTCAGGACAAAGAGCAGATGGTGAGAATCTGTGTTCAGTGTTAAGTTTTCCTTCTGTAAGACATGTGCAACTTGTGTTTTTCACTGAATAGATCATGGACTTAATGCATATAGAGCTACTTTGTTTTTCATGATTGTGCCTTCAATTATATGTAGAAATATAATTTGTGAATTGCCTGATGAAATTTTCCTAATTTTGAATTATCTTTGCATTCCTATAATAAACACTGTTAGAATGGCTATGGTAATATTTTATTTTTGCATTTTTACTTCTGTATTAAATAAGATTATAGTTTTGTTTGTTTCCTTTAAGGCTGTTATTTCAGTATCAAGGGTATGCAGGGCTGAGTTGGGAAGCTTTACATCTTTTTTCTAAGATCTAGGATGTAGATCTGGTTTACACAGTAATTTTCAACTGCAGGAGTATTTTGCCTCCTATGGGACGTTTGGAAATATCTGGAGACATTTTTGTGGTCACAACTGGTCATGGTCGGGAGGTCTCATTGGCATTCTGTGGGTAGAGGGAATGTTACTAAATGCCCGACAACACACCAAGAGAACCCTCCACAAAGAATTATCTGGCCCAATATATCAATATTGCTGAGGATGACAAATTCTGGTTTAAATATCCAATTTGGAGGATGAGTCTTTGTCTTTTTCCTTCTTCTGCATATTGGTCTCCAGATTTCCCACTTCTTCAGTTACTTCTCGTAACTGTAGGTTCTTAAAAAAAAATGAACACTTTGGATGGGTGCGATGGCTCATGCCTGTAATCCCAGCACTTTGGGAGGCCGAGGCGGGTGGATCACGAGGTCAGGAGATCGAGACCATCCTGGCTAACATGGTGAAACCCTGTCTCTACTAAGCCAAAATACAAAAAATTAGCCAGGCGTGGTGGCGGGCGCCTGTAGTCCCAGCTACTCGGGAGGTTGAGGCAGGAGAATGTTGTGAACCCGGGAGGCGGAGCTTGCAGTGAGCCAAGATCACGCCACTGCACTCCAGCGTGGGTGACAGAGCGAGACTCCGTCTCAAAAAAAAAAAAAAAAAAAAAATGAACATGTCATCCATACTTCTAAGGTGTTGTAAAGATGTGTAAAGTTTTCACTTTTTGCATCATATTCACATGTGGCTATATGCCCTTTTCTCTTCAAAGTTTTCTTTATCTTGATTACTTATCAGAGGCTTGACTGTTTTATTATCTCAGTCTTTTGAAAGAATCCTCCTTTAGTTTTATTTTTTAAATCTAGTGGTTTTTCTTTTTCCTTTTTCCTTAGGTCTTAATTATTTCCCCCTTTTTGTTTGTTTTGCTTTTCCTAGTTTAGTGGATCAATGTAATTTAAATTGCTTTTTAAACAAACGTGTAAGGGTATACATTTTCGTTGGCTGCTGTTTGACTTCGTTGCACAAGTTTTAAAATCTATTTTTTAATAGTTTGTATTTTCTAAATTATTTTATTGCATCTTTTGTTCACATTGCTCTTACTATTAATTTTTTATTTTAATTAATTAATTAATTAATTGAGATGGAGTCTTGCTCTGTAGCCCAGGCTGGAGTGCAGTGGCATGATCTTGGCTCACTGCAAGCTCCACCTCGGGGGTTCATGTCATTCTCCTGCCTCAGCCTCCCAAGTAGCTGAGACTACAGCTGCCTGCCACCACATCCAGCCTTTTTTGTATTTTTAGTAGAGATGGGGTTTCACCGTGTTAGCCAGGATGGTCTCGATCTCCTGACCTCATGATCCACCCACCTTGGGCTCTCAAAGTCCTGGAATTACAGGCATGAGCCACTGCACCCAGCCCAAAAGCTTTGTGCTTTTACAGATATTAGACATGTTTCTTGTTTAAGAAAAAAAATCTTAACGAAAACGTAGGAGAATAAGAGAAACATTTTTCCAAAAAAGAGAAATCATTGTGATTATTTTATCTTATTAGAATGTTGGATAATATAGTCTGCTTCATTAATCATCAAGCATGCTATGCATTTTCCATTTTTATAGGATCTGTATCTCAGTTAAGGTAATACTGGTAATTTTTGTACTGTAATCAAAGATGAAAAATATAGGCCAAAATCATAGACCTTGCATAGAAGCTGGATAATGAAGACAGCTATGGAGAAAAACATAGATACACACACGGACACACATATATATATAAAGTATACACACATATATTTTTTAAAGTTTTAAAGCTTTTAAAGCAAAAGCCAGCCCCTCTTCTCTTCCAGAGTGGGAGGCCTCTCCCCTCTCTTAGAGTGGGTGGGGAGAGCGGTTGCCATGGGCAGCTTTCCTTGTGAGCCACAGGGCCCTCTGGACACGCTGCTGTCTGGCCACGCCCTTTCCCTTTCATCTTTCTCATTGACCAATGGGCTTGGAGCATTAAGGCCACGCCCCTATTCCGCATTCTACTGGGGCCCTGGTTACGCCTCCTCTGGCTCAGTCACACAGCTGCCTGGTAGGTGACTGGAGGCCTTGATCGGTTCTTATTGGGATTTTGCTGCTGTGGCCCCAACCCTTCCTCCCTCCCCACCCTGCGATGGCAGAAGAAACTCAACACAACAAATTGGCTGCAGCCAAGAAAAAGGTAAAAACGCACTAGGTCATAGCCCCTCAACCCAGCCACAGATCCCCTCTGATGACAAGACCCCTGCCAGAGTCTATACGACTCCTGAGGCACACTGGACTGGTCCCCCCAACCCCGGTGCCTTGGGCTACCCCCACCAAAGTTTTGTCAGTCAGCCCCACCCCTTCAGAAAGCAGCCCAGTCCTTGCCCTCGCCAATCACCCCAGGGTGACTTTGGGTGGGTGACTCCTGGGGCTTCCCGCTCCATTACTGGGCCGTCATCTCCTGCCGCCCCAAGCTTGATCTCCGTGGGCTCTTTGGGCTCTCATCTCCAAGGAGCCAGGCCCCACCCTCGCCAGTCATCCTTGGGTGACTTTGGGCTGGTGACTCCTGGGACTCCCTGCTGCAGACTGTGCCCTCCCCTCCTGCTGCCTCAAGGTCGACCTCCCTGGGTTCTTTGTGCTGGCGTCTCCAAGGAGCTGGGTCCCAACCCTGTGCTTCCCTCCCCCATCGTGGAGCAGCGACTTGGACATGGTGCTGACATGGTCCCTCCCCCCGACCAGGAGGAGTGGAATGTTGTGATGTCACAGTCCACCTAGTAACTGCCGTTACTGCAAGACTGGCCTTTGACCTTACGACCCAGTCCCCTAAGCGTTCTCACCCCGTTTCTGGTTCCTCTGGTCACAGCACAAATTTCCAGCTGGAAGGGGAATGGAGACTATGGGACCTAGGAGCAAGAGGTTCCAGGCTGCCTCACTCCCTTACAGATGTTGACGGTGGGAAAAGCCTACACTTCCCCCATGAACTCAAAACAATGACAGTATCTCTGGGTGGCAATGAGAGAATGGGTTTGATTTGGTTTTCTCCCAGGCTTCTACTTTCCAGAGAGATTTTAACATTTTTTTCTGAGTTCTCCACCTCATATTCTAATTCTCCATGGTTCTGGGACCAGACTCTCCTTCAGTCAGTGGTCTCTGAAGTGAGATTTGCTCATCTTCTGTGGAATAGATCTTGGGAAACTGAACTTGACACCTTGAATCTTCCTCATATTATCTCAACCTTGGGTACTTTGAGTGCCACAGGATAAATGTGGGACATCTTTCTGAAGCATCAGTTTCCCTTGATTCTCTTGAGATCAAGAGAAAAAACATGAATGTACTTAGGGATGACAGTCACATAGGTTTCTAAGAGTATACCAGACCTCTCTCTGAAATGAGGCTTGGGTTGTCCTCTTTCTGATAAATTCTGATTTAAGAGAAAGGCTGCCTTCTGCCATGAGGACACATTGATATAAAAGTTTGAGAGGTACTGGTGCACTTCTTCACACTAACAGACGTGTGAGGATGTATGACTAAACCACATGGCATACAGTTCCTGCCTACTTAATGTTTACTTTTCTACCTCTGCCTCTGGTTTTGGTCCCTGGCAGCTGCTGATTCTTGGCAAAACCTCAGAGCTTGGAGTCAGAAGACTGAGTCTCAAAGTTCCAGTATTGCCTTTTTCTTTTTTTTTTCTAGCCATGATATCAATCCTTCTCAGTCACTAAATGAGTGTGACAACACCTTGTACAGTTGTTGGTGTCATTAAATCAGACGGTGTGTAAGTGTATTTTGTAAAAACTGTAAAGGAGGTTGTGGCTGTAGGGGCTGACGGTTCTCATGAATATTACTGCTCTTCTTTCCAACAGTTAAAAGAATATTGGCAGAAAAACAGACCTAGAGTTCCAGCAGGAGTGAACAGGAACAGGAAAACAAATGGCAGTATCCCTGAGACAGCCACTTCCGGTGGTTGCCAGCCACCTGGGGATGTGAGTCTTGGCTGACCAGGCTTCTGGGGACAGGGGGCCCAAGGGGCAATAGAGGGTAATTCTTAAGATTGTGGATGGACTGCTGGGTACTGGTTAAGAATTCTGGCTTTAGCCGGGTGTGGTGGCCCACGCCTGTAATCCTAGCACATTGGGAGGCCAAGACAGGCGGATCATGAGGTCAGGAGATCGAGACCATCCTGGTTAACACGGTGAAACCCTGTCTCTACTAAAAATACAAAAACATTAGCCACGCGTGGTGGCGTGTGCCTGTAGTCCCAGCTACTCAGAAGGCTGAGGCAAGAGAATGGTGTGAACCTGGGAGGTGGAGCTTGCAGTGGCCAAGATTATGCCACCGCACTCCAGCCTGGTGACAGAGCAAGACTCTGTCTCAAAAAAAAAAAAAAAGGAATTCTGGGTTTGAATCCTGCCTCTCCATCTGCTCTGCTAGGGATATGATTTAGGGCAAGTTGCTTGACCTCATTGGGCCTCTCTTTTCACATCTGTATAATAGAGGTGTTATTGTTTCACTTCCATTTGTGAAGTTTAAATGAGATTTGTTATTGTTGTTTTTATGTTAATCCCTAGTACATGGCCTGCTGTAAACACTCAGGACACCCAGGATATGGTTTGATTTTCCTCATCCCCAGTCTCAAGGGGAAACCAGGACAAAGAGAACAGCCACTTGCCATCAGGAGTCACTGAAGGGGCCCCAGGATGGGATGGTGGGGAGATAAGAACCATGAGAGAAGTTGGCACAAAGGAGTTATGGGACAAAAGGTCCAAGATAGGCAGAAAAGAAAATGTTGCAGTTGATGGGGAAGAAAGGAAGTCAGAGGGCTCAGACACTGTGGGGGACAGAACATCTCCATGTGCACTCTCATCTCTTGTAGTCAGCAACAGGTTTCCACAGGGAAGGCCCTACATCATCTGCTACCCTGAAAGATCTGGAGGTAAGAGGCTCTGGGTGGAGGTGCAGTGACCCTTCGGGTCAACCCTCCAACCTCCTCCTCCAGGTGGGACTGGGTGCCCCTCTGCCAGCTGAGACAGCCCACACACCCCAGCCCTAACGATCGTTCTCTCTACCTCTCTCCCCACTCCTGCTCCACCTCCTCCTCTCTGCATGCACCTCAGAGCCCGTGCCAAGAACGAGCAGTAGTCCTGGATTCAACGTCCGTAAAAATCAGTCGACTGAAGAACACCATCAAATCTTTGGTAAGAGTCCGGTGGGGTCCCCTGATTCCACGCTGCCAATCCTGGGCTCCAGTTTCCCCTTGGGGCCCTGAAGAAAGGGGCTGGGGGTCCCTGGTGCCCGGGACAAATAGGGAGCTTGGGTGCCCAGGCCTCACCTGGAGGGACCCCAGAGCATGCAGCATGGCTCTTCTTTTGCTGCCCTCTTTGCCGACTCTCTCCTCTCCAGACACCCCTGCTCGAGTCCTTGCTACACACGCCCTGGGGTTGTTGCCTCTTGGGGAAGTGCTAGCCTGACTGGTTGTCAAGGGCCCCGTATTTCTGCCATGACTCAGTCCCTAATTTGCTCTTTGATTCTGGACAAGCCACCTCTCCTTTTTGGGCTCGTGTTTCCAGAGGAGGTAGTGAGTATCAAAGGTCTCTGTTAGCTCTCGAGTCTGAGATTTAAAGGCCCCCGGGAATGGAAACCTCAGGGCTAAGGGCTCCTGTCTGTCCTTTTCCATCCTATATCTGCTGTGAAGAACCGTACCTGGCCCATACGTGCTCAGTAAGTGTTTATTGAATGAACCCACTTTTCTAAATCACAAGCTGCCAGAAGGAGGGGCCTTTCTGAAACTCCATCTCTAGAGGTTTATGTTGCTGTCCTCTCAAGAGATTCCAGATTCAGACTGAGTTCTGTGGCTGTGGGCAAAAGCCAACAAAGACCCAAATCCTCTGTCCTTGGGAGCTTGAGGAGAGTTTACCGGTTCGTGTTCCCATTATGTCTGAGAACTTTGCCTTTAAAATCCATTCCTGGCCCCTGCCTACCGCTTCCTGGTCTGGGGAATAGAGTTGAGGGGGCCACCCTCCATCACCTTATTTGACTCTCCCCACAGAAACAACAGAAGAAACAAGTGGAACATCAGCTGGAAGAAGTAACGTGATTTCGTTTCCTCGCGACATGACTGCTGGGTTTGGGGGGCACTCAGACATAGAGGCCCCAGTCTCGTCTCACCCACTCCCAGCCTGGGGAAGAAGGCTGACCCCTCAGATTCCACCCCATCCCCACAGGGCCCCTGATAACCTGGTCCCATGGGTGGGCCTGTCCTGGGGCATTGGTGGCATTCTGGGGGCATGTCTCTTGCTGTGCCATCTCTGCCTCCCCCTGGTAAGAGCTCTGTCTTCCTCTTCCTACAGGAAAAGAAAGCAAACAACGAGAGACAGAAAGCCGAAAGGGAGCTAGAGGTGAGTGGAGGGTGTGCAGTTTCCTCCTGTCCTCCGGAGAATGTTTCTTTCCTTCTCTTTCAGCACTTGCTTGGCTTTTCTCCCAAAGGTTCAAATCCAGACATTGATCATACAGAAAGAGGAACTAAATACGGACCTGTACCACATGGAACGTTCTCTCAGATACTTTGAAGGTGGGAATCTGGGCACCCTGTCATCCTTCAACCTGGCACTTTGACAGGTCTTCAGGGGGAGTCCTTTGGGCCCCATCTCAACTCTCTCATTACAGAAGAGTCCAAGGACCTGGCTGTCCGTCTGCAACATTCATTGCAGTGTAAAGGAGAGTTAGAGAGCGCTCTGTCTGCTGTCATCGCCACAGAGAAGAAGAAGGCAAACCAGGTGAGTCCAGCCACCTGCCCCATCCCCTGGGAGCCTGGTTTTGCAGATGGAGGAGTGAGCCTAAAGGTCCCTTCTGCAGGATGGCGTGTCCTGCCCAGAAGGCAGCATGGCCATTTCTTGCTACTTTTTTGTATGGTTTTTAGTGGCAGCCTGGGGCCGAGTCAGCTGCTGTGGGTGAGTTGGGGGGTACTGTGGGGAGTGAGCACTGGACGCAGAGCTTGGAGGCCAAGTGCCTGCCCCGCCCTTACCTGGCTGTGGTCTTGGGCAAGTCCTAGTCCTAGGTGGGGTATTGGGTACTTGTACTGTGAAGGTACAGAAGAGTACCTTTAGTATGTTACCATTTCTGTAGAAAGAGGAAACGTGTGTGCGTGTGTGTGTGTGTGTGCATACTGTGATAATATACATAAAACATGTCTGCAAGGGTTCATAAAAAATTCAGGAGAGAGCAACAAGATGGCCGGGAGATACTTCCCTTCTGTACCTTCTGAGTTTTGGACTATGCAAATGTTATCATCCTTTCAAAAAGTGAACAAAAGATTAATTTTCCCCTTCCTATCTGTGCCCCCATCCCCAGCAAGAAAAACGGGCTTAGAGAATTGGATAGACCTGGGTGTTTATATCCCAGCTCTGCCTAAGTGAACTTAGGCAAGCACTTAACCTCAAATACTCCATGTTTTTTCATCTCCACAATAGAGGGAATCATAGTAACTGTCTCCTATGGTGGTTGCGAGGATTAAATGGGATTGTTAGCACGGTACCTGGTGAAGCATTCCACAAAGGTTCAAACAGTGGTAATAATGACAATAATAACAACAGCAATATTATCTGATCTCTCTGGGCCTCTGTTAGCCAGCTATAAACTCAGTCTCATTCCCTGTCCGTTCCAACTTTACTGTGTTCTTTTAAAAACCAGACCACGGGCTGGGAAATGCCTTGATCTTTACTGACCGAGTTGTATATTGGGCCTAGCCCTAGCCCTGTTAAGGGGCACTGTGTGGAAATGCCCAGGCTCTCCAGATTGAAACTTCTCACTCTTCACCATCCAGTTGTCCAGCTGCAGCAAAGCACATACAGAGTGGGAGTTAGAGCAGTCCCTACAGGACCAGGCACTGCTGAAAGCGCAGCTGACACAGGTGAGGTTTTCCGAGGGAGGGATGTGGAAGGACGATGACCCCAGGTGGCCAGGAGCAGGTGAGGACCAGTGACAGCCCTTCCTAACTTCTGTGCCCATTCTTGCAGTTGAAGGAGTCATTTCAACAACTCCAATTAGAAAGAGATGAGTGTGCTGAACATATAGAAGGAGAGAGGGCCCGGTGGCATCAGAGGATGAGTAAAATGTCGCAGGAGGTGAGATCTGACCCTTCAGCCCCCCCACATTAGATAGGTCACTGGATCTTTCTGGGCATCTGTAAAATGGGAATAGTAGAGCCAGAGGTGGTCATGGGTCTGGGCTTTGTGGAGGTGGGGGCAGAGAGGGAGAGGGCAGCCTGTCCAGCCACCAGCCCCTCTCTCCAGGGCCCTTTCCCCCTGTGCTTTGGGCAGATTTGCACATTAAAGAAAGAGAAGCAGCAAGATATGCGTCGGGTAGAGCAGCTGGAGTGGAGCTTGTCCAAACTCAAAAACCAGACGGGTAAGATGGGGCTGGCATGACCTGGGAGCAGGACTGGCATCAGAGGGCTGTGAGGGTGGCTTAGAGTGCCCCAGGGAGGTGGGTGGATGGAAGGGCTTTGAGGCAGAGGGAAAGAGATCTGTGCCAGGAGACCGCAAGTCTTGTCATCTCAGTGAGTCTCAGTGTCTCAGTGTCCCCATCAGCAAAGAGGGCCCGTTGTCAGCCACCCGCAGTGCTCTTTCTCTGAAAGTGCTTTGGAAGACTGGCTACCATCTGGGTGCGAGGAATCATTAGCAGTGAGGCCAAGTTTGAGGAGCCTGAGAGGAGCTGTGCGCCAAGAGGAGGGTTTTTCTTTTCCGAGAATCCAGAGGCCCTTATTATCTGCTTCCTTTGTCAGCTGAACCCTTGGCCCCGGAGCCCCCAGCAGTGCCCTCTGAGGTGGAGCTGCAGCACCTGAGGAAGGAACTAGAGAGAGTGGCAGGAGAGCTCCAGGCCCAGGTCAAAAACAATCAGCACATAAGTCTCCTGAACCGGCGACAAGAAGAGAGGATTCGGGAACAGGAAGAGAGGCTTCGGAAGCAGGAGGAGAGGCTTCAGGAGCAGCACGAGAAGCTTCGGCAGCTGGCCAAGCCACAGAGCGTCTTCGAGGAGCTGGTGCGTTGCCCCAACTGGGGAGCCTGCCCTCCTCCCTAGCCCTCCGGGCCTTTGTTTCCCCACCTCTAAAATGGGGCAGTGTAGCCCTCGCGTGAAAGGTTACTTCTAAAGGCACCTGTGAGCCAGGTGGCTGTGGGAGAGAGGGGGTGATTTTTCTAACCTGCCTCCAGCCTTCCCAGTGCCATGGGAGGCAGACACCAAGTTCTGGGGTCTCCAGCTGCAGTGGGTGGCTGCTGATTGCTTCTCTCTGTCCAGAACAATGAGAACAAGAGCACACTGCAGTTGGAGCAGCAAGTAAAGGAGCTACAGGAGAAGCTTGGCGAGGTGAAGGAGACGGAAACCTCCACCCCATCCAAGAAGGGCTGGGAGGCGGGCAGCAGCCTCTTGGGAGGGGAGGTGCCAGGTCAGAGGCAGCTTCCAGCCTGGGGGCTGGTGACCACAGCACCCCCCAGGGCAGTCCTGCGACTGTTTCTCGCTTCCTGCCTCTGACTTTTAAAGGTGGGTAGCCCTGGGCTCCTCTCAGGTCTGGACATCATCATCCCAGCTAGAGGCATGGAGCCCCCAATCACAGGGGAAGAGACAGTGCTATAACAGGCTCCTTATACCAGGTGCAGTGGCTCATGCCTATAATCCCAGCACTTTGGGAGGCTGAGGCAGAAGAATCACTTGAGGTCGGGAGTTTGAGATCAACCTGGCCAATGTGGTAAAACCTCATCTCTACTAAAATTAAAAAAAAAAAAATTAGCAGGGCATTGTGGCGCATGCCTGTAATTCCACCTACTCGGGAGGCTGAGGCACGAGAATTGCTTCAACCCAGGAGGTGGAGGTTGCAGTGAGCTGAGATTGCACCACTGCACTCCAGCCTGGGCCACAGAGTGACACTCTTGTCTGAAAACAAAACAAAAAGACTCCTTAGATTGAAACTGGATTCCAGCCTCGGTTCCACTGGTCACCATTCAAGTACTTTGCATCTCTAAGTCTCTGTTTCTTTAACTTCAAAGGGAAGTTAGCATTTTCCTTACAGAGGTGCTGAGGATTAAATGAGAAGAGGGTATGAGATTTGAGGCTGGGGAAGGAGGCATGGGGTTCTAGGAAAGGGAGGCAGTCACTTAGGCCTGGAGTAAGGGGACAGGGGCCTGGGTAGCTGACAGAGCCC
The DNA here is from genome assembly GCF_000001405.40 of Homo sapiens. Classification (NCBI taxonomy): domain Eukaryota; kingdom Metazoa; phylum Chordata; class Mammalia; order Primates; family Hominidae; genus Homo; species Homo sapiens. The sequence continues at coordinate 4,816,182 of NT_187660.1, forward strand.
CACAGTGCCCTCGCTACCCTATTAATGGGCCCAGAATCTGGAAACCAGCCACCACGTGCCCTCACACCCAGGGTCTTCCTGCAGGTGGAGCTGAAGAGCCAAGAGGCTCAGAGTCTGCAGCAGCAGCCAGATCATTACCTGGGTCACCTGCAGCAGTACGTGGCCACCTATCAGCAGCAGGTGGCCGCCTATCAGCAGCTGACCTGTGAGAAGGAGGCGCTGTACAGGCAGTGACTGCAACAGACCCAGCTAATGAACCAGCTGCAGCAGTAGGAAGCTTGGGGCAAAGCAGTGGCCGAGATGGCCTGCCAAAAGTTGCAGGAGACCCAGGGGAGGGAGCTGCCGAGGATGGGGCTGTGAGGGGGACGACCTGGCAAACTCCATCCCTTCTCACTCTTTCCTGGCCCCTTAGGAGCACCTGGAAGCGGCCAGCCAGCAGAACCAGCAGCTAACGGCCCAGCTGAGCCTCATGGCTCTCCCTGGGGAAGGTACGGGAGACTGCTCAGAGGAAGAGGAGAGAGCCCCAGGAGGAAGGGGGGACTGCTAGCAGCATAGGATTGAGGAGTTGGAAGAGACCTTTAGAACAGCTGGTCATTATGCCGACCGGGTGCCTGCACTAAGTTCGGCATCAGTGTGGTGACCTCCTGTGAGCGGGCGGTCACCAAGTTGCCTAAGGGTGGCTGAACTGGCCAAGGTCAGAAAGGGAGCAGGTCAGAACTCCCACATCGACCAGTAGTGGGAGTGTGCCTGGGCGGAATAGCAAGATCTTGATTCTTAAAAGTAAAAATAAAGAACAACAGCTCATTCCTCTCTGGGGAGGGGCTGGCTCAGGGTTACACAGTGAGGGTGGAGGTAGAGGTGGGCCCACAGTACCTCCCTTGTTGGGTTGTCTGAAGACCCCTCTGGCCACCCCCCACAGGACACGGAGGAGAACATCTGGACAGTGAGGGGGAGGAGGCACCTCAGCCCATGCCGAGTGTCCCAGAGGACCTGGAGAGCAGGGAGGCCATGGTGAGCCTGACTCCCCCTGCACCCATTTTGCCACCTTTCTCTGTGGTCCCTCCAAGACCCCTTTATGCTCTTCGTTTCCCTGCCTTCTGATTTCTCTGGACCCTCACCCCTTCCGAGAGCCAGTGGTCAGACACCATTTCACCTGTGGCCAACAGGTGCACTCTCTGAGGCCCCAAGGGAAGGGGCTGCGCTCCACCTCTCTGCCCCATTTCTTCTGTGTATGCCCCTAGAAGAATGCTCACATCTTGCCCTCAGGTGGCATTTTTCAAGTCCGCTGGAGCTAGTGCCCAGGAGAAGCAGGCACAGTTACAAGAGCAGGTGAAAGAGCAGAGGGTGTGCTGCCAGCGCCTGGCTCACCCGGTGGCCTCGGCCCAGAAGGAGCCAGAGGCGGCCAGAGGCCCTGGAGCCCCAGGGCCTGGGGGCGAGTCTGTGAGTGGGGAGACCCACTGGGCCCTGCAGGAAGTCACGGAGAAGCTGGCCCATGCCAGGACTCACCTCCGCCTTCTCCATGACTTGAAAATGCCACCTGAGGGCAGGTCGCTGCCGAGATGTGACTGCAATATTTTGGCTCCAGAGCAGCTTTATGGACCACCTGAAGGAGAAGGCAGACCTGAGTGAGCTGGTGAAAAAACAAGAACTTCGCTTCATTCAATACTGGCAAGAGAGATGCCATCAGTGAGTGGGAGGCCAGGGCACGGCAGGGGGAGCTACAGGGCCATCAGAGGGGCCCCAGCATCTGAGCCCTGTCCTCCCGCAGGAAAATCCATCACCTTTTATCAGAACCAGGGGGCCGTGCCAAAGATGCAGCACTGGGAGGAGGACACCATCAGGCTGGAGCTCAGGGAGGAGATGAAGGTAGGGTGTGCAACATCTCTGTGGGGGTGGGGGTGGGGGTGGGGGTGAGGGTGGGCGCAGGCAGCGGCATGGCAGCTGAGCACCCCTCCCTCCAGGTGAAGCTGCTGGAGCTGCAGCAGATGGTATTGCGGCTTACAGCAACTACAACAATGGGCACAGAAAATTCCTGGCCGCTGCCCACAACCCTGCTGATGAGCCCGGTCCAGGAGCCCCAGCTCCCCAGGAGCTTGGGGCTACAGATAAGCATGGTGGTGAGTAGAGCCCTCAGGCGGGGTGGGCAGGCAGGAAGAGGGGGGCTCCCACTGTGCTCAGATCCCCGCCTCCCTCTCTCCAAAGATCTTCGTGAGGTGACCCTCACCTCCTCTGCCCAAGGAGAGGCCAGGGAGGATCCTCTCCTTGACAAGCCTACTGCACAGCCGATCGTGCAGGACCACCAGGAGCACCCAGGCTTGGGCAGCAACTGCTGTGTGCCATTATTTTGTTGGGCTTGGCTGCCAAGAAGAAGGAGATAAACATCACCATCATCAAACAGCTGCTCAAGAAATTTTTAAATAAGAAACCAAGTTATGGGGTTAATCTCCTACACAATTCATTTACTTCCTTTGAATGTTAGACTCACTCATGATTATTTGTGTTTCTAATTTATAGTTTAAGTTTATTTGTAAAAAGTTAAAAGAGAGTGGGTGTCTGTGGCTCTCACTGATGTTCACTCTGGCATCCTTTAGCATTTTTCTTTTTTAATTTCATAATTGTAGGTCATTAGCATGCATATCGAGTTTGCCCTTACGTGGTGGGAGTTCAAACACACAAAGACCCACTCTTTGCCCAAAACTGTTCTCTTTGGTTTGGAATAGGCTGCCATGCTTTTTTAATGTTATTGCAGCATGTATATTCACTACAGCATTCAGACAAAATTTGCCTATGTTCTGCTGTTGTTTGATCTAATCTTAATCACAGTGAGCTCTTCCTTAGCTCAATATGTAGTTTGCCCCCAAGTGTGCACTGTTTATTACTTTGTAATACGCCACTATGAGTACTGACATTTAGAGTTGTTTAAAGGCCAAGAATTGGAAACAGCCTTTCCTCCATTTTCTGTGTATTGGTGATGGGAGTGATAACCTTTTGGGGGAGCTTTTTAAATCTCACAGAAGAGGAAAGTGGCCTCCTCTGGCAGGTATGTGCAGGATAGAGTGTGTTTCATCTCTTCCGGTGCCAGGAATTAGCGGTGTATTATGGTGGTGCCCTTAGGATTTGTATGTGCTCTGGGCTCATGAAGATATTGCATCATGAGCTGCAGCAGTTGCACTCTTTTTCGATGACCTAAAAAGGGCTTATTTCTGAGGAATGAAAGGTTCCCATCGTTGACTGTGGATGTGGAAAACCTTTCCTAGCTTAGAGCATTTGTATCTACAATACATTTTAAAGTCAGAGTTCATGTTACCTGTTTTAATCACATGACTACATGCCCCAGTACACAAAAGGGCACTGGTTGGCATTCTTCTTAATGTATTTAGTGAAGATCATAAGAAATCCTTTACGAGTTCAAATGTCCCTGGAACAGGCATACAGGCTCTAGTCAAGAATGAATTAGAGTGAAGGAAAGCTGTGTGACTCCTGGCATTCCTCTCTGTTCACGGAGATTCTTTGAGGCTTGAAGATTGATTTTACCATCTAGACCTCTTTGGCTAATACCTATTCTTCAACCACCTTGGTTACTCTGATATAGGAATTTACTTCTTTTTCTTTGAATGGAAAACACTTTAAAAAAAATAGAAACATTCTTATAAACTAATATATGTGAGATAGTTGAAACAAAAAGGAGTTTTAGTAGATGGTATTATACTATCTTTGAAAATCAAGGAGAAGTTTATGAAACTTAAAATGTGTACAAACTGCAGTGCAATCTACTGTTGTTCGTGAATGTCAATGTATTATCAGGAAACGTGTCTATACAACCACAGAGTTATATTTTCTCACAAACTTCTTTACAAAGTGAAATATGTTTTTGTACCTCTGGGTTTCTGTTCGGGACATATTTTGTGCGATATTTATGTGATTGTGCCTATGCATGATGAATGAATGCATTTCAGTTATGTATTGCCTAAATCGTAACTTGATGATGCTTGGGAAAGACTCAACAGTTAAAACTTCATGAAGTTCTAATGTCTGTGTTCCAAAACACATCACATTGTTAGGATGCAGGGAGATAGGTGTGTGTGCTCCCTGCGGTGGGGATTTCTAGTTACTAGATCATCTCCATTTTTAGCATTTGGCATCCTCATGATACTTCTATAAATATGACATTAACAGGAGAGCAACAATACGATTTTACCGATGGAATAACAGATTTGCTGGCATTCACTGAAAGAGTGCAAATATTCGGTCCTTGTGACTTCCACTGACTCTTCCAAATTTTATGAATGTATCAATGTATTAGATAAACCCAGTTTCAGAATGATAAAGAAAAAATCTTAGACCAAATAATGCGGCTAATTAACAGTGGTACGATTTCTAGCCCGTGGGTTTAAAATGCACTTAAAGTCCTGTTCTCGCCTTTTATTTTCTGAACTTGCCGCTTTTGCATTCTTTGAGTTCAGTTTAAAGACAGTTACTTTAAGAGCATTTTAAACCCTCGGGCTAGAAATCGGACCACTGTTAATCAGCCACATTATTTGGTCTAACGTTTTTTCTTTTATCATTCTGAAACTGGGTTTATCTAATACATTGATAAATTATTTCAAAGGTACTTTTATCGTTGAAATCACTTCACTTTTACCCTGATAAATATCAGTGACTAGGAATGACCTTCGGATAGCGTTTAGCATCTGTAACCAATCTGACAATAATGTGTTCATGAGGTGCCTATGGATTAAATCACACACTGGCATATTTAAGCTGAAGGTCAGTCTGGAAAATAAATTTACTATATTGACTGAAATACCACTCTTTGTGTAGGTATTTGTCATATATTTAAGAAAACACTAAAAAGAATGGAAATTGTATGACAATAACTTAAGTCTTTCTCCAAAGTGCATGCAGTCTTTTGCGATACCTCATTCAGCCGAGTATTTGTACTCTTCCTCATTCAGTATAAGGAAGCTTTCAGTTTGCTTAGAAGGCAACATTGGAATGTTAGAGTTCATGAGAAACATAGAATTTTAAACTGTGAGTTCCACTGAATACATTTTAATGTCTGTAGGAAGAATCAAAACACCTATTTAAAGATGGCAATATATAATAATCATTTTAAAAGTATTTGATTCAACCTAATTTTCCAGAAATGAAAAAAAAAAAATCAGCTCTAAAACCAAAGCTGATTTCAGAAAATTTGAAAATGTAAATCAGCCCTATCCATAATATAGTTTCTCTAAAACTTTATCTTAGTCATTTTAAAATAATATAACTATTAAAAAATGTAACTGCTATCTTAATGTTCTGAAATAATTTAAAACATTTTAAAATATGAATACTGTAGTATAAAAGAAAGAAATGGTGGGAACGAAAAGCAGAGAAAGAAATGCCAATTCCAGTCCAAAGTTTTATTTGCCAAGTTTTCTTAGAATGAATTTTACCAGTTTATGAATTATTGTAAACAGAATGTGTCATGGAAATACTGAAAGATTTTTCCCTAGAGTGGCCTTATTGACTGCTGGTGTGATGCCACTGTAATGTAATAAATTATTAAATTGTTTCAATGTGTTGTTTTTGCCTTAAAATTTTATTTTGCGTTTCTTGAAAACTATAGTATTAAAGGTATTGATACTGTGCAAATGCTGGGCATGCTTGGCATGAGATAATGTGTTTCATTTTTACAAAGGTGTAATATAACTATGCAAGTGTTTCTTAACACAAGATTTAAAAAGTTATGGGATTAAAAGAAGTTATGGGGTGAAAAAGTTATGGGATAAAAAATGTAAAAACGTTGTGGCAAAAAAACTTGTGGGAAAAAAGTAGAAAACAGTATTATGAAAAGTTACAAAAGAAGTTATGAAAAAGAAGTTACGGGATTTTTTTTTTAAAAGTCATGGAATAAAAATAAAATGAGAATCATAAGAGAATCATTGAGAATCATAAAAATGCAGATTCTGATTCAGTAGGTCTAGGGTGGGGCCTGAGTTACTTCTTTTTTTTTTTTAGACGGAGTCTTGCTCTGTCGCCCAGGCTGGAGTGCAGTGGCGCGATCTCCGCTCACGCAAGCTCCGCCTCCCGGGTTCACGCCATTCTCCTGCCTCAGCCTCCCGAGTAGCTGGGACTACAGGCGCCCGCCACCACGCCCCGCTAATTTTTTGTATTTTTTAGTAGAGACGAGGTTTCACTGTGTTAGCCAGGATGGTCTTGATCTCCTGACCTCGTGATCCACCCGCCTCGGCTTCCCAAAGTGCGGGGATTACAGGCGTGAGCCACTGCGCCCGGCCCTGATTTACTTCCTTTCATGCACCACATAGCAATGTTTCGGTCAACAATGGACTACATATATATCTATCACTGTCTTCCACCTCCACATTCTGTCCTACTGGAAGGTCTTCAGGTGCAATAACACAGAAGGAGCTATCATCTCCTATGATAACAAGGCTTTTTTCTGGAATAGCTCCCCACAGACCACCACAAATATGTGATGTGAGTAATGAACTGTGCTACAGTGATGCTACTACGTCAACAACATCACTAGGCAATAGGAACATTCCAACTCCATTATAATCTTTTTTTTTTTTTTTTTGAAACTGAGTCTTGCTCTGTCGCCCAGGTTGGAGTGCAGTGGCACGATCTGGGCTCACTGCAAGCTCCACCTCCCGGGTTCACGCCATTCTCCTGCCTCAGCTTCCTGAGTAGTTGGGACTACAGGCGCCCACCACCACGCCTGGCTAATTTTTTTGTATTTTTTAGTAGAGACGGGGTTTCACCGTGTTAGCCAGGATGGTCTCAATCTCCTGACTTCGTGAGCCGCCTGCCTTGGCCTCCCAAAGTGCTGGCATTACAGGCATGAGCCACTGCGCCGGGCCCCAACTCCATTATAATCTTATGGGACCAGTGGATATAGATGATCCTGACCCTGCTCAGGCCTAGGCTAATGTGTGAGTTTGTATCTTCATTTTGGTTTTGTTTGGTTTTGTTTGGTTTTGAGACAGGGTCTCGCTCTATCGCCCAGGCTGGAGTGCAGTGGTGCGATCTCAGCTCATTGCAACCTCTGCTCCCCAGGTTCAAGCAATCCTTCCACCTCAGCCTCCCAAGTAGCTGAGACTATAGGTGTGTGCCACTATGCCTGGCTATTTTTCATATTTTTTTGTAAAGGCGGGGTTTCGTCATGTTGTCCAGGCTGGTCTTAAACACCTGGACTCCAGCAATCCACCTGCCTCGGCCTCCCAATGTGCTGGGATTATAGGTGTGAGCCACCACGCCCAGCCATGTCTTGGTTTTTAACAAAAAAGTTTAAAATGTAAAAAAAATAGAAAAAAATCCTACCGAATATGGAAAGAAAATATTTTTGTACAGCTGTACAATGTGTTTGTGTTTTGAGCTATTACTACAAAGGAGTCAAAAGTTAAGAAAATTTAAAAGCTGATGAAATTAAAAAGTTATAGTAAGCTAACCTTAATTTATTACTGAAGGAAAAAATTTTAATAAATTTAGTGTAGCCTAAGTATATGCTGTTTATAAAGTCTATAACAATGTACAGTAAGGTCCTAGGCCTTCACATTCACTCACCACTCACTGACTCACCCAGAGCAACTTCCAGTCCTGCAAGCTCCACTCATAAGTACCCTACGCAGGTAAAATTTTAAATCTGTGGCCGGTCGCAGTGGCTCACACCTGTAATTCCAGCACTTTGGGAGGCCGAGGTGGGCGGATCACAAGGTCAAGAGATCAAGACCACCCTGGCCAACATGGCGAAACGCCATCTCTACTAAAAATACAAAAATTAGCTGGGCGTGGTGGTGCACGCCTATAGTCCTAGCTACTCGGGAGGCTGAGGTCGGAGAATCGCTTGAACCCGGGAGACAGAGGTTGCAGTAAGCTGAGATTGTGCCACTGCAATCCAGCCTGGTGACAGTGCAAGACTCCATCTCAAAAAAGAAAAAAAAAAAAGAAAAAAATTTAAATGTTATATCATAAATTTTAAATCTGTTAAGATACATAAATACTTGGTATTGTGTTACAATTGCCTACAGTATTCAGTACAGTAATCTGCTGTACAGGTTTGTAGCCTAGGAGCAATAGATTATATCACATAACTAGGTGTGTGTGTAGTTGGCTACACCATCTAGGCTGATGTAAGTACACTCTATGATGTTTGCACAATGACAAAATTGCCTAACAATGCATTTCTCAGAAGGTATCTCTGTCATTAAGAGACACATGGCTATAGTTTCCAGGCGATACCTATGCCGTATTTGAATAGCAAGGCTCTAGTTTAGAGCACTGTTTAGGGAAAACCACTGGCCCTGTATCTTAAGTTGGGTTGCCTGAAAAACAGGTACTGAGATGGAGATTTCCCCACAGGAGGCTTACTTGGGAAGGCTCTTGGAACAACACAAGTAAAGGAGTAAAAGAAACAGGATTGGGCAGCCTGTGAAACAGTTGCCACCATCTCAGCTGCTCCTTCAGGAAGCTCTAGAGCTGGGAGGTCCTTCCGTTGTCTTGAGATATGGGGACCAGGCCTATGAAACCCCATATTAACCAGGCATGGAATGTAGACTGCCCAGAGGAAGGCATCACTTGGGGTGAGGCAGGTCCTTTTCATGGAGCAGCTCTCAGAGGGGGACTTTGTTGTGAGCCATGAGGAACCAACACTTCTGCAAGTGGGGCGAGTGAGCACCTCAGCCTGGAGGGGGATCTAGGTGAAGCACCACAGTGTCTACTATTCTGGTGATAGCCCAGTGACCTCAGGAAATCACTGTACTATTTTCCATCTTAGTCCACATTTAGGACAGAATATGATAGACATTTCTGTTTTATTAATAAATGGAACAATGTGGCCGGGTGCGGTGGCTCACGCCTGTAATCCCAACACTTTGGGAGGCTGAGGCGGGCGTATCACGAGGTCAGGAGATCGAGACCATCCTGGCTAACACGGTGAAACCCCGTCTCTACTAAAAATACAAAAATTAGCCGGGCGTGGCGGCATGCGCCTATAGTCCCAGCTGCTGGGGAGGCTGAGGCAGGAGAATGGTGTGAACCCGGAAGGCAGAGCTTGCAGTGAGCCGAGATCACACCACTGCACTCCAGCCTGGGGGACAGAGCGAGACTCCGTCTCAAATAAATAAATAAATAAATAAATAAATGGAACAATGTGTCTGTGGAATGTGCCAGGCCCTAGAAGCAGTGATTCTAGGAACAATCATTTTGGTTTTACAGAAAAAAACTCGGACCTAATTTGAAAGTTGCACAAATCATCTTATTTCAAGCAGGGATGCAGGTAAAAGGTTCAGGAAGGCCCTTTGGCAGACACTTTATGGACTGATTTCACAGAAATGAGGGCTAGGTGAACTAACATCTAAGGAAAAGGATGTGTGCCATCTAGTGGCACTAAAAGCAAAGCCTAATGCTTAACGAAAGATTTCCCTTTTCATCGTCAGGGAACTCAGTGAGGTTTTCAGTAGTGTTTTCCTACTTTTAGAAGTAGGTGTGGGAGTTCACTAAATGAAATAAAATTACAATATCTACAGCTGGATAGCTGTGTGGGGTAACACATAAAATTGGATCCATTCTTTCTACACTGGATAAATTCCAAATTTAAGGACCGGGCGCGGTGCCTCACGCCTGTAATTCCAGCACTTTGGGAGGCAGAGGCAGACAGATCACCTAAGGTAAGGAGTTCAAGACCAGCCTGGCCAATATGGCGAAACCTCGTCTCTACTAAAAACACAAAAATTAGCCAGGTGTGGTGGCATGCACCTGTAGTCTCAGCTACTCAGGAGGCTGAGACAGGAGAATCATCTGAACCCGGGAGGTGAAGGTTGCAGTGAGCAGAGGTCGCATCACTGCACTCCAGCCTCAGAGATCTAACATTAACAAATGAAAACATAGCAGTACTAGAAAATTAAGTACTAGAATTCACAAGAGTGAATACCTTTATAACTCAGAAGTGGGGAAAATACTCCTATCTATGATCAGAATCCAGAAGCATTAAGGGAAGAGATTAACTATAATTTAAACAAACAAAAAAGCAAGGCAAAAAGTCTAAAAAATATATGTAGCTTATATCATGAGGGACTAATATATAAAAAGCTTCTAAAATATTTTTAAAGACCATCCTGAAAGTAAAAGATGGACAATTTAAATAAAAAGAAGTACAAATAGCCCTTAAACAGGTGAAAAGATTGATTTATTGCACTTTGTTTTCCATTTTAGGAGTTGCTTTTACATTTTATTTTATTTTATTTTATTTATTATTATTTTGTTTAGATGGAGTCTCACTGTGTCACCCAGGCTGAAGTGCAGTGGCCGGATCTTGGCTCACTGCAACCTCCGCCTCCCAGGTTCAAGCGATTCTCCTGTCTCAGCCTCCCGAGTAGCTGGGATTACAGGCATGCATCACCACGCATGGCTAATCTTTGTATTTTTAGTAGAGACGGGGTTTCACCACGTTGGCCAGGCTGGTCTCGAACTCCTGACCTCAGGTGATCCGTTCACCTCGGCCTCCCAATGTGCTGGGATTACAGGCGTGAGCCACCACCTTATTTTGTATTTTAAACATGTTACACATTTACAGGGTTCCAAGTTTATATATAAAACAAGATATATTCAGAGAGGTCTAGCTTCCATTCCTATTTTCTACTTCACCTGTTCTTGATCTTCTCCTATTGTTTACCATTTTTATTAGATTTTGGTTTACCTTTCTATTGTTTATTTTTGAAAATATAAGTAAGTATCCATTTGTATATGTATCTCTACCACCCCGTATACCAAAGGCAGCATACTATATACACTCTTTTATGCCTTGCTTTTTCACTTCACTTCACATCATAGTCATATATCTTCCACATTCCTTAACAGCTTCATAATACTTTGTCGTAAGCATGCATCATTTGAAAAAATGTTCCACTTCATTGACAAAAAGATAAATACAAAACTATACTGGAGGCTGGGCGCAGTCGCTCATGCCTGTAAACTCAGCACTTTGCGAGGCCGAGGTGAGTGGATAGGTTGAGGTCAGAAGTTCGAGACCAGCCTGGCCAACATGGCGAAACCCTGTCTCTACTAAAATTACAAAAATTAGCCAGGCGTGGTGGTGATTGCCTGTGGTCCCAGCTACTCAGGAGGTTGAGGCAGGAGAATCGCTTGAACCTGGGAGGCAGAAGTTGCAGTGAGCCAAGATAGAGCCACTGAACTCCAGCCTGGGCAACAGAGTGAGACTCCGTCTCAAAAAAAAAAAAAAAAAAACTACACTTTGATAACATTTCCCACATATCGATTTAGCAAACATCTAGGAGTTTGACAATTCATTCTATTGGAGAGGCTGCAGAGAAACAGGAAATGCTGCTGGTGTGAATACAAAACTGCACAACCCCTATGAAGGGGAATTTGGCAGAATTAAACAAAATAACATGTTCTTTTACCCTTTGACCTAACAATCCCATTTATAGAAATCTATGCTAAAGACCCACTGGCAAAAGCATATTATATATGCACAAGGAAACTTTTGTATAGCAAAAGACTGGGAATAGCCAACATATCCACTAGTAAGGGCCTGGCTAAATAAACTACAGTACATCCATATATAACCAAAAAGAATAATTATGCCCAGTTCATTTAAAACACAGTATCTTGATTTTACATCCTTAGTTGGATACAATTTTAGAAAAAAGGAAGTACATGCAAAGTTAAACTTCATTTATCTGTTAGCAATATCTCTATTGTTATTCTGTTTTTATTCTTTATCCTGTTATTGCTATTGTTGTGTTTATATACCTGTGAATATAGGTAGATGAAGCAAATAACCATTATGTTAATATTAATATTTATTAATAGTAACATTAATAATAAGGCAATGAAAAGAACCAATATTTTCATTGCCTCCTTGTGTGTAGGAAAAAAGAACCAATATTTTCATCTTAAGAGAAAGGAAGGGCCGGATGTGGTGGCTCACACCTGTAATCCCAGCACTTTGGGAGGCTGAGGCGGGTGGATCACGAGGTCAGGAGTTCAGGACCAGCCTGGCCAAAATGGTGAAACACCGTCTCTACTAAACATACAAAAATTAGCCGGGCCTGCTGGCAGACGCCTGTAATCCCAGCTGCTTGGGAGGCTGAGGCAGAGAATTGCTTGAACGTGGGAGGTGGAGTTTGCAGTGAGCCGAAATTGTGCAACTGCACTCCAGCCTGGGCGACAGAGCGAGACTCCATCACAAAAAAAAAAAAAAAAAAAGAGAAAGGAGACGAAAAACAAGAAGAGCTCAGCTTTAAAAAAGGATCACGACGTAGAAAAAGACACAACACTGAAGATTGTCATGGGTCTTTAAGAAAAGGAAATTTGAGACGGCTAAAACGCCGAACAGTGTGGAGTTTGGGGAAGAGATGTGGCTAAAGACAGCGTAAGCAATTTTTTAAAGTTATGTCTGAAGCAAGAAGAAAAGACAAGGAATAGGTTCAGTTTCATCTCTGATACACCGTTTCTTGTTAAAATTGATGTTTTTTTCTGCAGGCATTTGCTTCCTGAATGATGGTCCCACTCAGCCATCCACCTATACTTTCTACAAAGTCAATTTATACTGATTCTTCAGATCAGTTAATCACTGGTACGTTTCCCCTCCCCGGTCAAGGATCTTTTATTATACGCTATCATAGAATCATATTCCTTTCCTTAGCGCACTTCTCTCAACTGATAAGTGCCGCCATTAATGTACTTACTTGATAAATATATGCCTGCCTTTCCTCTTCCAGGGCCGAAACTGTGCCTGGTTTTGCTCATCATTCTATAGTCTATAGCACGAGTTCAATAAACAGTTGTTAAAGCAACATATTTAACTTACATTTTGTTCCCATCTCTTCACTCAGAGACTTTTCTTTGGATTGGGAAGGGTAAAATATCCGAAGATTTGAACTCCAAAAGAAACAAAATGATTCTATGCAAACGTTTCCTACTTAAAACTCATTCATTGGACAAATATTCACTTAGTCCCTGGCACTATTTGGTAATAGGAATACAGGAGTGCATATGGCAGATAAAGTTCTGTTGCTGCCCTTACCAAGTTTCGTGGGGGTGAGATGTGGTGTTAGTAAATGCATACTATTTTGTCTGTATTTAAATCGAGTCCAAATCTCTCGCTCTACAGCCCGCCTTGGGATGTTTCTTATATCCCAAGAAACAGAATATTTTGATGGGATCGCTGATGTTTCAGACTGCAAAAGCAGCTCAGGGCGTTTGCAGTCGTGCAAGTCAACAAGATAACCGTCTGGACCGGAAGCTGGGCTCCTCCCGGTCTCCTAACGCCAAATCCAACACCAAGCTTCTGCAGCTGCCACCTCCCGTAGACTTCGCATTTCTTCCGCACTCTCCTCTCACGACGGGTCTTCTTTGTTGTACTTAATTTCCTACGCAATAAGATTTCAGCATCACCATCAGTCCCCCAAAGACTAATTCCCACAGAGCCGAAGTTCCCACCAAGGGCCGAGGGTTAAGGTTACTAAAATCAGCGTTTCTGAATCCTGTCTCAAGTTGTCTCATCTGGGCTTCCGTAAGAACGGTTTCTTCATAAGAGGGCCTTCAGCGACAGCCAAGCTCGGAAAAGAACGGGAATAAGTTGTCTTTTATATTTCCTCAAATACTGTGAATGGTCTGAGGCGCAGGTCAGGTGTATTTAAAAACCTTTAAACAGTATTCCCCCGCCCCAAAAACTGGCCTTGAAGGAACAAGTGAAACTCATCCTGCTTTTCATGTTTGCTGGGTTTGCCCGTTACACCCCTTCGCCCGCACTTATCTAGACAGGCAGCTCTCGGCCACCCTCCGGGGTCCTGATTTTGAAAAGAGGAGTGGACCAATCAGATGTGGAGCGCTGTTTGGCGCTGCCATTTGAGCCTGGGCTGAAACTGCGGGTGTGACCCCCCCGTGGTGGCTCTGGGTGTCTGCGGAGGAGCTGGGGGCGGAAGCATGAGGCTAACGGCTTGGCTTCAGTGAACGCACCGGGATGTGCAGGCCGGGAGGTAGAGGCAGGCTGATGGGGGAGGGAACGAGCAGCCTGTGAGACGGGGTGACGGCGGCTACCAGCCCGGGCGGGCACCGGGACTGGAAGAGTTGCCTGAGCAGCCGGCTGGTCCGGCGGCCAGGCTAGGGCGGGGGCGAGCGCCCAGTTGAGCCTGCTGGGGCTGGAGGAGCGAGAAGGGTTTTCTTCACATTTCAGAGCGAACCAGACGGGGACAGTAAGGTTTGGAGGAAGGGGGATCGTTGGAAGTAGCAAGAAGTGGAGAGAATCTGGCAATAGACGAGAAACCGAAAGAATCAGAAAGAAGTCTATGTGAGTAGCTGAAAGCATTGGGTGACCAGAAAGAAGGTCGGTGTAAGTGAAGGAAGAGTGAGGTGTGGCTGGATCAAAGGGCTAAGAGAAGCGGGTCTGTGTAAGTGGATGTGAGTGAGGATCAAGGAAAAGCCGTGGAAGTGGCCGGGGGTCGGGGCCGCAGAAGTGCCAGACGGGGCCGGAAAGCAGCCGAGCGGAGTTCAAATTTGAGAGCGTTTGGAAATTGGAAGACTTGGTGGCGAACGAGGGTCAGGACCTGCATCCTGCCTCAGAGAGTTATCGACGTATCCGGAATGTGGGATCAGAGGCTGGTGAGGTTGGCCCTGTTGCAGCATCTGCGGGCCTTCTATGGTATTAAGGTGAAGGGTGTCCGTGGGCAGTGCGATCGCAGGAGACATGAAACAGCAGCCACGGAAATAGGGGTAAGTTCTGTGAAAAGGGATTTAGGTTTAAAAGAAAGGGCACACCCTTTATCATCACTTACTACCAGATCGTGCTAAAATGTTCACTCTGTGTATCAAAAAGAATGGTTAGGTGTGTAATTCAGTTCAGATGGTCGATTGCTGATATTTAAAAAGTGACATTCTTGTTTTTTTTCCCCCAAGGATTTTTGATCATTGAGAGAAAGTTGCAGGATTTTCCAACTTCAGCACTATTGACATTTTGGATTAGATAATTTTTGTTAGGGGAAGACGAAATGCTGTTCTGTGAATTGTGGGATGTTTAGCGGGATGTCTGTCTTTTACCCACTAGATGCTGGTAGCATCTCTCAGTTGTGACAATTAAAAATGTCTCCGGATATTGCCAGCTTACTGTATTTGGAACAGGTAGTACGTTGGGAGGGACAAAAACTCTACCCCTCCACCCTTGTTTTAGAGTAAGGTTGTAGAGGGACAAGGGAGACCAGTGCATTTTCTACATGAATCTGTAGATGAAGAAGTATGACAGAACATTAGAAATAGGCTTCAAATGATGACTGCATATTCACTAATTTGGGAAACAGATTTGCTGCTTGGCCATGTCATACTTTTGGGACAGTAAATTTTTTTTTGTATGAGTAAATTGAGAAGCCAGAGTGGAATAATTGAGAAGTTGTTGATGTTTTGGTGGTTGAAATAAAGGGATTTTGAATGAGATTTTAATAGCTCTGCCACATAATCAGGAATTCCATTGTGAAAAATAAGCTGAATGTAAAGCATTTTATTTTAAATTTATGTGCCTAATTTATATGGTACTTCCTAGTACTTGGAGACAAGCTAATAAAATTAATATACGTTGCTTTTAATAGTTTATGGTTTCTTAAAAAAAGTGCTTGGAGAAGAAAACCACTAACAAAAGTAATATGTGTGCCTCTTAATCGCTGATAAACTTTGGAGAAGTTATTTTTGTTGGTAGCAAATTAATGGCAATACATGTACTTACATTTAAAAAGCTACAGTGATTTTTTTCTGATTGTAAAACTGGCTTTCCAAGATCTCAAATGTAGCTGATTTTGTAAGTATATGGAAGAGTTTGTATATGGACTTTTTTTCACCCCTTTTCTTTTCTTTTCCTTTTTTTTTTTTTTTTTTGAGATGGAGTCTCCCTCTGTCGCCCAGGCTGGAGTGCAGTGGCGCGATCTTGGCTCACTGCAAGCTCTGCCTCCCGGGTTCACGCCATTCTCCTGCCTCAGCTTCCCGAGTAGCTGGGACTACAGGCGCCCGCCACCACACCTGGCTAATTTTTTGTATTTTTTAGTAGAGACGGGATTTCACCGTGTTAGCCAGGATGGTCTCGATCTCCTGCCCTCGTGATCCGCCCGCCTCGGCCTCCCAAAGTGGTGGGATGGCAGGCGTGAGCCACTGCACTCGGCCTTTTCACCGCTTAACAAGAAAAACTGTTGCCTGTTTTCAGAGTCAGATAGACCTGAGTTTGAGTGCTGTTCCACCCCTACTACATCTGTAAACTTGGGCTGCTTGTTTGATTTCCCTAAGCTTCAGTTTTATATATATAAAGTGGGAACGTATTTCTCCTTGGATTATTTAGGGATTTTTAAAAAGTGAAGCTCTTTATGTAGGCCTAGCACAGTGCGGGTAACATGCCACTTCTTCATCTAATGATAGTTGTCATATCATTGGTCTGCCTCCTAATTGGTAATCATGCCATATAAATTCAGCTAGAAACACTTATAAGAATATTCTAATGAAGAAATATAGAAGATCATTGTGTTAGGAGATCTAATGGGATAGTTTGTTTGAAAACAATTTCTTTAGCCGACTGGTGTTTGTTAGCTAACTGTAGTTTTAAGTTTTAAAAACATTTTATGAGATTAAATTATAGTGGTTACTTGTGAGGCCAGTTATTCTAAATAATAAGACTTAAGGAAAAAAACACGCTGAATTCTAGTTATATATAGCAGAAGTAGACTTACCAGCTTAAGTATCTGGTTTATTTTTACATTTGGTTTGGCTGCACAGTATCAAGAAAATTCTGATTTACCCAATAAAGGGGTTGCCCATACTAACATTTTTTAAAATAGTTCAGCTTAAAATGATGATCATAATATTAACAAATATTTTTTGAATGCTTACTGTGTGTCAGACACTGATACAAGTGTTTTGTATGTTTTAATTTATTTAATTCTTCCTACACCTCTATGACTTAGGATCTGTGTGAGGATACCGAGGAACAGAATGTTAATTTGATCCAGGTCACTCAGCTGTTAAGCAAGAGTTAAGATGTAAAGCCTGGCATTTTTGTGTGTGCGATGGCTCACGCCTGTAATCCCAGCATTTTGGGAGGCCGAGGCGGGTGGATAACGAGGTCAGGAGATCGAGACCATCCTAGCTAACACGGTGAAACCCCCCCCCCCCCGCCCCACGTCTCTACTAAAAATACAAAAAAATTAGCCAGGTGTGGTGGCGGGCGCCTGTAGTCCCAGCTACTCGGGAAGCTGAGGCAGGAGAATGGGTGAACCCGGGAGGCGGAGCTTGCAGTGAGCCGAGATTGCGCCACTGCACTCCAGCCTGGGCCACAAAGTGAGACTCCCTCTCAAAAAAAATACACCTGTCATTTTTGCCTTCAGGAGCCTACTCTCTTAAGCACTTACTATACTATACTGTCTTTTCAGCTTACAATATTTGTAAATTAATTGGAGCCAGGTGCTTGAAAGGGAATTAGTAAAATTTTGTTACTGTGTTGCGTCATTGACAATGCTGAGTGGTTTTTATTGTAAATATAAAGTTAAATATAATGCTCATAAAACATAAATACTTCTTGGTTGATAACTTGTGACATCAAAAAAAGTACTTCAGCATTCACAGAGCAGATGCATGTAAACTAAATTAACATGTGAGATTATGCATACCCACTTAAGTTTGAATAACCAGACATTTACAGGCTTGAATTTACCTTTCAGTGCTGTGGAAAGCGACACATTTTTAAGAGGTTCGAATGCATGCACAAAGATAGTGGCAGATTCTTTATTCTTCAGTGTGCAAAAACATTCAAGTTAACCAACACACAGCTTTACTCTTGGGATCTTCAGTGTATTAAAATTTGAATGTGAGGTTTTAAAAATGGGTTTCCAGCTAGTTAAATGAAGTTTGACTTAAATATTTGCACACTCCTGCCTTGCTTACTGCAGGGCATGGTTTGAAAAGCACTCTTCTATAGAAGGTGGAAAATGTATTAGGTATAAAAATAACTTCTTCTGATGTAATTTTAGGAAGACTCAATGAATGACAGGAATTAGTGTTTTGCTTTTCAATTGACTTAGTCTTTTGTGTAAGTATTTATAAGGTGACCAAAAGAAAGTATCTAGTAAGTATTTATAAGGTCATTAAAGCAACCTATAGTATTTTGGGGTAAATGTTAGTGTTTTGGACCAAATTCTGTTTTAAGAATTTACTGACTAACCACTAACCAAATTGACTTTATGATCAGATTGGAAACTTGAGTTTACTAGATTATTTGAGGGGAATGACATTATCTTGGCCATCTTTGTACTCCCAGCACTCAGCATACTGTCTAATATAGTAATTATTTGTTATCAAATGCACTTGAAATGATTATTTTTGTCTTGATAGATAGTTTATCATTTATTTCTGATTTTTTTTTAATTTCCTGAGTTCTTTAATTTGCCTAAAGTTTAAGAAAACTGATATTATGCCTAATATTTGTGTTAGAGTAACTGAATTTGTCATTTTAGGGTAAAATATTTGGAGTACCTTTTAATGCACTGCCCCATTCTGCTGTACCAGAATATGGACACATTCCAAGGTAAGCAGAGTTTGAAATGAAGAAGGCCGGGTGCAGTGGCATATGCCTGTAACCCCAGCATTTTGAGAGGCCGAGGTGGGCAAATCACTTGAGTCCAGGAGCTTAAGACCAGCCTGGGCAACATGGTGAGAACTTGTCGCAAAAGATAGAAAAATTAGCTTGGCGGAGCACACTTGTAGTCCCAGCTACTCAGGGGCCTGGGGTGGGAGGATTGCTTGAGCCCAGGAGGTGGAGGCTGCAGTGAGCCTTCTAGCCAGGGAAATGAAGAAGAAGAGAGTAAGCATTTCAAACTGGTTTTAGAGAGTTTAAAAGAAATAGTTGATTAAAACATAATTGTTTCAAACCAGCAAATGATTTAATCTCTCATAATGTTAAAAATATTTTTTTAACTTTTACATATTTTAAATTTATAATTTGTACTCATTCCCAGGATTGAATTTTAAAGTCCAGTAATGAGTAAATGTTAGAAATCACAAAAAATTTTTGTTCTGTTAAGTCAGTTTTCAGTTCTATGTGAATTCTTTTGCCACAACTCAGATTAAGTAATATACTGACTTACCAATTCAGTAATAATTTTGACTTTTTTTTGTTTGTTAAAAAAATATTGGCCAGGCACAGTAGCTCATGCCTATAATCCCAGCATTTTGAGGGCCGAGGCAGGAGGATCGCTTGAGCCCAGGATTTTGAGACCAGTCTGGGCAACAAAGCAAGACTCCATGTATAAAAAAAATTTTAAAGAAAAATCAGCTGGGCAAGGTGGTGTGCACCTGTAGTCCCAGCTACCTCTGAAGCTGAGGCAGAGGATTGTTTGACCCTAGGAGTTTGAGGCTGCAGTGAGCTATGCTCATTGCCACTGCACTCCAGCATTGGCAACAGAGTGAGACCATGTCTCTTGAAAACAAATATTGGATAAAAGAATATTTAAGCTAAGATATTAGAGTGTTTGTGAAAATGTATCACTTAGCTTTTCTATGCCACTTACTATTTATAAATAACCTTTTATTCTTTTTTTTTTTTTTTTTTTTTTTGAGACAAGAGTTTCACTCTTGTCGCCCAGGCTGGAGTGCAATGGCGTGAGCTCGGCTCACCGCAACCTTCACCTCCTGGGTTCAAGTGATTCTCCTGCCTCAGCCTCCGGAGTAGCTGGGATTACAGGTGTCCACCACCACACTTAGCTAATTTTTGTATTTTAGTAGAGATGGGGTGTATCACCATGTGGTCCAGTCTGGTCTCAAACTCCTGACCATCAGGTGATCTACTCGCTTCAGCCTCCCAAAGTGCTAGGATTACAGGCGTGAGCCACTGTGCTGGCCTATTCTAACTGCATCAGAACTTACTAGGAAAGTTTATGTTTTAAGAATATAATTTAGCCGGGCGCCGGGGCTCACGCCTGTAATCCCAGCACTTTGGGAGGCCGAGGCGGGCAGATTACGAGGTCAGGAGATCCAGACCTTCCTGGCTAACACAGTGAAACCCCGTCTCTACTAAAAATACAAAACATTAGCTGAGTGTGGTAGCACGCACCTGTAGTTCCAGCTACTCGGGAGGCTGAGGCAGGGGAATGGCATGCCAGGAGGCGGAGCTTGCAGTGAGCCAAAATTGTACCACTGCACTCCAGCCTGGGCGACAGAGTGAGACTCCGTCTCAAAAAAAAAAAAAAAAAAGAAAAAAAAAGAATGTAATCTAAAAATGCATATGGTGAAACTTATCCTTAATTCATTTCCCCTCCATCTAAAGTAGGGTTCATTTGGGCTACTATAGACCAATAATCTAGGTTTTAATTGACATGTCATCCAAAAGCAATTATCGAACACCTGGTTGCCTTAGGACAGTTTCCCCCCATTCATCCTATAGGTGTAGATTCACTGTCTTCTTAGGTAACCGCTTAACCATTTTGCTCTTTAAATGACCTATGAAAGGCTTGATTTTCTTATAATGAACACCTATAATGATTTTCAACAGGCCGGGCACAGGAGCTCATGCCTGTTATGCCAGCACTTAGGGAGGCCCAGGTGGTGGATTGCTTGAGCCCAGGAGTTCAAGACAAGCCTGGGCAACATGGTGAAATCTTGTCTCTACAAAAAATAGAAAAATTAGCTGGGCGTAGTGATGTGTGCCTATAGTCCCAGCTAGTCGGGAGGCTGAGGTGGGAGGATCACTTGCGCCCAGGAGGCAAAGGTTGCAGTGAGCAGTGATCGCACCACTCCAGCCTGGGTGACAGAGCGAGACCCTGTCTCAAAATAAAAACTAAAAGAAAAAAAAAAGCAGATTTTCGGCGTCTGGAATTGCAAAGTCATATTCCCAGGAATCATGACTATATCTTCATTGTAATTTCATGACCTACTTTTTATTTAATTAAAAAGACTGTTTTGTCAGTTACCTTCTGTAAATAAGGCTGACATTCAGCCACTGTGCACCAATACAGCTGTATCAATTGTTGGTAGCCGATATTCATTCTAATTTGTGGGTCCCAGCTGTTCAATATCTAGGTATCTAAAGCCAACATTGAGATTTATTTGAACATTGTTCAAAATAAAGAAATTGAGCACATTCCCCTTAATATGAAAAGGCTTGTAAGGACTGGGATATATCCTACTTTTCTGAGGGATAATGTTGGGGTGAGGAAAAAAAAACCTCGCCCTGTTTTTGGGTGATGTAGGAGATGAGAAAATCACCCATGAAGAGATAGTAGATAAAAGAAGGTGGCCTTGGACAGAGCCCTGGGTTGTTCCAGCATGTAGAGGTTTCACATAAGAGGAGTGAGAAAAGGAATTTGAGAAGGAGCAGGCAGGGAGATAGCAGGAAAACTAAAAGAGTAGTGAAAAAGTATTTTTGAGATGAACAGGGAAGGGATCAGGTGTGTCAAATGGTGATAGATCGAGCAATACGAGGACAACACACTGACCATGGATTTGGCAAGGCAGAGGCTGTTAGTGAGCTTGAAGAGAGCTATTTCTTTGGAGTAATGAGGTATGAGAATGATTGGATAGGGGTGAGTAGAGACTGAGATATGAAGAAGTAGAGGCAGAAAAAAAAGACAAGTCTTACGCTCTGAAGGGAAGCAGAAATGAAGTAGGATTGAGAAAGATAAAATTTAGTGTGCACATTGGAGTTGTTAGAAGTAAAAAGATGGGCCTTGGAGAAGAATTTGGGAAGCCAGTAGACAACTAAAAGTAACATTTCATCTCAAAGACTACAGAGATTTGTGGCTTTAGAGCCTCTGAAAGGTACGTAGTGCTTGGCCTGCTCATGTATGTTAGCAGAGGAATAGGATGTGATATGTATGTCTAGCCACCTGAAAAAATCTCTCTTTCAGCTTTCTTGTCGATGCTTGCACATCTTTAGAAGACCATATTCATACCGAAGGGCTTTTTCGGAAATCAGGATCTGTGATTCGCCTAAAAGCACTAAAGGTGAGCATATTGTTGAACTATTAATTTTTCATTTGAGCCATTTTCTGATTTGGTTTTTAAAACTGAAATATTTAGAACTATTAATATGAATAGTTGACAGAAATTGAATTTGCATTTTTTTCATGGCAGAAGATTTTTTTTTTCCAAAAGAAATGGTATATTATTTCTATCATGCTTTAAAAATTTAATAGGGTACTTTTAAATTCATGGTCCTTATTTCTATCAAGTATTATGTAAAATGAAAAAAATGTGTTAAGTTATATTGTTGTTAGCCTTCTAGAAGGAGTGATAGAGCTGAGTGTGGTGGCACATGCTTGTAGTCCCAGCTACTTGGGAGGCTAAGGCAGGAAGATTGCTTGAGCCTGGGAGTTTGAAGCCAGCCCAGGCCACATAGTCTGTGCCACATTTCTATAAAAATAAAAATAAATTCAAAAATCATTAAAAATAAAGTAGTGACATATATTAAAATAAGAGTTAAGAGAAATTTATTAAAGAAAAGTGTAATTAGAGTATAACAAAAGATACTTTATTTGCAATAAACTCTTAAGTTGCCAAAATACTCAAGATTATTATATTTATTTCAGAATAAAGTGGATCATGGTGAAGGTTGCCTATCTTCTGCACCTCCTTGTGATATTGCGGGACTTCTTAAGCAGTTTTTTAGGGAACTGCCAGAGCCCATTCTCCCAGCTGATTTGCATGAAGCACTTTTGAAAGCTCAACAGTTAGGCACAGAGGAAAAGAATAAAGCTACACTGTTGCTCTCCTGTCTTCTGGCTGACCACACAGTTCATGTATTAAGATACTTCTTTAACTTTCTCAGGAATGTTTCTCTTAGGTAAGTGGTAATTAAAAC
This sequence comes from Homo sapiens, assembly GCF_000001405.40. Classification (NCBI taxonomy): domain Eukaryota; kingdom Metazoa; phylum Chordata; class Mammalia; order Primates; family Hominidae; genus Homo; species Homo sapiens. Next base: position 4,839,028 of record NT_187660.1, read on the forward strand.
TCTTGGCAAATAATAGTTGAATTTTTCAACTAACGTTTTATGCTTGTAGATATGTACAATTTCATTTGGAATGGAAATTTTTCTTTAAAAATTCCATATTTCATTACTATGAGGAGTATACTCCAATTTAAGAAACAGCATACCAAATGATTTAATATTTCCTTATCTTAAAGTCATCATCATGAATGCCTTAATGGTTCATTGGTGTTTATAAGATTCATTGTCCACTGAAAGCCTTTGTTTACTGGGTTTTTAAAATATTTCTGTTTTGCTTTTCAAAATTTCCCTCTCCCTGCTGTCAGTGAGCCTGCTTATTCTAGACATACTTGCTGCCTTCTGATACTTCCAACTTTTTATGTGTAGGTCTGAAAATCAGATAAAGATGTTCAATTTGTGTGGAAAAGCAAAGTATGAACTCTAAGATTAGCATGGTTTTTAGAATACATATTTAAATATAGAGAGGCTATATATTTCTGGTTCTTTCTTGTGTTCAAGCCAATCATGTAGATGAAGGGTAACTATTTTGACTTGTGTATGACTGATAATAAGGTCTTCAAAATGTACTACATACGTTATTTTAACTCTTCTGTATTTTCACGTTTGGCTCCATCTAATAAAGCGTTTATTCACTTAAGATCCAGTGAGAATAAGATGGACAGCAGCAATCTTGCAGTAATATTTGCACCGAATCTTCTTCAGACAAGTGAAGGACATGAAAAGATGTCTTCTAACACAGAAAAGAAGCTACGATTACAGGCTGCAGTAGTACAGACTCTTATCGATTATGCATCAGATATTGGTAAGATGTAGTTGCATTATTAACAGAATTTGTTTAAATGAGGAAAATCTCTGTTTCTTTCAAAGGAACTATGAAGGCAACTGTTAGAAAGTTGGTATATTACTGACCTCACCCCCACCCTACAGTACCGGCCCCTCCTGCAAAGAAAAAAAGAAAAGAAATTGGTATATTAGTATCTAAACATTTTTGGGGAAGAGTGGAGGAAGGATAATAATTGTCTTACTTGTGAACATTTTCATTTAGGGCGTGTACCAGATTTTATCCTGGAAAAGATACCAGCCATGTTGGGTATTGATGGTCTCTGTGCTACTCCATCACTGGAAGGCTTTGAAGAAGGTGAATATGAAACTCCTGGTGAATATAAGAGAAAGAGAAGACAAAGTGTAGGAGGTAAGTGGCGGTCCCATTTTATGGAGGTACAGTGATTTGCTTTAATCGAAAGTACATTTCACATAAAGAAGCATGAACTGTGGTATGTGCCTTTTTGGTGCTTAAAGCACAGCTGGAAAGATAGGACGTATGCGTGTAAAAAGTTAAAGCGATAGTACAATCTAATGTTAAGTGCTACATCTTTAGCACAAACATAAAATGTGTTAAAAGGAGAAAAGTTCCCTGGATTGTAATTATCAGGGACTTGTCAAAGAGGAGCCAAACTGAACCTTCTTGAATAATGGATAGAATTTAGTGGGATTGGGTGGAGGATCAGAATACTTGTATCCTATTCTAGATGAGAAGGATGCTATGAAGAAAGGTTTGTGTAGGGAAGAAGTAACCTATGTCTAATGTAGATAGTGCAGTATGACTTGAGTGAAGTGTTCAGCATAAGGATAAAGGATGGTATTATGGTAAACTTAATGCCAGGCTAAAGAATTAGAATATTAACCTGGGTGTTGGTGAATCATTGAAGATTTATGATGTGAGGCATGATATGATTTAAAAATTTTAGAAAATTACCTGATTTGAAGAATTGAGACTTGGAAGTAGGGAGAATGGTCAGCAATGTGTGTCAGTAGTCCAGGCATCAGATTATTGTTTGAACTTGTTAGTGACATGGATTAGTTAGGAGTACGAACTAAATAATGAAGGAAATATTATCAAGGAAGAATCAGAAAGACCAAAAGACCATCATAAGATGGTAGAGTTGGTAATAAAACTTGCAATCTCCTTGATCAAGAAGTCAGAGGCCATTATTCTTCCAATTACTTTAGGAAATTTATTATCTTTTGAATATCAGAACCAAATGTTACTAACTATCCCAATCCCTTTTTCATCTTTTGGTTTATTTGTTATTGCATACTTGTGTTTCTTCTTTACCTCCTTTGTAGATAGGATAATACTGATGACTTATGTATGATTTTCCTAGGGCTACTGTAGCAAAGTACTACAAACTAGGTGGCTTAAATCAACAGAAATTTGTCTCACCGTTCTGGAGGCTAGAAGTCTGAAATCAAGGTGTTGGCAGAATGCCTGAAACCTGCAGGGGAGAATCCTTTCTTGCCTCTTCCTGGCTCCTGGTAGTGGCTGTCAGTCCTTAGCATTCCTTGGCTTGCAGCCGCGTCACTCCAATCCCTGCCTATGTCATCCTATGATGTTGCTCTGTGTCAGAACTTCCCTCTTACAGGGCACATTGGATTAGGGCCCACCCAAATGACCTCATTTTAACTCGAGTACATCTGTAAAGACACGAATTCCAAGTATGGTCACCTTCATAGGAACTGGGGGTTAGGACTTAAACATAGGTTTTTTGGAGAACACAATGCAACCCATAAAACTTCCTATCCCCAATGGAGATATTTCTCAGATGCAGATCATCTTTATTGCCCTCTTTCCCAGTCCTGTAGTTTCAGTTATCACCAGTCCTGTAGTTTCAGTTATCACATCTAAATAGATAACCACCACATCTGTACCACCGTTATCTTGAAAATGTCAGTTCCACTTTACTAATGGCTTGCTAGGGAGACCTCATCACATCTGCTTTTCATTGGTGCTTTAAGCTTAACGTTTTGAAATGACCATCTTTATCCTCTTTATCCTGGTTCTGTGTGAATTCCATTTTCTTCTAACAGCACCACTATTCCCTAGATACTCAGGCTTTAACCATGGGTTCTACCTCTTCCTCTACCATCTATAATCAGACAGTTTTCATGTCATATAAGATTCTATCTCCGTAGTGTTTATTGCATTGTTACTGTAAGAATCTTCTTGGCCGGGCGCGATGGCTTACGCCTGTAATTCCAGCACTTTGGGAGGCCAAGGTGGGCGGATCATGAGGTCAGGAGATCGAGACCATCCTAGCTAACACAGTGAAACCCCGTCTCTACTAAGAATATAAAAAATTAGCTGGGCGTGGTGGCGGGCGCCTGTAGTCCCAGCTACTTGGGAGGCTGAGGCAGGAGAATGGTGTGAACCTGGGAGGCGGAGGTTGTAGTTGGCTGAGATCGGGCCACTGCACTCCAGCCTGGGCAACATAGCGAGACTCCGTCTCAAAAATAAAAATTAAAAAAAGAATCTTCTTGGTCTTTATGCCTCCTCCTTGAATCTACCCTACATATTGCTATTAAGGCTCACTTTTTTTTTTTTTTTTTGAGATGGAGTCTGTCTTTGTCACCCAGGCTGGGGTGCAGTGATGCTACCTTGGTTCACTGCAATCTCCACCTCCTGGGTTCAAGCGATTCTCTTGCCTCAGTCTCCCAAGTAGCTGGGATTACAGGTGCACGCTACCACGCCTGGCTAATTTTTGTATATTTAGTAGAAAGGGGGTTTCACTGTGTTGGCCAGGCTGGTCTCTAACTCCTGACATCAAGTAATCTGCTTGCCTTGGCCTCCCAAAATGCTAGGATTACAGGTGTGAGCCACTGCACCTGGCCAAGGCTTACATTTTAAATGTATAACTCTACTCAAGTATCTCACACACATACCCTTCAGAAATTTTAATTGGTAATAGGGATATTTATAGCTTGGCATTAAAGGTCTTTCATAGGATTGCTCTAGCATACCTGTCTACTATTTCCTGTCTTTGAGCAACTTTAGTCAAACTATGTTATTTATTTTCCAGACACTTTTATTCATTTGCTTACACTATTTATTGATATAATGTTTTTACTTCCATCTCTACTGATCTTTTAAATACTTTTATTCGTGCCTCCATTTCCATGGTTCTTGCCTCAGTTCAGACCTTCATCTTTTGCCTTAACATGTAATGATTTCTTTTTCCCTACCCTTACTGTACATTATATGTATTTGTATTACATTTCTTTCTGTATTGTGTCTTTTTTATTTTAGGGATATGGAAGTATAAGTGGGGAATGGAATAAAAATATATCCTTTAGTATTTTTCCTATTTTGAAATAATTCCTCTTAAATAACTTAAAATTTATAAGCCGATGTAAAGTTACATGTTGAAAGAAGACTGCAAATATTAATATGAATTATTGGTGAAAGACAAGTAAATGTGAAGTTGTAATTGCTTATGCCTTGCATTTCAGATTTTGTTAGTGGAGCACTAAATAAATTTAAACCTAACAGAACACCTTCTATTACACCTCAAGAAGAAAGAATTGGTAGGTATTTATTATATGCATTTATTTAAATTAAAATTTGTATAGTATTCTATAAAATACAATTACAATAATAATTACCTAACTTAGTAATCAAATTTAGTTTAATCAAATCAAATATTATTTTTAATAGTCATACTGTACTATACACACTATGTTGTGACATTGCTAATTACATAGGCTATAATGAACCCAAAATTGTAGGCAAAAATTTTTTTAGTCTCCTGTCTTTAATCTTCTTAATCATGCTTTTCTGTTTGTAATTTAGATGCTATTAAGCGTGTGAAAATAGTTCAACCTCATTTTTATCTTAGGACTAGAAGTTCATTATTGTATATTTCAATTTTTTATTCTAATTTGCTTGTGGCTGAAATTATTCAGCCAGTAAGAGTCAACATGATCTTCTGTTTTCTAGAGTGAAGAAATGAACTGGTTAATACTCACTTATGATGAAAAGCAAAAATAATATTTAGATTAGTTTTTGTTTCAACTCCTTGATTGTAATTTCTTCCTTACATTAATATTCTTTAATGTATATCATATGCATCTTTTAGTCTGTTAGATTTAAGTAACTGCTGTCTCTTAAGAGTCTTGCCTCTGCGACTTCCTTATTTTCATTTAAGTAATTGCAGAGTGTTTTAGTTAAACAACATCTACTTAACTGATGATGTAAATATATTCTCATTTTTTGTTTAGCTCTAAGTAATAGCTTTATAAGAAGAAATTATGTAAAGCTTTTATATGTTGTCAACTCTGCAGTAGAAACAAGTTGGTTTTGTTTTGATATTTTTTCAGCCCAGCTATCTGAATCACCAGTGATTCTTACACCAAATGCTAAGCGTACATTGCCAGTAGATTCTTCTCATGGTTTCTCAAGTAAGAAAAGGAAGTCCATCAAGCACAATTTTAACTTTGAGCTGTTGCCAAGTAATCTCTTCAATAGCAGTTCTACACCGGTATCAGGTAGCAAATAGAATTTATATAAATGGATTGTAAAGATTAAAATGAGTGCCTATTCTGGGCACAGTGCAATTTCATATTAATAATACCACCCTTAGGAACTAGAACTTTATTCTGTTTTATCCAACCTATGAATTTTTATAAAACCCCCTGCCTTTTAAAATAGACACTGTTTCAATATAGTGTGTGTGTGTGTGTGTGTGTGTGTGTGTGTGTTATGACAACATCTATTGAAAGTTGTGATAACCCAGAGTAGTAGTTTGGGCTTCTGGTGATAGCATTGATGCTTAGGTTTTATGTGATTAGACATCCTGAATCCTGCTATAGTTACATCTGGGTCTATAGCTGTGGCTTTATTGCTGTCATTTGTTGAATTGAGGTTGCCAGATGTTTGATCATGTCTGATTCCCAAGTGGGAGCGTTACTATTGCAGGTTATGGTTTGAAAATGAGGGTATTTTTAAAGTTTTAGACTCAAGTACCTTTTGTAAAAGCTTTAGAACTTTGTTGACGCTGTTCCTTGTGCCATGGCTTCCAGATCCCTTACCAGCCCAGCCATTTTCTTCCATATTAACTACAAGTTCTAATGTGGCCAACCAGAGCCTTCAGAGAGTAATAGAGTATGATCATGCTAATCCGGAGATTAGTCTGGGTCTTAGATTCAATTGGCTCTTTTAGCATATACAGAATTCAAGTTGGCTCATATTAACCTTACGATCAACCAAAAATGAAATGAAACTCTAAGCCCAGGGTCCTCCATCTCATTTATCTTACATTTAGTCAAAATGTGAGTGATCTCTGATTATTTTAGATTTTTTATTTTGTTGGTTTCAGACAATGTTAAGTTTCATTTTTGATTCATTATCTGAGTTATATGAGTTCCTTCCCAAAGCCTGTCTCTTTTTTCTGTTGTCCAAAAGGGTTCTTATTTGTTTTATTGAGAAGTTGAACAGAATAGCAACTTGAGGTTTTCCAGAAAAAAACACTTCTTCACAGGTTCTCTAGGGCTCATTGAAATGTGATGATAGTAACTCTGAAGCTTATGTCTGTAGCTTTTGCAGTGTTCACAGGTTGGAGACTTAAACTTTTTTAAGTAACATAGTTCAGTTGTTTTTTTTTTTGAATATATCCTTTGCAGTTTGGAGGACTTTTTCCAAATGGCAAATGGGAGTTGTAGTTCTACCTGCCTTTGCTTATTAGCATTACATTTTCCCCAAGGAATGAACATACTGATTCCTTCTTCTCCTCCTCCAAGCTCCCAAAACAGAGGTTAAACAGTCTTGTGCTATTTTTAGTTTGAGCTTGCCTAATCAATGAATTTTTTTATAAAAAAATTTAAAAGTTCAACAATAGTAATCGTATTATTTTTACACCACTTTTCTTTGACCCTACTTTCTCAGCCACAATTCAACAAATTCCATTTGCAAAATTGAAAATAGATTGATTTCTAAGTTTAGATTATAACAAATATGATGCTTTTAAAAATATATAAAGGCAACATTAGTCTGTAGTCCATAGAGTATCTATTCATAATTGTCTCTTTTTTTTTTTTTTGAGACAGAGTTTTGCTCTTGTTGCCCAGGCTAGAGTGCAATGGCACAATCTCGGCTCACTGCAGCCACCACCTCTCAGGTTCAAGCGATTTTCCTGCCTCAGCCTCCCAGGTAGCTGGGATTATAGGTGGCCACCACCACACCTGGCTAATTTTCTTTTGCATTTTTAGTAGAGACGGGGTTTCACCACGTTGGCCAGGCTGGTCTTGAACTCCCGACATTAGCTGATCAACCTGCCTTGGTCTTCCAAAGTGCTGGGATTACAGGTGTGAGCCACCATGCCTGGCCATAATTTTCTTACAGATGTGATAAATTTGCATTGTTCCATATATTCTGACTGTGCCTCCTGCGACCATTGACACATTTTTTATTTTTATTTTTTGAGACGGAGTCTCGCTCTGTCTCCCAGGCTGGAGTACAGTGGCATGATCTTGGCTCACTACAACATCCACCTCCGATGTTCAAGTGATTCTTGTGCCTCAGCCTCCTGAGTAGTTGGGATTACAGGCATGCACCACCACACCCAGCTAATTTTTGTATTTTTAGTAGAGATGGGATTTCACCATGTTGGCCAGGCTGGTTTGAACTCCTGGCCTCAAGCAATCCGCCCACCTCAGCCTCCCAAAATACTGGGATTACAGACGTGAGTCACGGTGCCTGGCCGGACACATTTTTAAAGTGACTAGACTGCAGCCCTAGAATAAAGCTACTTATGTCACTTTAGATGTATAATATTGGCTTCCAAAATTTTCTTTAGCTAAATGCACCCAAAAGTTTCTAAGGTGGTTGTATTTTTTCCGTTTTCATAATTGAAAAAATGTGAATGTCTCTGGGAAACTTTGTGAATTCTTTATTAATAACTCAGATGAATTGAGAGGGTTCATGTTTGTTGAATGTGTCCTGGGCGTGATTCAAACATAAATGTATATGGAGCCTTTGTTCATAACTATTTTACTTCTTTCGTAATTGTTTACTATAGTTGATTTCATAATATAAATGGTGTTAAATAATTGAGCTTCTGTTGTACCAGTAATTATTTGCATGGAACACAGCAGCAGCCAAGGGATTAGGAATGTGTTATAGAATAATTAGTTTTTGTTTACTTGCCAAAAATATTGAACAAATTACATTCCGGAGTCAGGTGGGTAGCAGTTGGCCAGCAGGTATATCTCAAATACTCAGATTCCAACTTGTTTGCCAATAGCTTATTTTTTATAATACCATTAATTGGTATTATGTACTAGATACTGACTAAATATTTTATATAGATAACAGTAATATTCATCATAGAAGTCCGTTTTCAGAGCCTAAAGCCATTTAGTAAGTGATGGAGCAAACTCAAGCCTGTCTCCAAATCTTGTTCTTTTTCCAGTCTGCAATGGTGCCTATCCCTGCCTTGTATTATTAACAGAGTTTAAAGAAAAGCTCTAATATAAAAGTAATGCTTAAGCTGACCTTTAATTGGCAAGTCAAAAGTAAAAAATGAATGCTTTTTCTTAGCTGAGTTGGGTTATTTGACACTTGAAGTTTCTAACCAGAAATTAAGTGATTTCGGTTGTTGCTTGGGATAGAAATTAAGGCTTTGAATCTAATTGCTGCTATTACTATTTTATACTTTAAAAGGAAAATAGATATGTGTGGTATATTACATGTGGTTATTTTTGTAGTTCACATCGATACAAGCTCAGAAGGGTCATCTCAGAGTTCACTCTCTCCTGTACTCATTGGTGGAAACCATTTGATCACTGCAGGTGTGCCAAGGCGAAGTAAAAGAATTGCAGGCAAAAAAGTTTGCAGGTACTTTATCCAGGACATTTTGTTTTCATCGGATAAATATTTGGTGTACACATAATTAATAAAATGTTTTGTCTTTCTGTCAAGCATCATATTTGAGTCATAATTTTTTAAAATCCCTTCTGCCTTTATAGTCTTATTAATCAATTGCCTTTTCAATACCCACCAGAGAAAAATTACTAATTTGAGTCCGCTTTGCTTGCTTAAAATCCTATTTTATGTTGATGGTGTAATTTTAAAATTTCCTGTTAGAGGCTGGGCACGGTGGCTTATGCCTGTAATCCTAGCACTTAGGGAGGCTGAGGTGGGTGGAGCACTTGAGCTCAGGAGTTCAAGACCAGCCTGGGCAACATGGCAAAACCTCATCTCTACTAAAAAGTACAAAAATTAGCCAGGCATGGTGCCACATGCCTGTAGTCCCAGCTACCTGGGAGGCTGAGGTGAGAGGATCATCTGAGCCCAGGGATGTCAAGGCTACAGTGAGCAGTGATTATGCCATTATACTCCAGCCTGGGCCGCAGAGTGAGACCCTGTCTCAAAAAATAAAAAACAAAGAAAAAAATTCCTGTTAGGTTAAAAAGCTAGCCTATTCTAACAATTCTGAGTTATAACTGACTGACTAACTTTTAAGATTAGCAGATCATTTTTTATGCAAATGCAGTGTGTTCATGTATGGTATCTTAAAGTTGAACTGTTTTTAAAGAATTATTAATCCATCCAATTATTATCAATATGATTTGCTGTGGACTTTATTTCAAATTTCGTATTTCAAGTATTTCTCTGGTGTTTATACTATAAACTGACATTTTTAATTCCACTTCTTCTAGAGTGGAATCAGGAAAAGCAGGCTGCTTTTCTCCTAAAATCAGCCATAAAGAAAAGGTTCGAAGATCTCTGCGTTTGAAATTCAATCTAGGGAAAAATGGCAGAGAAGTAGTAAGTTTCTTACCATTTTATTGATCTTTATATTAGCATAACGCTATAAACTTGATACTAAAAAACACTCATAGCCCTACCTTCCTTCCAGTGACTGTCTCATTCTGTTCTTTTTATCCAAAACTCTTATACTTGAGTTGATATCAAATTTCCTTGCATTGGAGTACCCAAAGCTTAGTCCTTGGACTTCTCTTTTTTCTCTCCACTCACTCAAGGTGATCATCAGTTTTAAACATTATATACAGGTTGAGTAGCACTTATCCAGAATGCTTGAGACCAGAAGTATTTCAGATTCCCCATTTTTGGGGGGGATTTTGGAATATTTACATTATTTTTACTAGTTCAGCATCCCTAATCTGAAAGTCTGGAATGCTCCAGTGAGCATTTTCTTTGAACATCATGTCAAATACTTAAAAGCTTTGGATTTTTGGAGCATCCAGAACTTTGGCTTTTCAGATTTGGAATGCCCAACCTGTATTTACTTAAAACTTCCAAGTTTATGTTCTCTAGTCCCAAATGCTCTTCTGAATGACTCCGCTGTCTCTTAACATCTGCTTTTTTGACTCTCCTACTTGGATATCTAATCCAATAGGCATTTCAAATGTAACCTGTCCCAAGCAGATGGATTTCTTTGCTGCTGCTATGCCCTGCACCAAACAACACTTTTACCTGTGGTTTTCCCTATCTCAGTTATGGCAAATCGTTCTTCCAGTCACTTAAGCCAAAAACCATGGTCAAATCCTTGATTCCTCACTTTCTCTGAGACACCATGTCTAATCCATTAGAGAATCTTGTCTAACTTCTGCTTTTAGAGTATCTCCAAACTGACCAGTTCTCACTATTACTACTTTTCCCACTTTCTCTAAGTTCTGTCATCTCTCAGCTGGATTACTCTAGTAAACTCCTGTTAATAGTTCTTCCTTCTCCTACCCTTGCTGCAGTTCTGTAGTTGAAATTTATCTTTTAAAATCTGTTAGGTTATGTAGTTTTCTGCTCAGAACTCTCCAGTGACTCCTCGTTTCACTCTGAATAAAAGCCAGAGTTCTCATGTTGACCTGCAAAGGCCTCACGTGATCTGTTCTCAGGCTGCATTTCTGAGCTCTCCTCCAGTCCCCCTTGCTCACTCTGCTCCAGTCTCAGAGACTGCACTGGCATTCTGCTCTTTCTGTAGTGTTCTTCCCCCTTAAATCTTCATGGCTCTCACCTTTGTTTTGTTTTACTCACAAATTATCTCCTCATCACCCTATTTTAAACTAAACCTCCATTCTTCACCACTCCATATCCTTTTTACTCTGTTTTACTTTTCTCCGTAGCACTTTTCACCTTGTATATTGTATTTATGCAATATAATTTACTGTTTATCTTAAGTCTAAATTTCCCCATCTAAATAGAATGTAAATTACATAAGGATAAGATTTTGGTCTAGGTACCCCACTGCCCCAACTATTTGTGAACAGGCCCTAGCACAGAGTCAGAGCACACACAGAAATTATTTTAATTAATATGTGAGACTGTTTTAAAAATAGATCATAAAATATCAACTAATAGCAAAATCAAATGATTACAGTTTTCATTAGCAGGCAAGAATGTTTGTCATTGTTAAGAATTGTTTCTCAATTATATATCCCTTTTTAAATCAGCTAAAGATTTTGATAACTACAAAAAATTATTCTGTCTTTATATTTTGAATTAACTAGGCTTATTTCTTAACTAAAACTTTTTTTTTTCTGTACAGAATGGATGTTCTGGTGTCAATAGATATGAAAGTGTTGGTTGGCGACTTGCAAATCAACAAAGTTTAAAAAATCGAATTGAATCTGTAAAAACAGGTTTGCTTTTTAGCCCAGATGTTGATGAAAAGTTACCAAAGAAAGGTACATTTACATACTACTGTTAGAGTTTTACCTAAAAATCCTGCTTTAGTTGCTTTTTTAATGGCAAAACATATTAATTAATTTACTGTTCTAGAGATTAAAAGTTCATGTTTGAATAGTGAAAATATTAGAATTGGCAATGTATTTTTCTATCAACAATTGGGAAATGCTTATACATGTAAATATGAAAATGTTTGACATTCTTATGTTAAAAATTATTTCTTGTAACACAAATACTTTATTAGAATTAAATGCTTAGTGACTTATTTGCCATGTGCTTGGGTATTATTTCAAAACAAGGTTAAATACAAAGGATTAAGCACTGAACTGCTTTATTTTAGGTTCAGAAAAGATCAGTAAGTCTGAGGAAACCTTACTAACTCCAGAGCGACTAGTTGGAACAAATTACCGGATGTCTTGGACAGGACCTAATAATTCAAGTTTTCAAGAAGTAGATGCAAATGAAGCTTCTTCAATGGTGGAAAATCTTGAGGTAGAAAACTCTTTGGAGCCTGATATTATGGTAGAAAAGTCACCTGCTACTTCATGTGAACTCACCCCTTCCAATTTAAACAATAAGCATAATAGCAACATAACAAGTAGCCCTCTTAGCGGGGATGAAAATAACATGACCAAAGAGACTTTGGTGAAAGTTCAAAAAGCGTTTTCTGAATCTGGAAGTAATCTTCACGCATTGATGAATCAGAGGCAGTCATCAGTAACTAATGTGGGGAAAGTAAAATTAACTGAACCATCTTATTTAGAAGATAGCCCAGAGGAAAATCTATTTGAAACTAATGATTTGACTATAGTAGAATCAAAGGAGAAATATGAACACCACACTGGTAAAGGTGAAAAATGTTTTTCAGAGAGGGACTTTTCACCCCTTCAAACTCAAACATTTAATAGAGAAACAACTATAAAATGTTATTCAACTCAGATGAAGATGGAACATGAAAAAGACATTCATTCAAATATGCCAAAAGATTATTTAAGCAAGCAAGAATTCTCCAGTGATGAAGAAATAAAGAAACAGCAGTCCCCAAAGGATAAACTAAATAATAAATTAAAAGAGAATGAGAATATGATGGAAGGTAACTTACCGAAGTGTGCAGCACATAGCAAGGACGAGGCTAGATCCTCTTTCTCACAGCAGAGTACATGTGTTGTAACAAACTTGTCAAAACCTAGGCCTATGAGAATTGCTAAACAGCAGTCATTGGAAACATGTGAGAAAACAGTTTCTGAAAGTTCACAAATGACAGAACATAGAAAGGTTTCTGATCACATACAGTGGTTTAACAAGCTTTCTTTAAATGAACCAAATAGAATAAAAGTCAAGTCACCTCTTAAGTTTCAGCGTACTCCTGTTCGTCAGTCCGTCAGAAGAATTAATTCTTTGTTGGAGTATAGCAGACAACCTACAGGGCATAAGTTGGCGAGTCTTGGTGATACAGCTTCTCCTTTGGTCAAATCAGTGAGCTGTGACGGTGCTCTTTCCTCTTGTATAGAAAGTGCATCAAAAGATTCCTCTGTTTCATGTATCAAATCAGGTCCTAAAGAACAGAAGTCCATGTCATGTGAAGAGTCAAATATTGGTGCAATTTCAAAGTCAAGCATGGAGTTACCCTCGAAATCTTTCTTAAAGATGAGGAAGCACCCAGATTCAGTGAATGCTTCTCTTAGGTCTACTACAGTTTATAAACAGAAGATCTTATCTGATGGCCAAGTTAAGGTTCCCTTGGATGATCTGACTAATCATGATATAGTAAAACCAGTTGTAAATAACAACATGGGCATTTCTTCTGGGATAAATAACAGGGTCCTTAGGAGACCATCAGAAAGAGGAAGGGCCTGGTACAAAGGTTCTCCAAAACATCCTATCGGAAAAACTCAATTACTACCAACAAGTAAACCTGTAGATTTGTAATTGGTAAATGTTATACTTGTCATTAATGTAAATAAAGTGAGTAATTGGTATGACTTGCAGGATGATGTACATGTTAGTTTGTAGCTCAGGATGATTGTTAAGCAATAGATTTGCTCTATTGAAAATGTTTCATTTTTTTCACTGTACAAGCAACTTAGATTTTTATTTGTACAAATTACTTCTTTGTTTTTCTTAATGATGGCAATTTTTAAACTTTAATTTTATTGTGATCTCTTAAAGCAGAGGTTAGACTTTACCTTTCTGACTCTGTCGTCCAGGCTGGAGTGCAGTGGCGCAATCTCACCGCAAGCTCCACTTCCTGGGTTCATGCCATTTTCCTGCCTCAGCCTCCCGAGTAGCTGGGACTACAGGTGCCCGCCACCACGCCCAGCTAATTTTTTGTATTTTTAGTAGAGACGGTTTCACCGTGTTAGCCAGGATGGTCTCGATCTCCTGACGTTGTGATCCGCCCGCCTCAGCCTCCCAAAGTGCTGGGATTACAGGCATGAGCCACCACGCCCGGCTAGACTTTACCTTTCTAAAGAAATTGTTTACTGGATTTATAAGAAGTTAATTTTTGAAAATGACATATTTTTGTGTGATAGAAAGAATGGAGCAAGTTGTGCCTATTTCCTCCAAGTCAGATAAGGTTTCTAAAATAAATAAATTTCTAGCATATAAAGGGTAGAGATAAACTCTGCAAATCTTATGTCTGGAATTATATTAATGTTTATTGTCCTTGCCAAAATTCCTAGAAATTAATTTCCTTCAATAGCATCCTAAAACTCTATTTTTATTTGGGGCAGAGTAATTTCATTTATAGTGCCAGTAGGTGTACCTTGTGTTCACTCGAACTAAGAACAATGGTTAAGGCAGAATAATGACTAAAATATGTTCATATATTATGATGTGGAAATAATTGATAACTTTTAAGCCATACTATGTTTTTAAAGATAATTTGCACAAACACGTTTGTGTCTGTTCTGTCCAATATAGATTTGGCAATTATTTAAAGAGGGATAATCTTGAAAAAAATTAACCAAGGTGATTTCTTATATGTAGATGCTCGATTTTGGAATTTGAAATAGTAGATGCACCTCTTTACCTTTTTTACTTGGATAAAAACCTATGATGATTTTGTCCTGTGTGTAAATGTTATTTATTTAGCATAGACATTAAAGATAACTCTCTGGAAAATGACTTGACTAAGGCTCTCATGAAATTCAAAGTGCCATTTAGAACATGCACCAAATTGTCAAGTAAATCTGTCTAAATTTATATTTTAAATTATTACAAATTACACATCTTTGAGGAAAGAGTATTATGAACAATAGAACATATTCTCTAGGTTGTAGAGGAAGGAATAAGCAGACAGAATCAACCACTAAAGGTAGTTTTTCAGATTGGTTGTTAGAATGTCATGTTTAGATGTTGGAGCAGATTAGAGCAGCATTCATGCCACTCGGAGCAACCAGACTTACAGCATAAGTATGTACGAGGAATTTCAAATCATCAGATGTTTGCTTGGCTAGGTTCTACTTTGTTTATTTGATATCAAATAGGTTTGTAGATGTTTATGGCATTTCTAATTGTAAGTAGAGACAAAATATTCATATAGTCAGATATATGTTGTCTGCTTTAAACAATTTTTAAATTTTAAAAATGCATTAACGTCTTTTTATATCCATCAAGGGAAGGATGAAATGTTGAATTTGAAGACTAATTCAGTAAGAAGTCCTAGGGGTTTAACTGTACATACTACCTGAACTGGCTTTTCTGAGAGATGAATCAATAATGAAACATGTCTGTTTTAAAAACTACCACATGTGACTCCTATTTTTGTTAGCTGAAAGCTGCTATACGGAGTATTACAGGAATGTGAAGGTGACTAGCTTGAAGGTAGGGTAACTAGAGAGCCAGAAAAGTTTTGTTTTAAACTTGATTTAATGCGTTTTTATTTTTTCTTATACAAAATAGAGATAATGTTGCTAACTTCATGGAATATTTGAGGAAATGATATGAAAGTGTCTGGACGTGCAGTAACCTCATGGGTTCTTCTCACTGTCTTATAAATGTAAATAAAGATCTAATATTAATTTGGTTATCTAATAACAACTTAATACATAGAACTTAGTAGACTGCATGGCCACATTCTATAATATGATCACTAAGAACTTAATGTAGGATTTTAATAGTCATGTTTTTCTTAATTGTGGCAGAATTTAAACCTTAATTTTGTGATCTTTTTTAGTTAGTTTGTTTTTTGTTTTCTTTTCTTTTTTTTTTTTTTTTTTTTTTGAGGCGGAGTCTCACTCTGTCGTCCAGGCTGGAGTGCAGTGGCACAATCTCAGCTCACCGCAACCTCCATCTCCCGAGTTCAAGCGATTCTTCTGCCTCAGCCTCCCAAGTAGTTGGGACTACAGGCATGCACCACCACGCCCAGCTAATTTTTGTAGTTTTAGTAGATACGGGATTTCACCATATTGGCCAGGCTGATCTCGAACTCCTGACCTTGTGATCCTCCCACCTTGGCCTCCCAAAGTGTTGGGATTATGGGCGTGAGCCACTGCACCTAACCTCTGTGATCTCTTAAATATATATGAAGTTTTATTTTTGAAACACCAAATTTCAAATGAAGCATAGGCATTTTGATCTATTTCAGTTAAATTTAACACAAAAGCAGTAAATTGTAGTGACTTCATTTTTTTCAACCACAAAATGAAGATAACAATGAACAAAGCTAAAGTAAAACTCAGAATTGAAAAAAGTCTCTGTGCATCAATAATAAATACTAACTCCAGCATGGCCAGTGAGCCTAGAGCCATTTAATGGATAGTGTTTGTCCTGTTGATTTAGCATGCATTGAAACAAGAAGCAAGAAGCAGATGAGCATCCGTGAAAGAAAAAGTACTGGGAAAGAGGCTTGGCTTCAAAATGAAAGGCCATGTGTCTCATAAATGAATTTTGCCAGCCTCTATTTATTGCATAAAAATTGCTGTAGATGATAATGGATTTGCTCTCTAGAGCTAAGATAAATAGATCTGGATTCTAACCTCATCAGGTTACTTGTTTTGAGACCCCCAGGTTCTTTACTCATCCTCCATCTTGATCAAATTTGTAGTGCCATATTTATTGTATGGCTTTACATTTTGATTTTAGTATTTGAACAAATTTCAGTGTTCAAGATTGCACATAGTAGGTGCTCCATAAACCCTTATTTAAGAATCTGGGACTACCTGGACATACTTCTACAGTATGCTGGGAGTATGGTTTCTCTTCAGGCCAAAGTGGAATTTTACTTGATGGTTTGTGTGGACGTTTAGAAATAACACTCAGAGCTGATATTTCTACAGATTTTCAAGTTTATCACTTTAATGGAAGTTTCTGGCTTCTTGTATTAAATATCCCCATAGTTTTCCTGATTAGTAAGAGGCCCCTCAGAGCAGGGTATACCTTATCATAGCCACCATTAAAAGTTCTTAGGACTTCATCTTTTGTCTCTCTACCATTCATTGCCTCTTCCCTCTTGAAGCTGAAAGGCTTTAGACACAAAAACAAAAAACATATTCTAGAAGTTGACAAAATTAAAGGTGTGCTGTAGTGGTGATCTGGCACGTTGTAATTGAGACTGAGGAGGTGAATGACTTACATGGAGGTCGATGGAGCTGAAGAGGGTCTCTAGGAAATGTCATAGTCAAGAGGTTTGTATGCAGAATGTGGGGGTTGAAGAGCTGTGCGGCTCCTGGTGAGAGGCACACTTATCTGGGATGCAGTCTGGGGAGTCCTGGCGAGGCAGCTTCCACCTGCTGGAGGAGGGGCCGGGGCGGAGCTAAGATGCGGAGGAGGGTGACGCACTAGCTCTCCAGTTCGCCCGTTCCTGGCCTGACCCCCACCAAGGCCCATACCGCAGTAGGCTCCTCGGGCTGCCCCTCGGTGAGTACAGTTTTGATGTCGGCTCGGCCGCCTGCCGCCAACCCGAGATTTGGTATTGCCAGTTGTGGGAGGGCGTCCTGCTAAAATCCTTGAGGTGGAGGCTGGGGTCAGACAAAGGATGCGTAGGGGATTAGAATGTTTGGCTATCAGTAAGGGGAAGGGAGTACTGAGGGAGGAGATTGTGTAGTTCATCAAATCAGAGCGGCGTTTGCTGGGATGACATCCTGCATTCAGAGTGGACAAGGGAAAGATGGAGATGGAGAGCCTCGTGTCTGCCTCCAGCCTTTTCCATCAGAATTGCAGATTTTGCTGTTAAACAGCTACTCTCAGCTCTTTGGAGAGCAAGGTTTTATATCTAGTGGCTAGAAAAGGCCTTTTCTTTGCAGAAAAAGAAATTGGAGGGTATAAAAATTTTTGTTTCAGTAAAGGAAATGCACGATTTTGCCTCCTCCCACCTCTCCATCCCCCATCCTCAGTAGAAGAATGATTAGAAGGAGGGTTTGCGCCGGTCCTGGTGGCTCACGCCTGTAATCCTAGCGCTTTGGGAGGCTGAGGGGAGGGGGTGGATCACCTGAGGTCAGGAGTTCGAGACCAGCCTGACCAATATGGTGAAACCCTGCCTCTATTAAAAATACAAAAATTAGCCGGGTTTGGTTGTGGGCGCCTGTAATTCCAGCTACTCGGGAGGCTGAGGCAGGAGAATCACTTGAACCTGGGAGGTGGAGGTTGCAGTGAGTCGAGATGGCGCCACTGCACTCCAGCCTGGGCAACAAGAGTGAAACTCCGTCTCAAAAAAAAAAAAAAAAAAAAAAAAAAGGGTTTGCAAGGCCGCTGCCTGAAGCATGCATCCAAACACGTTAAGCAGCTGTGGGGTAAGCTGCAAGGATAATGTTCACTTGTTTTGCAGACATACCCATAGAAACCAACATTTTGGACAGGTTGACCCTCCCACCCCCAGGCTAGTTAACTCCCTCTCACCACCACTGCCTCCCCATATTCTAACCTCCAGAACTGTTAAGGCAATGTTAGCAACATAATAATAGCAATATAGGGGCTCATTCTGTGCCTGGCATTGTCCTAAACACTCTTAACATGTATTTGCACACACCCTCACAACAACCCTAAAAGGTAAATGCTTTAATTATCTCCGTTTTGCAGAGGAGGAAACTGAGGGACTTGCCTACGATCACTCAGCATGTGGCTGAGCAAACAAACCTCAAACTACCCCAGCAGATTGCAGGGCTGGATCTAAGGAACATTTTCCTTCCTTTCAGGATCGCAAACGTATTGGATGTTTGCTAAACTGAAATGTTTCCCTGCCACCACTCCCAACCTTCCTGAGCTTCTTGATTTGTGTCTTCCTGACTCCCTCCTGTTAGACTTTTATTCCCAGAGACTGGGAAAACCCAAGATGCCACTATCTCTTTCTCAAAATGTAAGCAAGTTTGGTTTATTTGTTTTAGTAAGAGAGGGAGAGAGTGATGAAGTTAGGAGTAATGCAGAACTTTCAGGGAGCTACAAGGAGGATAAAAATTATGAGTGAGAACCGCCATTCCAGCCTAGCTTTCTCAAGAATGCAAACAGAGGGAATTGGATACCTGCAACTGTTTTGTTTAATACCTTTCTGCAATGATGCTCTGCCTAGCATGGAAACTTAAGACAAAAGCAACCTCCTAAGGATTCTTTGTTACAACCCCTTTCTGGGTGGTCCTCGAACCACAACCTGGAGTGGTTGCATCATTATAATTGTATTATCACAATTGCCGATTGTAGCCTATCAGTATACATTTGGTCTTTTATCTGCAGGTTGACAATGGTCTCCAGGATGGTCTCTACCATGCTATCTGGCCTACTGTTTTGGCTGGCATCTGGATGGACTCCAGCATTTGCTTACAGCCCCCGGACCCCTGACCGGGTCTCAGAAGCAGATATCCAGAGGCTGCTTCATGGTGTTATGGAGCAATTGGGCATTGCCAGGCCCCGAGTGGAATATCCAGCTCACCAGGCCATGAATCTTGTGGGCCCCCAGAGCATTGAAGGTATTTACTGTGTTCTGATGGTTTGAAGTTTCCGTTAGCATTTTAAATAATATATTTGCACACTTCTCACAACAACCTTATAAGTAGATGCCTTTATTATCCTATTTTTTTCAGAGGAGGAAGCTAATTTTTAAGAGACTCTACTTTCTCATGGTTTTCCCTTTCTTCTTCTACACAGTGTCTACATACTTACATATACACACCCACATGAGACTATAAGTCCTGTGAGAGCAGGGACCTTATCTATCTAATTCATAGCTGTAGCCCTAGCACCTAGCACAATGTCTGGTACATAATAGGTGCTCAATTAATGTTTGTTGAATGAATGAAGGAGCATCTAGTGTTATCACTAAAGAAAGATTAGAACCCAGACATGATGTTTTCTCCTCACTGCTGATCTTCAGGAAATTGTGTCATCAGATAGCTGCCTTTTGAGTCAATGCCAGCCAGTACTTGTAAAAGAGCTTCAAAATGTAGAACCTACAGGATCTGACTTGATTCCTAGGAATGACTCCAGTATACCCAAGAGGAGACAAAAGAGGTACTGACATTAAGAGTTTACGTGAAAGCTTTTGAAAATATTTAAAAATATAACAATTTTATTAAATAATAAATTAAGAATAATTAAATCGTTTTAAGGTGGCAAGACCATTTTCCCCCTGAAGTTTTCCAAGTTTCTGGCAATGTGGTCATAATACTTGTATTAGAAAGCAGTACTTCATTTGTTTGTTGTTTAATGATTTGTTTATAAAGAGAATCTAGCTTCTATGAGCTGGTGATGCAGCGTTAGACAGATTCCTTATTTCCATGCTTTGCTTTTTATCCTCTGATTCTAATGATCTCCTTCTCCACTAAGGCAGAATCCTAAAGAAGTAGCATGGTTAATTTCAGTTAAATGCAAGGGAGCATTTCCTTATAGTTCAAGGATTTGCCCATGGAGTGGGTCCGAAGGAAAATGAGAATTATCTCTAAAAGCATACCAACCAAATGCTGTTTGTTCCCTACAGATTGATTATGCACTATTTTGCCAGAGTCTGTGATTTTCTAAAAATGCTATCTGCCCTAGGGTTCTGTGAATGCCATGAATATTGTTGATAGATGATTCTTATTTCTGTTTTGTTACCCATAGTTTTAAGCCATTGAGTAAAACTAATTCGGTGAGATTGTAGTCTGTTTAGGTTGACATTTGATTTCAGGAGTGGATTAACACAAATGCGTTGAATCGGCAAGCATGCAAACCTAGCACATGGCTTGAATTAGAACAAATCCGACAGAGCTTCCTGTCATCCCTTTTAGGGAGAATCTCAGTCCTTCTCAGCATCTGTCACCGTTACTTCAAGCACACCTATATATTTCAGGCCAGCTCTTTTGAGACAAACAATAAATATCTACCTTTTTAAGGCAGGAAGTGCTTGGTTATTCACCTAAGCTGTTGTCATGGAGCTCTCTGAGTTTCCACTAATACCTGAGGCCTGATCAGCTGTGCTGGAAAAGAAACAGCCACTCCCGGGGCATCAAAAGCCTCTTTATCCAGAGACTCCATTCCCTCCAGTATCCAACTATTTAGTACCCACTATATACCAGGCACTAGGCAGGAGACTGGTGCAGCTCTGCCCTAAAGATTCACAGTCTGAGTGGAGAGGGAAGTGGGGACACACATCAAAAGTTATGACAGTGCATCCCAGCAGGTGTTTTGATAGATGTACACACAAGCTGCCGCCGTGGAAGCAAACAGGAGTAATTTAGTCTGCTTAGGAGTGGATGGGGTGGCTATAAGGAAATGCTGCTTTGAAGAAGCAACATTTGACCTGGGTTTTGAAGTTTGAGTAAGAGTTCATCAGGGAACCATAAGTGTAAAGGCATGGAGGTACAACTATTATGTACCCACAAAAACTAAAAAAATAAAAGGCATGGAGACATGAAAGATCATGGATTAGGACAATTCAGAATTAAAAACTCTGTTTCCCTTATTACCCTTGGAATAATGTGCTTAACATAGCAATTTTTTTTTCTTCTTTTTGAGACAGAGTCTCACTCCGTCACCCAGGCTGGAGTGCAGTGGTGCAATCTTGGCTCACTGCAAGCTCTGCCTCCCGGGTTCACACCATTCTCCTGCCTCAGCCTCCTGAGTAGCTGTTTACAGGCGCCCGCCACCACGCCCGGCTAATTTTTTGTATTTTTAGTAGAGATGGGGTTTCACCGTGTTAGCCAGGATGGTCTCCATCTGACCTCATGATCCGCCTGCCTCGGCCTCCCAGAGTGCTGGGATCACAGGCGTGAGCCACCACACCCGGCCTAACATAGCAATCTTAAGTCTCCCCTATCAGTATCTGTGGAAGGGATGAATACTGACTTGAATTTTAGTTTTCTATTACTGTATAACAAATTACCACAAATTTAGCAGTTTCACACAGCATTCATTTATTATTTGAGTTTTCCACTGCTCAGGAGTTTGGTGCGGATTAGTGTTCAGGTGCTGACCAGAGGTGTCGTCTTGGCTGCAGCTTGCGTCCTCTTCCAAGCTCGTTAAGGCTGTTGGCAGAATTCCATTTGAATTATATTGTAGGACTGAGTTCCCTTTCTCTTGCTGGCTGTCAGCCAACCAAAGCCCCTCTCAGCTCTTAGAGGCCGCCTCAGGTTGTAAGCCACATGCCTTCTCATAGCTGGAAGGAGAATATCTCTTTAGTCTTCTAATTATAATGTAATATGATCCTGGGAGTGACTATCCCATGACCTTTTTCAGATAACAAGGGACTGATATCTCATTATATTCCCAGCAGGTGGGAATCTTGGGAGTCTTCCTAGAATTGTATACTATAGCTAGGATGAAAACTAACAAAGAAAATAGTCCAAAGATACTTGGGGCAAAAACAACAAAATAAAAAGCCTGGGTTTTTCCCAGTCTGGGACCTTGGCATTGAATTTGTTGGGTGGTCTGATCATTTATTCATGTGAGTTAGTTATTGTTTCACCTCATCCATTTATTTGCATTATCTTTGCTCACACTCCCTGATGCTAATTCCCTCTGACAGACACATGGAGTATCTTCCATACCCTTCCAACATTGATTTTAGGATTTTATTGTGAAGAACCAAGTTGGGAAAGTTTATTTTTAATTGTTACAGAAAGAATATACATAATATATTATCATATTTTATAGTAATACTGTATTCTGGTGTGAATTTCAAATACACTTAACATGGTGCTTATGAGCACAAACCATTGTCAGAGACACCCGAATTTGAATGCCAGCTTCATCATTTATTACTAATATGACCTTGGGCAAGTTACTTAACTCCTATAACCTTCTGTTTAGCTTAGGGGTAGGATTTAAATTCACTTACTTGTAAGCAGGTAATGTTCCAGTCCACAGAAGCAAAAATAAAGTTTTAGCATGGATAACTGTGCTACGATGAAATAATTTCTAAACAAATCATCATCATCATCACTTTAGATAATTACTGGATGTTAAGTTCCTTGCAGGCAGAGTTGTTCACTGCCCAACACATGGTACATAGAAGACAAATATCTATCTTGTCTACTTAAATAAATTAATTGTATGATCAATGGATCTTAACAAATGTGTATATTTGCTCTCAAATATAGAATTATAAATTGGCCTTTTAGTATAGGAATATAGTATCAGTATAAATTAATGTTAGGTCAGTGAGGTATCATATATCCCATTAAAAAAAACATATCTTCTTTGATTCCATATCCCTTCTAGTTACTGTTCCAATTTTCTGCTGCCTTTCACAGCAACCTTTCACAGCTGCCTTTCACAGCCTTTCCTCACATGCCAATTGTACTTCTTCAACTCTCATTCTCTCCTGGTCCATTGTAGCCCACTGTTCTCACCGCTCATTCATTAAACCTACTAGTATTTATTGAGTGCCAGGCACTGTTTTAGGTACTGAGGAAATAAACGTGAACAGCAAAGTAGCAGGGCGAGGAAATGTAGTCCTTAAATAAACAAATAAGTATTGGGCTTTCCTTTTTTCCTTTTTTTCTTTACCCATTTGTTAGTTTCGTTTACAGGTTTCTCTGGCGGCCTTTAAAAGTTAAGTTCTCCAGGGCTCAGTGCTGGGTCCACTTCTCTTATTTCCCTCAATTCTCTATCTACTTGATCTCATTCATTCTCTTGACTCTCAATCCATTTCTTGGCTGGTGACTCCGGTGTTTGTATTTCAGCCCACATTTCTTTCTTGCATATCCATAGGCTTACACTAATTGCTAAATTGCCAGGTTTCGATCCTGATTTCTCAAACCACCACCTTCCCCAGCCTGTTTATATCAGTCTTTTCTGTCTAAATGAGTAGTGCCCCTGCTTAGCCATATATGCAAACTAAATACCTACAGTAGCCCTTGATTTTCTCCATCACACTTCATGCCTCAATTTTAAGTAATTTATTTCATTTTTATCTCTAAAATCCATGTGCAATTTCCTGTCTGCTTCTCTCTAGCTCTACTCCAAACACCCTGGTCCAAGATACCATCATGTCTGGCATGGAGTTTTGAAATCGCCTCCTAACTCATCTTCCTGCTTCTATTCTTGATCCCTTTTCGATTGTTCTTCACAGGAAGAACAGGAGTTAAACTTTTTTCAGGAGTTAAACTTGAAAAGTTTAAACCATATTAGTGTCATCTCCGTAGTTACAATTCCATTGGTGGCTTCCCATCGTACCCTGAATAAAAATAACCCTTCTTGCCATGACCTACGAGGATCCACAGCTCCAGTCAATCGTACTCCCTACTTTGTTCCACGCATTCTGGCCCTGAGTCACACCGGCCTCTTCCCACCTCAAGGCTATCAACACATTGGATGGGATCAACAATGGGAGGCTATCAACCTCCCATTCCTTGTGTAGCGAGTTTCAAAGTCACCCACTCAGAGAGGGCTGCCTGACTGCCCTGTCTGAGTAGCACCCCCCTACATTCTCTGTTGCAGTCTCCTTTTTTTTTTTAAAAAAAAAACAGAGTCTCACTCTGTCCCCCAGGCTGGAGTGCAATGGTGCGATCTCGGCTCACTGCAAGCTCCGCCTCCCGGGTTCTCGCCATTCTCCTGCCTCAGCCTCCCCAGTAGCTGGGACTACAGGCGCCCGCCACCACGCCCGGCTAATTTTTTGTGTTTTTAGTAGAGACGGGGTTTCACCGTGTTAGCCTCCTGACCTCGTGATCCTCCCGCCTTGGCCTCCCAAAGTGCTGGGATTACAGGCGTGAGCCGCCATGTCCAGCCTTTTTTTTTAAAGCTCCATAGCATTTTTTGTCATTTATAATCATTGTTTGTTTTCTTGCTTATTGTTTATCTCTCCACTGGAATGTAAGCTCCATGAGGCTATATCTGCTTATTAACTGCATTATATTCCAGGCACATAGTAAGCATTCAGTAAATATTTGAGGAATTAATGTATAATATCAGGGGGAAATAAATATACCTAATGGCAATAAGTATGTAAATACTGTTTTACATCTGGATCTGTCAAGACTTTCTGCCTTTTAGTTCAAGGAAAATATTCCATTTCTATTCTGTTTTTAAAAATCTCTGCCTAGAGGTTCTTGCCATGAGCTTAGTGATAATGTGGTGAGCAAAAATGTCTGTTATCTAGAATTGACTATGACTGTGATCACCATGGTGCAAGGTTTGTGCCCTTTGTACAGCGCCTACCAAGGAGCTAGAAGGACTTTTTGCAGTCCTGGGACTAAACCAGCAGAGGGCCAACTAGACTAGAAGTTTATTTTGGAAGATTCCTGAACCCTGGTAGCCAGCCTCCTGGTCGTTAATAGCTTTAAGTGGTCGCTGGGGTAGAAGCATTTGCCAAAACATCCAGAGAGGATTGGGGGTTATGTTTAACTTCTCCGTGGGCGCCTTAAAAACAGCTTGGTAAGGAGCATCTTTCAAATGTGTAAATTCTTAGTCCAAAGCAAATAAAAACACAAAGACAAACAGGGACCTACTTGGCATTACATGAAAAAAAAGAGTGTGTATGTTTATGGCAGAGAACTCGGGTTAACCCGTAGCCGTACTATTTTCTAGCTATGTGTAATCCTGGCAACTTTCTAAGCCTAGTTCTCTCAAATAAAATCGGCCCAAATAAAATGGGCTTGTCTGGTTCGAGTTGGTGTTTGAAAAATAAAAATAAAATAAAATGGGGTTTCCAGCCCACTCTTACATGCAATCAGTGGGTGCCATTAGTAACTGAATTGCAGGCCTTCCTCCTCTCACTTTGTGGATTATCAACAACATGTTTTCAGTCTTTAATGGCTTACCCCAATCTTATTTATTTATTTATTTTTTGAGACGGAGTCTTGCTCTTTCGCCCAGGCTGGAGTGCAGTGGCGGGATCTCAGCTCACTGCAAGCTCTGCCCTCCCAGGTTCATGCCATTCTCCTGCCTCAGCCTCGCGAGTAGCTGGGACTACAGGTGCCCGCCACCACACCTGGCTAATTTTTTTTTCGTATTTTTAGTAGAGACGGGGTTTCACCATGTTAGCCAGGATGGTCTCGATCTCCTGACCTCGTGATCCGCCCATCTCGGCCTCCCAAAGTGCTGGGATTACAGGCGTGAGCCACCACGCCCGGCGCCCCAGTCTTATTTTTGATTACTCATCAGTTAGCAATACAGTTCAGATATGCTTCAGTGCACCATATATTTCAGCAGTAACCATCTTCTCCCAAGCCCACGGTTGCTCACTGGTCTCCAAGACATAGCTAAATGGCTACTGTTGTATTATCCCCAGAAACAAATAAAGCCACCAACTGTCCAGGGGACTGATTCGGAGAACCATGTGCTGTGAGATGGGAGCTCTTGGGAGTTAGAACTGGTTGTGCCAGCTGACACTGATGATGGCCTTGGATGGCCTTGGATGAATCCAACCAGAAAATGTGCTTTCGTTTTCAGAACATTAACAGCTTCAGGTAAAAGATAGGCTGCTCAGTGCCAGCTGTTCATTTTCCCCACAGTTCTAGGCCACCAGCTATCTAGCACTGTGATAACACCAGTTATCTAGCCATTAAGATAGAAATGTATAAACATTAGCATTTGATGGCTCTGAGTAATTTTAAATCCATATTGCCAAACATTAAAATACCCACGTTCTGCCGGGCGCGATGGCTCACGCCTGTAATCCCAGCACTTTGGGAGGCCGAGGCGGGCGGATCACCTGAGGTCAGAAGTTCGAGACCAGCCTGGCTAACATGGTGAAACCCCGTTTCTACTAAAAATACAAAAAATTAGCTGGGCATGGTGGCACGTGCCTGTAATCCCAGCTACTCGGGAGGCTGAGGCAGGAGAATCGCTTGAACCCTAAAGGCAGAGATTGCAGTGAGCCAAGATCGCCCATTGCACTCCAGCGTGGGCAACAAGAGCGAAACTCTGTCTCAGAAAAATAAAATAAAATAAAATACGTTCTTTTTTATAACACTGACTGTTGGACTTCAAATTTTTCACTTAGAAATAGAGACCCAAGGTTATTTTCTTAATAAATATCAAGTGGAGAAAGAGTCCTGTGGATGATAGGCTACTTGAAGAGGCAGATCCTAGGAGCCTCTACTCTGCCAAGCTTTGGCCTTGGTAAAGGAGCTGCAGTGCCTCCGCTTTGCCACAGGGTGGCAACAGTTGCTTCCCATTTGAGGATGGCGGGGTGAAGCAAACCTTGAACTGTAGGGGACACTCCGTTTCTGGCTAGTCTCTCTCTGCAGTTGGAGAAAGCAGTGCAGCTGACTCTTATGTGTCTTGACTAAAATCTGTTTCTAGGTTATCCTCACCCTGGAGGAACCAATGAGAACATTGGGCTTGTAGGCCATCTATGAATGGACTGGGACCCCCCAATGGGCCCATGCCTTTGGGGTTGCATTTTGTCCACCTTGAACTTCAATCCTTAAAGTCTCTGGATGATTTTCAGTTTTTCTCTGTTGAGCAATTGCATGGATAGTAATGAGAAATTCAAAAGAAACGGGGAGGTTCTTTTTGGGAGGGGAAAAGGATAGGAAAGATGAACACGATGACATGTTTGTGTATGTTTACAGTGTCCTGGGTATCCAGAAGGCACTTAGATGTATATGGCACAGGAGAGAAGTCTGGGAGAAGGAAGGGTTTCAGAGTCATCCCCGTGTTAGTGGTGGCTGATACTGTAGGGGTGGATGGGGTCACCCTGGGTGGGTATTGAGAACAACAGGGCACCTAAGACAAAGGCCAGGTAGATGAAGAAGAATCCACAAAGGAAACTGGGATAAATCGGCCAGAAAGGAGAAGAACCAGAAAGATAGAGTGTAATGAAAACAAGGAAATAGTGTTCTGAGAAGGGGCAGTGGTTACCACTGTCAGGATCAGCAGAGAGGTCACATGAAATAGTAAAAACCACTGGGTGTCAAGTGTTCACTGGGGGTAGCAACACAGAAGTTACTGCTTTGTGGGGGCTTTGGGCAGAGCCGGCTCTGGGGAGTAGTGGGGGCCCACCATACCTGCAGGGCATTGAGGGGATAAACAAGGAAGAAATGCAACGTATAAATGTGTTCCCAGAATGTCAGGTAAAGGGGAGATGAGTAATAGCTGTGGAAGGATTGGGGGAAGGGTGAATGATTTAGAGCTGAGGACGGTTTCTGTTAAGGTTGTTTTAGGATGTGAGAAATTGAACTTGCTGAAGTGCTAATTGCTAAGAACCAGCAGAGAGGGAGAGTTGAAGATGTGGGATGGGGAGCAGCAACTGAGGAGGTGGGAGAGGATGAGGACTGGAGCACAGGTGTTGGCCTGTGTCTTAGGTCTTTCCTTCCTCCATTGGGGAAAAAGGAAAGTGGCAAAGGTGTGCTGGGATACAGAGCTTTGGAGGTTTTGGCCTCAGGTGTTTGCAAGCGCTGTACTAATTCTAGCCACCTTCTCAATTAAAATAAGAATACAAGAATGAAATGCAGTCTCCCAAATCTCTTTTCTTTGCCAGCTTATACATTTATACACCTCACTGATATGTCTTTTGATGTTTTAAAATTTTGGACAGCACTATTTTTAACTTTTACAACTATAACTATTAGTTATTTACTAGTTATAGTATAAACTTTTAATATTTACTTTTTATAACTCCTAGATGTCTTGTAGATCAAAAGATCTAAAGTGTCATCTTTGTCTATTTTATATCTTGTTTAATAGTAATAAATGTTTTAGTGAAGCATAAACCTAGAACAAAAATAGAAAATAATCTTAATAGGGTGTTGGGGAATTTTATGTGAACACTTCATGTGTCTTTGGAACAGTACAATGTAAAAAATTAGCACAGCCTTATTGCATGCACAAAATGTGAAATAATGTGAATCTTCCCCAAATAACAATTTGTCAAGAATCACAATTTCAAAGTAGTAGGCTTAGTAATTCTAAACAGTGATCGGTAGAATCTGTCATCATCCTCAATTAGGATTGTTCTTGAATTTTGTGAATTTTCAATCACGAGTGAGATCTTTAGTCCATTCCTTAAATAACATGTGACTATCTTAGAATGTCAAAGAGGGACACAGAAAACTAGATAACAACTCCTGAAATTAAGTTTGCTGTATGGCAACTACTAATTGCTCTGCCAGTTGTCTGACTGTAGAATAATCCTTGTGAAATATTCACTTCTATATGGGTTGGAGCCTGGGTAAGTCTGAGCCCCAGTGTATTTTCATGGAAGTCACTAGAACCAGATGTAAATCCTGGGTTCTCTAGAGAAACAGACAAACAGAACCAATAGAATGTATAGAGAGACAGACAGTTATTTTAAAGAGTTGGCTCATATAAACGTGGGGGCTGGCAAGTTGAAAATTTGTAAGACAGACTGGAGACTTGGGCAAGAGTTGATAATTTTGAGTCTGAAGACAGTCCAGAGGCCGAATTATTTCCTTTTCAGAGGACCTCAGTCTTTTCTCTTAACGTCTTCAGTGATTAGATGAAGTCCACCCGTATTATAGAGAGTAATCTGCTTTTCTTAAAGTTCACTGATTTAAATATTACTCACTTTAATACCTTCACAGAAAAATCTAGTGTTGGCTTATGATCACACAACTGGGTACTATAACTTAGGCAGTCTGACACATGAAATTAATAGGGTGTTGGGGAATAAAATTAACACAGCTGTCATCAAGCCTCCATTTCCTAAGGAAAATTATTATAATCCACATAAATATGGTATTTTGCTTTTGAATCTCTCTAACAGAGTCTGGGTCTCAAATTGTCTTCATGCACAGTGTCATGCTTACCCTCACAATCACTTACTGGAGGCAGGCAAGGAGGGTGAGTATTCCTTGCCACCTTTTACAGATGTGGAAAAAGAAACTCAGAGATGAGACTTATCTAGGGATACAGCTTGTCTTCTGGTCTGTTCAGGCTGCTATAACAAAAATTCCACAGACTAGGTGGCTTAAATAACAAAGGTTTATTTCACAGTTCTGGAGGCTGGGAAGTCAAAACCAAGGTGCTGGCAGATTCCGTGCCTGGGGAGAGACTGCTTCCTGATTCATAGGTGGCTGTCTTTCATTGTATTCACATGGCAGAAGAGATGAGAGAGCTCTCTGGGGCCTCTTTTATTACCATCACATTGGGGATTAGGCTTCAACATGTAAATTTTAAGAGGAACACAAACATTCCATCCATAGCCCAGCTAGTATTTGTGGGATCAGAGCCTGAGCTGGACCCCGGTGTTTTCCTCTTCTGTCTGTCCAGCACATCACACTGCTTCTTTGGCTAGTTGATCTAGTTAATTATAGGTACTGTACAGATGCAGAAAGGGTTAAACCTTGACCACAAGGTTTATCCTTAAGGATGATCCTCACTCCTGGGCTCATTGTTGATACTTCTTTGTATTTGCTTCTTTAGCCTCATTGTGAATTGGCATTGATGATGAGGAAGAGCTTGCCTTCCTCACTAGACTGAGATTTGCAAATGCGCACACAGTATCTGCCTCGCTTTTTGTGTCTGTAGTGCCTAGACAAGGCCAGGCAAATAACACCCACTAAATATTTGTTGAAACAACCTTGCCATATTTGCTCCCTTGAAATAGCCATTGACCTCTGAGACACCAGCAAGTGGGACTCGTGTTATTCCAGTCAAGATTATCCAGCCTTCGCAACATGTAAATATATCTGGAGCATTTTGACGGTAATAACCTAAAAGTCACCGGCATTTCTCACACTTGGTCACTTAGGACTGCAATTTCCTGGAAAGTGCTTTAAATATTTCTGGAGATTGCCGGGCATGGTAGCTCATGCCTGTAATCCCAGCACTTTGGGAGGCCGAGGCGGGCGGATCACAGGGTCAGGAGATCGAGACCATCCTGGCTAACACGGTGAAACCCCGTCTCTACTAACAATACAAAAAATTAGCTGGACGTGGTGGCGGGCACCTGTAGTCCCAGCTACTCAGGAGGCTGAGGCAGGAGAATGGCATGAACCCAGGAGGCGGAGCTTGCAGTGAGCCGAGATCGTGCCACTGCACTCCAGCCTGGGCAACAGAGCGAGACTCTGTCTGAACAACAAAAAAAAAAATTCTGGAGATCATAGAGCAAACACCATATATGATCCTAAGCAAAATGAATTGGTCCACTTCCGTGGGACAGTTACCCATTTTCCCCTTTTCCTCCCGTTGTCCCCTTAAGTTCAGCACCACCATGCCCTTCAGCTATGATTGTCTCCCATTACAGCTGGTGGGTGCCCCCAAGCTATGCAGCCTCAGGGTGTTCTGTTGTAGTGGGTGCTGACTTGGGAGGGCAACGGGAAATCCCCTCAGTGTATGCTATGGTCTGAATGTTTGTGTCTCCCCCAGATTCATATGTTGATGCCTAATCCCCACTGCAATAGTATTAAAAGATAGGGTCTTTGGGGGTGATTAGACCTTGAGGGCTTCACCCTTACAAATGGGATCCATGCCCTTATGAAAGAGGCCAGAGGAAGCTCATTTGCCCTTTCCACCGTGGGAGAACACAGGAGACGGAGCCACTGTGAGGAACAGGCCCTCACCAGACACAGAATCTACAGGCACTTTAATCTTGGACTTCCCAGCCCCACAACTGTGAGCAATAAATTTCAGCTGTTTGCATATCACTTGGTCTAAAGTATTTTTTACAGCAGCCTGAATGGACCAAGACAGTGTGCCTTGATATCCCTAAATACTAGAGATTTTTTAGGGAAACATAGCTTTATTTTTTTTGCCCCTCTGCCCCACAACTTTCTGTAGGATTCACATGGGGGTGTTGGACATGGAGACAAAGCTAAGCACTGGGAACCATAGGTTCTAAAAATCCCAACCTTTCCATTGACCACTAAGGCATTATTTATTGTCTGGTGCCTTGCAGTTGGCAAGCCGACTCCTCTTTCCTTCAGTCTGAGCTTTCTCCTGGAGGTTTCTAAGTTCCTCATGCAAATAGGCTTCTGGCAGATGTCCTCTCAGACATATCTGTTCAAAACTCAGAGTGTTCAAGCTGGGACCTTGTTTCACGTCATCTGGAAAAAGAGGGAGGCAACAGGAAGTGTGCTGAGTCGCCAGGGAAGCCACAATCAACAATTTCCCACAGGTAATTGACAAAGTGGATCAGGCACATGTAGGAAGTGGAATTGTGGTAACTAAATTTTATATATTTTATGGCTTGCAGAAATACTTTTCTATATTCTGTCTCATTTGATACAGCCTTTAAAAAGGTTAAAAACGTTTATCATTGCCCACAATCACACCGCTTAAGCTTTACGAGTTAAATGTCCTGTTGGCAGGACAGCTGTGTTAGGTTTAAATGTATCTCCCCATCCAGCTGTCTTCTATCCTGGTAGACTAGTACAATCCTGTGATATTTAGCTGAGAAACTATAATGTGCTGGGAGTCGTGGTAAACCACATGTGGATTTGGGTGGATGGTGTTTCAGAGATGTGCCGCTTCTGGAAGCAAATGTTCTGACAAACTGCCTTCTTGGAACCAATTGGTGCAAATACCTTGGGCACCACAGTTCGTAAAGAGAACTGTCGAAGGCGGCTGGAAGGGTTTAGCAGACCACAATTTCGCACCGCAAATATAACTGAGCATGCACTTTTGACCATGGTGTGCTGTGTGATGTTAGTAGAGGAAGGGGCACTGGCGGTGGAGGCTGGGGGGGACTTGGTTTGTACAGCATAGCAGGAAGAGCACTGAGGCAGGATGCCCAGGGGTTCTAGTCCTAGCTCAGACCAGCTGCATGGCACTGAACAAGTCCCTTCAGTTCCGCAAAGTTTAGCTTCCCAATCTAAAAATAGAGATAAACTGTCCAGTCCATCTCACAGGTTTGACAGGGCAGTCAAATTAAATAATATATATAAACGTATTTTGGAAAGTATAAAATGGTACACAGGTGCAAAGCATCATTCTCATGGTCCTTAATTCTTTCATCCTCCTGTATATATATATATATATATATATATGTATGTATGTATTTCCAGGTGTAAGTGGCTTTGGGATTGGAAGATAGTCATATCTTTCAATCTTAAGTTTCCTTCACGTGGCCTCAGAAAACTGCCCCCAGTAGTTGCATGTTAAACTTTGCCAGAATCAGTTTCCCACCTGGCCTTAAGTGCTCTGCTCTGTATTGGTGTTGACCTTAGGCGTGAGAAACATGTGACTGTAATGAGGATGGATGCTTTCTAAAAGCTCATAAATAGCAACTTTTTCATACTGAAATTTGCTCTGTTCCATTCTTGCCCTTGTGACTTTACAGATGTTGTATTCTGCCATGAAATAGGTTATAGAAGCAGGTTTAAAGTGAAGGAGACTATGATTCAGCTGCCAAACCAAAAGTGAAACCTGTCCATGTGGATATAGCAGATGTCAGTGGAAGAAAGGTGTGCAGAATTGAAAAGCTTGCTCTCCGTGGTTTGAGAACACACTGTCCTCTTGTGGGCGTCTCTGGCAGCCCATGATCGGTACACTTCCTTGAACCAAATAGCCTATCAAAATATTATCTAATACATTTCTACTTTTATTTACTCAATGAGTAATTACTGAGTGCCTACTACATGCCAGGAACTGTGGCCCTGATATGTTTCAAAACCCATAAACATGCATCTAACTTATTTATGTAGGATCTCCATCAGGCACTATCTTCTTTTAACCTTTCCAGTGAAGGTTAAACTCTGACCAGAGGAATTGAGCGTGTTTACAGAAAATCAGGAATGGAACAGAATTAGACTGCTTTTCCCCTTACTTCCCACTCCCTTACAGCATGTTCCATTGGTACTTGAGTCTAGAGGCATCCAGAGGTGTAAGAATAACCAAACACAACAAAGATTAGGAGTAACGAAGTGTTTTCATGCAGTGCCGCACCCCAGTGAGGTGGGCTGGCTAAAAGGATGTGATACAAACTGATATCCAGGGAATGGCAAAGAGGAGTAGCTGGGCCTGTCCATCATCTCTTATCATGACTCACAGCCCTTGTTTAAGGAATTTGAAGTCTAGGTGGATGAAAGGGACATCAAACTTAAAATGCATAGCTGCAACCTACTAGATAGAAGCTGAGAACCCTATATGTGGATCAGGCAGTCACTACTGGAGTTCAGGAGGGGAATAAGGCATTGGCCCCTAGAGAAGACATCACAGATCAAACTTGAGCTAGACTTCCTTGAGGACGGGTAGGATGTAGATGATAAAGATTCAGCTTCAGGCAGTAAGAAGTGAAAAGAAACATACTTTTTAACCAGTATGTGTTGAGTGGAGGGTGGTTATGGGGAAGGGAGGGTGGCAGGGAAGGCTGGATGCATTTAAGGCTGTCGCCAAGTTTTTCTGCTTAAAGAGCATCTGGGCACAGTGGCACATGGTCTATATTACTCAGGGCCCTAAGCTCACCTGAGAAGCTCCAGCCTCCCTTCTGCACCTTGCCCACAGAATGTTCTGTAACACTTCTCTGTCCTTGCAGATAAATAGGCTGCCCCAAATCTAGCGATACCCTCGATGGTGGCAGGGGTAGTAGCAGTGGCATTGGATGGGACGGTGGGTTGGATATTTCCCTTTGTATTGGTCAAATACATGCACAGATGGCACCAACACCACGGGGATCTCTGGAGATGAAGGTAGGTATTTCTTCAGTCACTCAGCACTTAACAACTGTCAGAGAGGGCCGGGCGTGGTGGCTTATGCCCGTAATCCCAGCACTTTGGGAGGCCGAGGCGGGTGGATCCCGAGGTCAGGAGATTGAGACCATCCTGGCTAACACGGTGAAACCCTGTCTCTACTAAAAATACAAAAAATTAGCTGGGCATGGTGGCGGGCACCTGTAGTCCCAGCTACTCGGGAGGCTGAGGCAGGAGAATGGCGAGAACCTGGGAGGCGGAGCTGGCAGTGAGCCGAGATGGCGCCACTGCACTCCAGCCTGGGCGACAGAGCGAGACTCTGTCTCAAAAAAAAACAAACAAAAAAAACCAAAAAAACTGTCAGAGAGATAATAGGAGAAATGTGCCCCTGCACTCGCACTGCACAGCATGTGCCGGATCATCTGTGAAATGGATCTTTCCTCTGGGAGCTCCATCTTTTCCAGGTGATTGTTCACTTGGACATATTTGATTATAAGCTCCCAGAGTGTCAGACACGGACTTCTCATGGCAAGTTAGACGATCCCAGGTGCCCAGTGGGTGGCAGTGCAGTGAGTGGCAGGAGGAAAACTTTCCTGCTGGCTTTTGGTCTGACCAAGACAGAGTGATACTTATCCAGGGCCTAAAATAACCATAGCAATAGGCCTTGCCAGAAGGGATCTGTGGCAGGCTCCTGGCACTACTGGTCAGTTCCCCCAGTGGCCTGTTCAAGTTTTTCTTTGCATGAGACAGAGGTTATGGCTGAGGAAACAGCCAGGCCAGGAGGCTAGCCTGCCCTGCAGAAGCCCAGGGGACCTTCCTGATGCCATCTTTCTGGTATGACAGCTCAGCAGGCCTGTGTCAACAAGCCCTGCACGGTTTGGACAAGATGTGAGTGACTAACGTTTTCCTCTGGAGCAGCAGGAATGGATGGGCCTGCTGGGAAGAATCCCTTTGCTGTGAGCTACCTAAGACGCCTGGCTCCTGAATTGAACCAGCAGGTCCCTTCTCTGTATCTTGCTTGCTTTCCTTTAAAAAAAAAAAAATCCTCAGCAGATGATGGGAGGAATTATTTGCTGAGTTTGTCCAGACTCTGAATAGCCCTTGGTCACTGAAGTGTGCAAAAACATGGCAACAATGCAGGTGCTATGGTCTGAAAATGTTTGCAAAGGAAGGAGAGGAAAGAGCAGTTATTCTGACAGTAAATGATACATAATACTAATATTGGAAGGATTATTTTTTCCCTGTGTGGTCAGTGAATAGAATTTTTGGCAGTCGTCTATCATTTAACTAGGTCTGTATAGAGCACACTGGAGCCTGGTAAGGACCTCTGGCTTTTTTTACAGTCAGAGTTTTGGTGCCTAGGGGTCTGGGCTGTGGACAGGCGAGATGTACCTGCAGGCAGGGAGTGGTCAGCTTGCTCTCAGCTTGCCAGATCCGTGACTCTGACGAGAGAGTTATCAGTACCTACAGAGCTTCCTCCTGCAGCCTGCCTACCCACCCAGGCCATCTTCTGACACTGCCTCAATGTGTCCATGCTCCAGGCAGGTCAGATCACCTCCCTCATTCGGTTTGGACATCAAGGAGACTGTGTGAATGACCATCAGCCTCTCTCCAGTCTACCCAAAGGTATCAGGTATCCAGCACTATTCTGATGGAGAAGCAGTAAGAGTGAGCCTACCTTAGATCTATTAATAGAGCTCATTCAGCCAAGGAAAAGGATCCAACTAACCCAGATGACTACATGAGCCTAGGTCATTCACATGTAGCTTTGGTGAGTAATGAGAGATGCACGCATGATACCCCTGCTCCTGTCCTTTGGTGCCCTGCACCCCTCTCAGGTGCTCTCCAGAGTCAGCCCTTCTGACTGCAGGGCAGACCCCAAAAGGAGATCAGCTTTTCACCTCGATTACCCCTAGTACTTAAGACATTTGCCTTCATGAGTTTTTGGTAATCAATATTGTACAGCCAGTAATTTAATTTTTTCATGGTATCAATCTGATATTAAAGCTCTAGAATCTGGGAAGAGCACAGCAAAGCTTACCTGACTGACTCCACTATTATATTTGGAATGGATAATTGAGATATAATTTAAAGGGTAGAATATATTCTTTCTATAACTGCAAAAGTTTGCTATAACTCACAAAAGGAAATACAAAATTGAGTAATAGTGTTGGAGGAGAAGGAAGCAAATATTTATTTTGTATCTACTATGTGCCAAACACTTTATGTATTGTATTTTGCCCTCAGAAATCATATGCAGATGATTCTATTTTACAAGGGAAAGTTGAGGTTTAGAGCAGGTGAGCAACATGCCAAGATGGAACAGAAGGGGCATAGAACCTGGATTCAAGTCAGAGCAGGGTTTACACCCTCGGTACCATTTAGATGTGGGTCAGATAATTCTCTGTGGTGGAGGCTGCATCCCTGGCCTCTACCCACTAGATGCCAGTGGCATTTCCCCCATTTGTGACAACAGAAAATGTCTCCAGGCCAGGTGCGGTGGCTCATGCCTGTAATCCCAGCACTTTGGGAGGCCGAGGCGGGCGGATCACCTGAGGTTGGGAGTTCAGAGACCAGCCTGACCAACAGGGAGAAACCCTGTCTCTACTAAAAATACAAAATAAGCCGGTTGTGGTGGTGCATGCCTGTAATCCCAGCTACTAGGGAGGCTGAGGCAGGAGAATCACTTGAACCCGGGAGGCAGAGGTTGCGGTGAGCCGAGATTGCACCATTACACTCCAGCCTGGGCAACGAGCGAAACTCTGTCTCAACAAAAAAAAAGAGAAGAAAGAAAACATCTCCAGACATTGTCAAATGTCCTCTGAGGGTCAAAATCAGACCCGCTGTGGAGACCCATGGCTCTAGAGGCTTTGTTTTTTCTGCCATCACACACTCGGAGGGAAATTTGGGGGTAACTTTAAGGATGCTATATGGATAACTTATGTTTCAGTATTTTTTCTTATGAAGATAATAAAAGCTGTCGTGGATCATTTCGAAAATAAAATAAAGATTGTTTAGAATCGTACCACCTAGAGATACCCACTTTCAGCATTTGGCTATGTTTTCTTCCAGTCTGTTTTCTGTGCACACATAGGTAGTTTTTAAAATCATACAGTAAATCTTTTATCTCTTTTTATACTTAATATTATATCAAGAACCTATCCCTATATTAAAATCAGTGTAATTATTTTTAGTAGCTGCATTATATCCTATTATATGTTTATGCCTCAATTTACTCAAGCATTTTTGCAAATGGCCATTTAGAGTTTTTCCAGTTTATCCCATCATAAACACAGCTTCAATGAACATATTTGTGCATAAACGTTTGTGTACAGTCTTGATAAATTCTCTGGGGTATATATTTCTATGAAAAGAAGAATAATTGGGTCAAGCTCTGTACCTATTGTTTAGGCTGCATTTCCTACATACTGTCAGGTTGCTTTCTGTAAGTGTTGGACTTATATGGCTGTGCTTTCTCTCTCACTTGTTTGTGGGTGTCTTGTCTCACTTGTTAACTATAAGTATTAACTTTTTAAAGTATTTTAATTTGATAGGCAAAAATGGCATTTCATTGTTTTATTTGTGTTTATTTGATGACCAATGAAACAGAACATCTCTTCCTATTATATAGCTTTTTGCTTTTCTTAGTCTCTGAAATATTTGTTAATACGATGCATTGCTTCTTTATTAGATCTAATTTTTGTCTATCCACTTTAAGATTTGTTTCTTTCCATTTTCACATGTAGACTTAAAACTACAGTTCTTTAAGCTATTTAGCAGCAGTAGAGGAAGACTTGAGGCAAGTTGGAGGAGAGATGAAGGGGAGTGCTTTTGTATAAATTGGAGATCACCTCAACTATAGAATTAACTGAGCCCTGAAGTTGGAAGAAGAGGGAAGAATGGCGAGAGAGGAGGTAGTGCAGAGGTGTGCGGTCAGGATTTCCTGTAATGGCCACCAGGTGGTGCCATCTGCCCGGGACGATTTGATGTCTCTGGTGCAGGAGAGCGGAGAGCTGGGGAGAGTATTAATAAGGTGGTCACAAGCGAGGTGATTGGAGTGCCATTCATACATGTGGGACATTAGTTGGGCCTCTGTAATTAACCTGTCAATGATCATGAGTTGGTGCACGTGTGTTTGTGTGTAGAGCGGGGAAGAGAAGATTAGGGCTGTTAAAAAAAAAGAATATATATATATATATATATATATATATAATATATAATATGTTATATATACACATATGTATACATATATACATATATAACATATATAATATATGAATGGCAGCTTTATTGAGATATAATTCACATACTATACAATTCAACAATTTAAAGTATACAATGTAATGGTTTTTGGTATATTCACATAGTAGTATCAATTTTAGATTTTTTATTGCCCCAAAAGAAACTCCATTCCCCTTAGCCATTCCCCCCATCTCTGCCTCCTTACTCCTTCCCTCAGTCTCCTTTCCCCAGACCCTGGAAACCACTACTCTACTTTCTATGTCTGTGAATTTGCCTCTTCTGGACATTTCATATAAATGGAATCAGAATAGGTGGTCTTTTGTGGCTGTCACTGCTTGTCCTAGCCAATGCTATACCAGCTTGACTTTGTGGCAGGAGGCATCAGGGTATCCAGATAGACTTACTGTTTTAAAAGAAACAGCATTTCCAGGCTGGCTAGGACAGAGAAAACTACCTAGAACAATACTTTTCCTACCTGGTGGATCATCAGAATTACCTGGGAAGCTTAAAATGAAAGATTCCTGGCCCCTAATCTCTCCAGGAATTCAAATATGGTAGTTCCAGGGAGTCTGAGCTGCTTGGGATTTTTTTCAGTGCCACCAGTGATTCTAATGATTGTCTAGCTGTAAGCAGTGGGACTCAAGTTTTGAACAGAGGCATGAGAAGAAAATGGCATTTCCCTGCAGATGGGCTGTACCAGCTGCAGCTTCAAGTCCAGTGCCTCTTGTGGGAAAGGAGCCACTCCCTTGTCATTCGCCACATCTACACTGCAACGCTGGTTTATGTCAGACTATCATCTTTGACTCGGCATGACAACAGTGCATATTTGAAGGCCATCAAACCAATGATATTAGCCTTGTTTACTGTTTAGCTGGAAAATATCTCCCATGTGGTATAGTAAGAAGAGCACTGAATTTGAATTCTGAAGCTCACCAGAGTGTTCCACTGACTAGTCTCAGGGCTACTGTGAGCACCCAGTGAGAGTGGCCATGAGAGGTGACACACTGCACAAGTCAGGGCACTGGAATCATGGGACAAGATGGGACCTTAGAGAATGTCTTGTCTGCCTGCCTCATTTCATAGTAGAGAAAATGAGGCCCTGAGAGGTAAAGTTCTTCACTGAAGGTCATATGCCAGCTATTAGTAGTGTAGCCAGCACCAGGGTGTCCTAGCCTTTGCCTCCTTCTGTTTCTCACTGTGCCCTCCTTCCCTACATTGCTCTCTTTTGGGATCTGAGGAATCATATTCAATCACCTTTCATTTTCAGAAATGAGGAAACCCAGGCCTCGTTTGTCCATGGCTACAAAACTAATTGATTTATATTTGCTTTGGATGACTAGGAGTTAAAATAATGACAGGTGAAAAATCCAAGATGGCGTTTGTATACCGCTTTTAAGAGCAATCCACAGCAGATTCAAGTTTTGTGAGGCCTGAAACTCATGCAATTTGAAAACTTTTTTCAAGAAAAATAACACACAATTGCAAATGAAAAGTTAGGTTCCAGGCCTTGGAAGCAGTCTGCGCCCATGAGGGGCCCTCATTCACTTCACTATAAATCCACCTCCAGGAGCAGTAATAAAGAGATCCCTACTCATGTTTGTGCTGCTAGGTTCTTCTGTTTGTATAAATAGCATGTGTCCTGCTAAGTCACCTCCACTCTTATAAAATGGAGGCCATTCTGCCAACACATGTGTATTGAACATCTCTTTATCTGTAAGGAATACAGAAGGGAACCAAGAAAGGAAACTAAGCTACCATCTCTAACTCAGGAGATGAGGCACAAAGGCAGAATGGAGGAATTCCCTCCCTGCTGTGGTCTGGGCCAGGGTGCCTATGGGAGCCCAGCCTCTAGGAGGTCTCCAGTTTTAATCTCAGATAATCTTCCTCTTGTAGTCATTCTTCTCCCTCTGCCTATCAAATGCAGATGTTGAGATGAGTAAACCCTTTGGGGTTTTTGGATGAAAAACTTTTCAAGATTTACATGACATTTTTGGGGTTGTGCCTACCCAAAAAAGTCTTATATCTCACATCACTGCCTTAGAAATGAATTAAAGGTGCATTTATCCATCAGGGCCACATTCCCCTAAAATGCACCTAATAGCACTGAAACAATTAGAATAACACAGGGATCCTGAATAATCCATGCCTCTTGTCAAGAAATTTTTTTCTATTTTTATTTTTGTAAAACAGCTTCCTTATCCAGTTGTGTTTAGTTTATTTAAACGATCACATCAGCATTAGGTTCTGGTTTGGGGTTTTTTTTTTTATTTGTTTGTTTAAGTTTCGTTTCTGACACTTTCTGAAAGATGCAACATGGAGATAGGCCAGGAGGGAAACTAGTTTTAGGGTGTTCTCATTACATTCATTTTATGTCATTTTTTATTATTAGGTTTACATTATTGAATTCCTGTGGAGAAGAGGAGTCAGAGCTGTGAATAAGTCATAAGTCCCTATAGGTAAAATCAAGTACTATTTGTCTCTGATCAAAATTGCCCTTTCCATTGATAGGAGAAATGACTGGGCCTCCTTGTCATCCAGAGTTCATTTTGTTTTTCGTGGCAGTTTCACTGTCTTTGGGAATTGAGCTTTTTGAAATGTTAAAGCACGAGAAGCATGAACACCTTGGCAGGGTTTGCAGTATCTCCTTCTAGTGCAGGATGGAGGGCTCCAGAGCTGGCAATTTGAGGAATGGCTGGTGGCTTCTGATGTCACCTGCCACTCATGTGTCCCTCCCTGTTTTGAATCATGGATCTCAAACATCCTCAAAAGCTCTTCCCTGGTAATTTCAAAACTCTGAACAAATCAATCCTAAGAAAAAATAAACAAACATGCAGAAGAGCAGAAGGATATTTAGGATATGGTTCTAATTAAAATTTTTAAGTTTTCCTTTTTCAAAATCCTGTATGAGCTATTAAATAGGGAAAAACAAACTTCTGAGTAGGAAAGAAATAAAGGCCATTACCCTTAGAGATTTTGAATCTTACAATAAACAAATAGGTCTTCTTTTCCCCGAATGTTTCTTCTTATCAACACAAGGGAGTTGAGTGATGGCTACAGCTCTAAAATACTGAACATGGCTGCCTACTGAATTCAGCATACATACGTAGGGATATGTTACATAAGATGCACATACATACTTTATTTCTATTAGCCTGTGAAACAGTGAACATGCCTGCTCTTATAAAGCTTCTAGTAAAGGAACTACAAAAGAAACACATCTACTGGGCATTCTCACACTGGCTGAGGTAGGTTGGAACCATCTGGATTCTTGCCTGTGGCATAGTTAACCTCGTGACTATCCAGTTTTCCAATTATCCAGGCCCATTTACCTCTGCTCCCACTCAGCGAGCCCTTTGGCTATTTCTCTGTTCATTGGCACCTAAAGTCAAGGAGAAAGAAACGAACATTTATTAAGTGCTATGTTTGTACCAGTTAATCTTCTCAATGAAGTATTATTATCACCCCTGTTTTACAGAGAAGGAAACTAATATTCAAAGAGGTAAGATAACTTGTTCAGGACCACATATGTTTTTAAGTATAGAGCTCATGCATTATAAAGTGACCACCCTAGCTAACATTTATTAAGCACAATATTTGCCAGAATTCTTGCAAAAAGCCTTACAAGGACTATTTTATTTTATCCTCATACCAACGGCTTAAGGATGGTATTACTTAAGTATTCTTGTTTTACAGATGAGGTCATACAGCTAAGGTGATGAGGCCAATATTCAAACTCAAGCATCTGGATTGCAGGCTGCACTTTTGATCGCCATGTCTAGCCTCCTCTATACACCTGCTCTGACCGATTTGGTATTCACCACGCCCAAGAGGCTACTGAACACCTGAAATATGGCTGGCTGGAGTTGTGATGTACTCTAAGTATAAACTACACACCCTATTTGGAAG
Source organism: Homo sapiens (assembly GCF_000001405.40). Taxonomy (NCBI): domain Eukaryota; kingdom Metazoa; phylum Chordata; class Mammalia; order Primates; family Hominidae; genus Homo; species Homo sapiens. Next base: position 4,881,592 of record NT_187660.1, read on the forward strand.
ACAGTATGCAAAAAAGAATATAAAAAGTCTCTTTGGCAATTCTTTATATCAATTACATGTTGAAATGATAATTTGGATATATTGGGATTAAAAATTATTAAATTTAATTTCACTATTTCTTTTTACTTTTTGAAGTGAGAAGACTAGACAATTTAAAATTACAAATGTAGTTCATATTCTATTTCTATAGAACAGCACTGCTATATACTATTTTAAAATAATATATAAAGGGGACTAGAACTGACTCAGGCCAACATTATTTTTCATCAATAGTTCTAGTTAAAAATTTGGTTGGAAGTGGGTGGATGGGAAGGTTGAAGCCCATTTTTAAAGATAAGTTTGGTGTTTTTATGAATTTGAGTTATGTGTGCTTTCTTCACCCGTTTTACCATGTGTGGGTAAGAGACTTGCCATTTTTAAGAATCAGAAGAATTCTGTGAGGTGTATTTCCAGTGTCTGTGTGTAGTGCTGCAGCTGTCTGAGCGTATTGCCGGAGGCACCTCCTTTGGACTTTAAGGCACGAATTGCTCATCACTGTCCACACAGCTTTGTGGCCGCCTTTGAGTCTATCTCTTTTAACATAACATTGAGTTCTGGCTCCAGGTCTGGCACAAAGTTGATAATAACTAGTGAATACTGTTTTGTTTGGTTTGTTGTAGTTTTATTCTTTTTTTTTTTTTTGAGACAGAGTCTCACTGTGTCGCCCAGGCTGGAGTGCAGTGGCACAGTCTCGGCTCACTGCAGCCTCCGCCTCCTGGGTGCAAGTGATTCTCCTGCCTCAGCCTTTCGAGTAACTGGGACTACAGGCACACACCAGCATGCCTGGATAACTTTTTTGTATTTTTATTACAGATGGGGTTTCACCATGTTGGCCAGGCTGGTCTCAAACTCCTGTCCTCAAGTGATCCACCCGCTTCGGCCTCCCAAACTTCTGGGATTATAGGCATGAGCCACCGGACCCACTTTATTCTTAATACCTATTGCCAGGCAGAGGTTACATGGATATAAAAGAGAGAAATTGGGAATATTTGTATGAGATGGGAAACCACAGGCCAGGAAAGCATTACCAAAGGGTTGTAGAGGATTTAGTCTGGGCCCCTCCCCAACGTACACACCACGTGCCTTCTCCTCTCGAGGCTAGAATTAACCCTCACCCCACCACCAGCTGCCAAAAAATAGTAGTAGCTGCTGGGAACTCAGAAACAGAAAAGAATTTTCTATGAGATTACTGTCTAAAACAAATGTTTATTCTAGCCATTTATAAAGAACACTTATGGATTTACAGCAGCTTAGGATAGTGAAAAAGAAGTAGAGGAATGGTAATTAATTCAGGTACGAATTTGTAAGGCCAAGTGAGAATCACGTTCCTTGTCGTGGCCCAAAAGGCCTTGTCAGACTCAGATGGAGTCTCCTCGTTTTAGTCTACAGACATATGGGTGGAAGTGACATGATGGAATAATTACATTCCCAAGCCGTGTACCCAAAATCTGTGCTAGGACCACTCCCCTGGCCAGTGCGGAACCAGGTCAGCTGGTGGAAGGGGCTCTGAATGGGCACAGCGCTGCCAGGCCCTGCCACTCCCACCTCATCCCATCCAGAATGGGTCCAACACAGTTCCTGCTAACCCTTATCCACACCTCCTCAACCATAGTCCCCAGTGACCTGCTTCCTCTGTGAAGCCCAGGCTGACTGGAAGGTGACCCTCAACAGAAACCATCAGAGAGCTTTGGGTCTGGGGCGGAGGGTCACCTCCACTCTCACGGTGGTGTCTTGGTGTTAATGTCATCTGTTGGCTCAGCCATTCATTGCTTCTCTCTTCCCTAAGCTCCTGCAGATCTCCTTTACTCGTTTCTTAAGTGTAGGAAGCTATCTCCTTGGATGCTGGGTCACTAATTATAAACTTCCTATGCATTTACCTGGCTCTGGTTTGGCCCCTAATGTCTTTATTTCTGCCTGCAGGATTGTCATTGCCATTGCCCCTTTTCCTTACCTGGGAACCCGACATACTCTGCTTATCCCTTGAGCTGGCACACCAGGGGGCCTGGAATTCCTGTTGGTGAAGTCACTACTTTAAGAGAATTATCCCAGAAATCCTCTAAGTTGCAAATCCTACAGGAGCAGAGTACTACATGTTAATTAGCACTCATTATCATGTTAGTAGAGAAGCTTACCCAAAGGAATGATACATAGGACCTGCTATGTCATTGAGAACAGAGAGGTGGGGCTCAGGTTCTGGACAAATGATGTCATAAGTAAGTGTAGTTTCAGAAAGGAAGATGAAGTGGGAGCTTTAGATAATTGGAGGCGGTAGGCCTGTATATGGAACCAGATGCTAGAGAGCCCAAGTCCATATTTTTACTTTTTCACAGTTTTGTGTCCATATCCTCACCGAATCCCAACCACCACCACCACAGTTCTATATCCCGTTATTTTTTCAATAATAACTGATACCTCAACTTAAGCTCCACTCTGATCCTCAGCTAAGCCATATAATTTCAGCAAGAATTATAAAATAAAGTTTTTAAAGGACAAACATGAGCCTTAACCTTAGTATAAAGACATGCTTAGCCTTCATACAAATTGCCAAGTTGAGACTTCATTTCAGACGGCAAATAAAAGTTACATGAAGGAGCTAAAAGTGCTATTGCAAATTACCTATTTGAAACGGCTTTTTCAAAACCTGCTAAATTCACAGCTCTCCTAAAAATGCTTCACTTCCAGATTATTTTATTTTGGGGTTTTGTGTGTATGTGTTAGAGGGGGTGGGGTTTGTGGTGACTACAGAAAAATTAGTTAAATTCATAGGATAAAATTTGAACTTTTGCAAATGAGTAAACAGCCAAAACAAACACCGCTTCAGAAAAAAAAAAAAAATACACGTTTTCTCCTTTTGAAAAGCAAGCAATGCTTAAGCAAAATACCTTAAAAGTTAACTAAAAAGCTTTTCTAAAATAAACAACTCTGCTTGTGATCCTAAATTGGGACCACATGTAGATGTGAAAGCTACAAATGCAGTGCACTCAGAATTTGCGTCTCTGCCTTCACTGTTTGCGTGCCTCTGAGTAGATGATGATAATGTTGGCTTTGGTCCCCAAGGAGCCTGAGTTTTTTAGATCCTAGTATGAGGGGGAAAAGCAGAAGAAGAAAGAGAAGGAATGAAAACAAATGCCTTTCAAGACAAAATATCCGAATGGGTTTCATTTTGCTTATCTGCCAACAGGCTCAACCCAATTTAGATCTGTCCTACAAGGACAGGATAGTGCCAGCCAGGGTGTCTGCCCTTGCCGGCTATGTGGGGCAGTCCCTGTGAGGGACCAGGCTCGAATTCAGAGCAGAAGGATCACTCTAGCAAACTGCCAGGGCCAGCCCTCTGCCCTGAGGCAAGTCAATGAATTAGCCAATTCAGCACAGATAGAATCATTCCTTTGTTTTTCTCAATTACCAAATGCTGTGTGCTTTGGGGGTCACTTGTCATGTGAGTTTAGAGAATGTGGATATTGCAACATAAACCCTCACCATTCTAAACAGCTTAAACTAAATTCTGTTACTAGGGAGGAGAGCTGAGGTGATAATATCCATCTCTAAGTATAAACTATTGTGTGTTCATTTTCCCATTATGGGAGACAAATTTCTCTTCTCCGCTAGTGCTCATGATCTCTTCCACCAGGCACAAACATCAGATGTGTGTTTATGTGGACATATTTTGTCCCCTATTATTGGAGAGCAAGCTCCTTGAGAGAAGGGATTATGCTGCCTGGATTTGTAACTTTGTTAGGCAAAGCATGACTTTATTTAGTTTTGAATTGATGAGGAGGCACTGATGTTAGTAAAAAGCTCAAATGTCCTGAGCCCTGTTGCTCAATACCTCAAACACAGGACCATGATCACCACAATGAAAAATATGCAGGATCATTAATTTCGGCTCTGTTAATTGTGCTGTTAGGAAATGTTGACTAGATAGGAAAAGCAGCTAACGTTCATGGAGTGCTTATTACATACCAGGTACTGAGGTAAGCATTTTACATACAGTATCCGATTTGTATCCTCCCACAAGCATGTTATCCCCGGGTTAAAAGGGGAGGAATTGGGGTCCAGTGAGATTGGGAGGTTATGAGAATCCCACAGTGTGTGGCAGAATGTGGACTTGAACTCAGGGCCCTAACAACAGGAAGCTATAAAAGCCTCTTTGTATAAAAAGTGCTCTCTTTCTGTGGGTCCTCAGTAAATGAAAATATTTGCTTTTCATAAATAGGTTTGAATGTTGGGACCCTCATTTCTCACCAGGAGTCAAGGCCAAAAGGTCTTATAAATAAGAGTGAATTTTGAGAAAGGATGTGTGAAAATGACTCTGTTCTTTTCTTTTATCTCACTTCAGTTACTTGGGATGGAGGAAGCAGAAACTGGGAGTCAGACATCTAAAATATGAAGTTCCACCCTCATGTTGGCCATTTCTTTCAGCCTCCTTTCCCCATTCCTAGGGGCCAATCTGTTTCTCCCTCTCCTGCTCTTTCTCTTTGCCTCTGTCTTCTTCTTTCCTGTGGAGACAGTAGCGTGTGGTGGAACTGCCTGAGTGCTTACTGAGAAGGAGAAACCAAGCGCAGATTGTACAGAAGCTGACGAATGAGTCCTCTGATTGTGGACAAGTGATGGCGCTTTTTGTAAAATTGTGTATGTGTTTACCTCAAGTAGTGAAAAAAAAAAAGAAAAAACAACTTTTGGGGCAAGTTGGACCTTAGGAAGGAGATTTCTGGGTCTCGGGGTTTCTCTTAGCCCCCAGTGCCTGGTGCCTGCGGCCGGTGTCGCCTCAGGGAGTCCCAGGCTGTTCTGTGGCCTCCAGAAGGAGCCACCCCGCCCCTTCCTCGCCCCACTCCGCTTTGCCTTCCCTTAGCCTGGGGAGCCTTGCCGCCTCTCCACCTTCTCTCCTGGTCTCCTCGGGCGCTCTCGCGCTGGCACCTTCAGCTCTGTCAGAGTCTGAGGGGAAACCAAAGGAGGCCAGGCGGTGTCTGGAATGCCCCATCCGACTGCTTCAGGCTCCCAGACCGCTGACAAAAGGAAAACTGGTCCGTCGCTTTCTGAATGATGTATCGAGACCGCAGTGTATTTTTAGCATCTGCTGTTTGTGGTAACATAAGTGAAAACTGCTGGACCCGTTCCCTTCAGCTGAATGGCTGGTATTCAGGGGCCTGTGCCCGCTCCCTGCCAGACGCTCCTCACAGAACTCCCTTTTTACGAGGTGGGCGACTGGCTCCCTGGCACCAGGCTGCCCCACCACAATTCTTTATTGCCCAGCGCCAGTGCCCAATTGCATGAATCCCCAGGGCTGCAGGCAGCGTGAGGGGTGCGAATGGGACGATGCTGGCTGCGGGCTTGTCAGGGTGTTCCCAAGTTGTGTGGCAGAGTCTGGAGGGCAGGGGTTGTCCGGATGTTCCAAACCTCCAGCGTGAGGTGGGCACTCAGGTGCGAAGGAACCATGGTGGCGAGGCCCACAGGTGGCGTCCCATCCCAGAGCCATTTTGCCGGGGCCTGGCTCTGCAGTAGTCACTGACACCGGAGATCCCCTGAGTGACCTGGAAACTATGAGAGACCCCAGGTACCCCGACAGGTCATTCTACTAACTGTGGCTGTGGAGCTCCAGCTCATCTTTGGAAGACGGAAACGCACTGGAAAGGGTATGAATGGACGCAGAAGGCCTCGTGGGGGCTCTCTCAGTGCCACTGTAGAGTGAACACAGGGCTGGAATCCAAAATAGCACCAACTTGCTGAGTGGCTTTAGGCAAGAAACCTTTCCCCAGGTCTCACTTTCTCACTTAGAATGATGAATAGTGATTCTTGTCCTACTGACCTCACTAGGACGTTTTTAATAAGGATGAAAGCACTTTGAAACTGTTGAAACCATAACATCACAAAAAAAAAAAAAAAAAAAAGAGACAGAGTGACGAAGTAACGCAGGTCCCATTTATGTTCTTAATTTCTGACCAACCTTAACTTCCATCAAAACTGCTTCCACTAGCCCCAGCCAGGAGAGCCGTTGCATCGTGGTGGGACATCATCAGGCTCTCCAACGGACATCGCTTATACTATGAGAACTCACGTTCAAGGGAGGTGTTTACCTCTAATTCCCACAGAACTAGCGTAAGTAAAAAATGGGGCAGCAGGATCCTTTCCTTGCAAAGTGTGAGCAAGTGCCTCTGTAGAGTAAAACTTTAAGTAAAAGGACTACAACGGCAGTGACAGCTCCTTTATCTGAAACTGCAGACTTTTAAGAAGGTTCTTAGCAGCCACACCGATGTCACAAATTCCATAAAGCAAGATCACCTAGGCACTCTCTCGGAGCTAATTTTATCTCATTTTATATATAATTTTAATAAGCCTGGCTCTCTCATTTTCTAGCCCCTTATTACTGAAAATGTGGCTCATGGGCCAGCAGCATCTGCACTATCTGGGAGCTTGTGAGGAATGCAGAATCTCAGGCCCCACCCTTCACCTTGAATCAGAATCCACATTTGGATAAGATCCCCGTGTGTGTGTGTGTGTGTGTGTGTGTGTGTGTGTGTGTGTTGTGCGGGGGAGGGTAAAATTAGAAGAGACTTGCAGGGCCTAGGCGCACTCTCAATTTATTGTATTTCATTATGGAAAGGATTTGGGATGACTAGAATTAATAACTTAGAAGGAGTGAGGTGACAAAGAACATTAAAAACTATTGCATCTGGGACCATTTAATATAGGTTTGTTTGTTTGTTTGTTTTGAGACGGAGTCTCACTTTGCCGCCCAGGCTGGAGTGCAGTGGCATGATCTCGGTTCACTGCAACCTCTACTCCCCAAGTTCAAGTGATTCTCCTGCCTCAGCCTCCTGAGTAGTTGGGATTACAGGCGCCTGCCTGTAATTGTATTTTTAGTAGAAATGGGGTTTCACCATCTTGGCCAGGCTGGTCTTGAACTCCTAACCTTGTGATCCACCCGCCTCTGCCTCCCAAAGTGCTGGCATTATAGGTGTGAGCCACCGCACCCGGCCCATTTAATATAGTTTTATATCCGAATGCCCTTTAATACTCTGAGAATACACTGTTACAACACTGTATAGTCATTGATATTCCCAGTAATAGTCCCAAATTATCAAGAACAGGCAAAGTCATATTCTCCTGCTGTTTAAAGTATTTACCTAATGTTCATAGTGGAAAATTCTCCTTTAAAATGGTTAAATAAATCTTGATCTTAAACCGATGCTTCAGTGATCTGAATACTACATGAAACAGCACGTTCTCTCTAAAGAGATAAGTGAGATGGTACTATAATCGGAAACCTCTGTTAATTCGGATTTTGTTTTTTATGCACATTTTAGAGAGTCAAATTATATCAAGATAAAATATGATAACAGAGATTTACTCTAAAATTAAACAATGAAAAAAACCCTACCAGTGCAACAAAAAGGCCATGGCTGTTCAGAGCCAAGTAAAACTTTGGGGGTCAGAAGGTATTTAATTTTCATATTTCTGTTTACTAGGTACTAACAACTGATCTTCAAAATCATAGAGACAGGAAAATGGATTTGAAACCCAAGGGAGTTTTTAAGTAACCAGAAAAGTTAGTGCCCTCTTCTGGACAAGCGATCATTGGAGTTGTTAGAGGTTGTCCTTGGGAGTGCTGTTGGGGGCTTTGTTAACACCGAACAAGACCATGAGTGGCAAAACTTGGAGCTGAGGTTGATCAGGTCTCCAAGGCCAGGGAGAGACTCAAACCAACCAGGTCAACTTCCCAGCTGAATTGCCAACCTCAAAGGGATACGTACAGAAGGGAGAATTGGAGGCACATAGCAGAGGGTGAGAATGCAGAGAAGAGCAGGATGCGGTCAAAAGATTGGCAGATTTTTATGGAGGGTTCCAGCACAGGCCAAGAAAGAGATTTAAGGGTTCTGACTCAAATAAGACCAACTGTCCTTCTTTCTCATTCCCTTGACAATTACATCTGAGTGCAACTTTATTGCCATGGCAATACAAAGAAAGTCTACCAATGATTTGATATCTAGAGCTTAGAAATAAACAGCTGCATGGTACCAATTTTATTATATAAAGCAAAGTTTATATAAACGCAACTGGGCTTAAAACTCATTTGGCAAGAATTAAATATTTTCCATTTATTCTAGAGACATTTTTAGAGTGCCATGGCTGTGGTGGAAACATAAATAAAGCATCATCACAGGACAGGATTAATTAATTGCCTGAAATAATTTCAAAGCTGTAAGTGAAAGATCCTATCTTTATTAATGGTATTCTTTTCTCAAATCAGATTTTGAAACCTCACAAGCTTTTGACTCATCTCTCTCCTGTGCACTGCTAGAAATCTTATTTAACTCATGTTGCAGCCACCCTAATTCCAATCCTTGTCACTTCACTCCTGAGTTTCAGCAACACTCTTAGAGAAGAACTTCTTAATTTCTCTCCAACCTAGCTTTGTACAATGGTCTGTTCTCTATACCACCATCTATTGTCTATACTACAATACATTATGTTGGGAATATATCTTATTATGTACTACTGGCTTATTGTGTTAGTCATGGGTAACCAACTAGAATGAAGAACGAACTAGAGAACAGGAACTATGTCTTTCACATTTATGTCGTCTATAGCACCTAACGTAATTATTGCTACACAGTATGTTGCTACAGGGAGTCTTCCATGGCCTAGATCTGGGCTAGATACTTCTCCTCTACACAACTGTGACACACTGCCGTATCCTGGTTACATTATCAGTGCATTACAACTGGCTGTATTACATTTGTTTCTTTTTGTTTCTCTATGAACTATGAGAGCAGAGCCTACATTTATCTGGTTCATCACTGACCCTCTAGTACCTAGCCCAGGTTTTGATTATATATTATGTGCTCAATGCATATTTTTAGATTATTTGTTGTTGGTTAGTGCAGTAAGATAGTTAAGGAGGCTGGGATGAATAGACCAAATGGCATCCATAGCATCATATTATTTTGTTTGACTTGGCTTCAGGTACAATAGATCAATATAACCTAAATATTATAATGAACCAGATAACTGCATTTGGCCCTTTGCAACTGTATAATATTAAAATTATTATATTTTCTATACCTGTTTAATTGTCTATAAAATTCTAGCTCCTGGAGTGCAAAGGACAGCATTTTTTACTTCTGCATATCTCCCTCAGTTCCTACCTCAGTGAGTGTTTCTTGATCTGACATCATTAAATGCAGTTTAAAAAGAGTCTGTGTTCTAATCTGTCTGCTTAGTGCTAAACATCTGTTGCTTCCTAACAAGTGCTGCATTCATTTTAATGGCACTGGTGCACAGAGGTAAACGGAGCTTTGGCAGGCCTTCCATAAGAGAAACTGTTTGCTTCCTTCATTAATTACTAATGGAGCATTAAGACACGCATTCTGCCTTGAGCCAAGTTGGATAATTCCTGGCACTTAATGCTAGGGTGCTTTCAAAAGTTGAGACATGTACTGACACACCAGAGAGCCTGCCCTATAGCAAGCACAGTGGTGTCTATAGTGCCAACATTATATAAAGCTTCAAATATATCAATACCAAGTGTACTGATATGTCTAACCTTTGCATCTATTGGGTTAATGTGGAATCATAGGTATCCCTACACTAGCTCTGAAGGTAGCTATCACAAATGAGCTGGATGAATCATCAGAAAGATACAGAAAGGTTAAAAATAAAAGGATAATCAAAGATTTACCCATTAAACACAAATCAACAGAGTGAGAGTGGCAAGCTAATAGAACTATAAATCAACATCTGATTTATCAATTTATATTTAGCAGCCAATTGCCAACACAATTAAAATGAAACATTTATACCCTTGGATATGCTAACTAGTACAGCATCAAAATGATAAAAACAGTAAGAAATAAGAGAATGACAGTCACTTATTGTTAGTAGTAGATTTTAACATATAGCCATCAGATTATGATAGACTAGAGATAAAATATGAATATGGATATAAAAAGAATATAATTATAAATGTTGATAAATTGGCTATATTTAGATGTTTATGGGTTATATAAAATACCTTATATTACATATTCACATGGAAATTTTACAAAAATAATATGGTAGTTTACAAAAGAAATAGCATTTTTTTTAAATGCAGATATTTTACAGTTTCTCTCATTACAAAGCAGTGACCTAGATCTGGGCTAGATACTTCTCATCATTCTCATTACAAAGCAATGAAATATAATATAAATGTAAACAAAACAAGCGAACAACCACTCGATGTTGCCTGAATGCGGGGGCTAGAGGAATCAGCAGAGGTAAGATTGTCCTTTTAAGGTTAAACTTTAATCAACACAGCACACAAAGCCAGAGTGATGCAATGTCACTTCAGAGAGAAAATATGATCCCCAGGACACTGAGATCTAGTCATGATTCTACTGAATATATTAACATTTCCAATGGGGGAAAAAAGTGTGAATCCAACGAAGAGCTGGCTCAGCCAAAACAAACAAAGGCAAGTGCTAGTGTTCATCCAGGGACAAGGGAGCCTCATTCAACTAGACTTAACTAATCCAGCCTGTGGCAGGATCCTCCTTCATGAGAAGATGGAAGCATGGTGTTGTTTTTGCCTGGTTTTGCTCAAATGTCATGCACACCAAGGCACCTTTTGATTGTAAACCAGCCTTTCCTGTATTGGTCTGCGTACACCATGATTGTCCCTTAGGGGAGCTGTGAGTGTGGGGCTCCTCTGTCCTCATGGAGTTGGTAAGTATGAAATCCTTCTAAGAAATGATCTGCTGTGGTCCTGGAAAAGGAAGCTTCATGAGCCTTATAGAATGTTAAGGCTACAAGGAAAGAAAGTCCAGAAATTAACATGCATTGGTATGTTAACTTGGTAACTTAGTAAAACAAGTTATGGAGTAGAAGTTGTTCTTATTCACTGCTGTGTTTTGGTGCTCAGAGTAGGTTTTCGTATGTATGAGACACTTAAGTATTTGGTAGAGACATGAAACAAGTAGGGAAGGACAGAATTATTTAGCAAATGCTGGTGGGATAATTGATTAACTGTTTGACATACACTAAAATAAATAACATGGATTAAAGAGTTAACTTACAAATAGAAAATTAAAAGAATGATCCAAATGTCAGTAGTACTTCTGAAGGGGCAACGATTTTGTGCATTTAGAAGGATAAGAAGAAATCACAAGGGGAATAAAAATGACAAATCTGACTACATAAATATTAAAAACGTATGTTAGCAAAATACTATAATAGTAACCAGAATTCAAACTCAGACAACATGGGAAAATATTTTCAGAAAATGCGACAGCCAAAGGCCTTGCATCTTTATTATGTAAAATGTTCATACGAATTGATAAGAAAAACACTGAAATTCCAAGAGCATAAACAAACAGCTCACATAAAAGAAATTAAAATTAGTAAATATATGGGAAGATATTTGACCCAGCTGGTAATCAAAGACATTCAAAATAAAACAGTAATTTTAAAAAATTTGAATTAGCAAAGAAAATCTAAAAATTGATTTTCATAAAACCCAATGCTTGTGAGAATGTTGCAAAAGTTGTATTTCATATTTTGCTGCTGATGGCTTATAAATTGGTACCTCGTTTTTGGAAAACAGTTTGGCAATACAATATCAAGAGTCATTAAAATGTTTTATAGCCTTTGACCTAGTAATTTGACTTCTGGGAATCTATCCTGAGGAAAATTAATCCAAAATATGGAAAACATTAAATGTCTAAAATGAATTGGGAAACACTAAATGTCTCACAATAGGGGATTGGTTAATATGTTGTAGTACAGCCATTGGACTAAAAACTACATAGCCATTTATAATTACAGGAATAGAGACCATGCAGCCAAATGGAAAGATGCTTGTGCTTCAATATTAAATAGAAATGAATATATACTTAGTATAAAAAGATACGTAGCAACAATTGGAGTCAGTACACCAAATTTTAAGTGGTTGAGCTAAAATAGCAGGATAACAGTGACCTTATCTTTTTTCATAATGTGCTTTCAGCCTGTATTTCTGGATGGCAATTGCCTTCCTTTCTTGACCCAAGTCCTGCCCAAGCTCCACGCCCAGCTTCCAGAGCCCTACCCATCTGTGTTGATGCCACTTAGTTTCCAGCTTTTCCAAGAAGCCCTCCCATCCCATCAGCCAAATGGAACTCTCCCTTTCCCATGCTCTTTTTTTTTTTCTTTTTTTGAGACAGAGTTTTGCTCTGTCACTCAGGCTGGAGTGCAGTGGCATGATCTTGGCTCACTGCAACCTCCACTTCTCGGGTTCAAGTGATTCTCCTGCCTCAGCCTCTTGAGTAGCTGGGATTACAGGCACCTGCCACCATGCCTGGCTAGTTTTTGTATTTTTGTTTTTTAGTAGAGCCGGGGTTTCATTATGTTGGCCAGGCTGGTCTTGCACTTAGACCTCAGGTGATTCGCCTACCTCGGCTTCGCAAAGTGCTGCAATGACAGGCATGAGCCACCAGGCCTGGCCCCTTTCCCATGCTCTTGTGATGCTGTATTAACATTTCTTTTACAGGATAATATACAGTTTGCCTTGTATGGAAATAATATGTGTACAGTATGTGTCTGTTTCTGCAACTAAATTTCTAAACCCCTAGAGGGCAAGAACCATTTCATTTATTTTTCTCTCCCCACAGCAGAAGGCACAGGGCTTTTCCTGTGTGATATGCCTGAATAAATATTGGTTGAAATTAATTGAATTGTACTGCAATGAACTACTTCTGATTCCCTCGCAGGTGGAGCTCATGAAGGACTTCAGCATTTGGGTCCTTTTGGCAACATCCCCAACATCGTGGCAGAGTTGACTGGAGACAACATTCCTAAGGACTTTAGTGAGGATCAGGGGTACCCAGACCCTCCAAATCCCTGTCCTGTTGGAAAAACAGGTAACAGATATGCCTTTGGGTTCCCATGAAAAGTTGGGGCTTTGGAAGGAAATCAGAAATTCTAACATCAGCTACAAATATTCCCAGAAATTGTTATTTCCATTCTGATGAGCCCATGTGTATTTGTAAGTAGATGGGAAGGGGAAATTTATTCTAGAATTTTTATATGAGCTCTGTGTTCAGACACACCCACATAGGATTTTCCCTTGCCAAGGCTTTACTTTCTTTCTGTGTCTCCCCTTCTTTGGGAATTGATGCACTTTTCTGCACTTGCTACTCTTTTTTTTTTTTTTTTTTGAGACAAAGTCTCGCTGTGTCACCCAGGCTGGAGTGCAGTGGTGTGATCTTGGTGCACTGCACGCTCCGCCTCCCAGGTTCATGCCATTCTCCTGCCTCAGCCTCCCGAGTAGCTGGGACTACAGGCGCCTGCCACCACTCCTGGCTAATTTTTTTTTGTATTTTTAGTAGAGACGGGGATTCAGCGTGTTAGCCAGGATGGTCTCAATCTCCTGACCTCATGATCCACCCTCCTCGGCCTCCCAAAGTGCTGGGATTACAGTCGTGAGCCACTGCGCCCGGCCTGCACTTGCTACTCTTTTAATGAAAGGGGAAACACTTTTTTTTCCTTTTCCATGATACAACTTCTGCTGAGTTTTAATGTCTTTGGAACTAGTTAGTTTGTGGATTATCCATGCCTGTTTGTTCTCCTCGTTGATCATGACAGTCAACATTCTAACAGTGTCATGCATCAACACCGAGTTAGCATCTATCCTAAAATCCTGTTTATTTGGGGGCCAGGAGGTGGCATGGGAGAGAAGAGGTTCAGGAAGAAGCTGGTTAAGGAAGAAGGTTGAAATTTTCCATGTTGTTCATGCATCCAACCCACTTTCCTACCCACTAATGCCATAGAGAATGGTGAGTGGGCTTCACTTACATCCGGCTTTGAGCAGCTGACCTTGGTGGTTAAGAGTAGTGGCTCTAGACTCTGACTACCTGAGTTCAAACTCCAGGTCAACCTGTGTGACCTTAAACAAGTTAATTAACCACTTCGTACCTCAATTTCCTTATTTGCAAAATGGAGGTCATTGTGGGAATTAAATAAAATTATCCATGTAAAGCATTTTAGCACAGCACCTAGCACAGAGTAAGGACTCTTTAAATGTCATCCTGATTATAATTAGCTTTGCTGCCCCTAGTAAATAATGCACCTCTTACCTTGGGCTTGTGTTAGCTTCTAGCACCAGAGTAGTCTTTTCCTGCAAGCCTAATAATAATAATAGTTGGTATTTATCAGGTTGGTGCAAAAGTAATTGCACTTTTTACTATTGCTTTCAATAGGAAAAACTGCAATACTTTTGCACCAATCTAATATTATTTCTACTTTATATTAAGAAAACAGAAGCTTAGAGAGTAGCTTGCATAAGGTTATCCAGGTAACAAGTAGCTGAACCAAGACTCAAACCCAAGTCTACCTGATTAAGGACTGTGTACTCAACCACCAGGACATACTGCCTTGCTCTGAAAATTGTGATAACATTGACTACTCAACTTTTTTTCTTTTTCTTTTTCTTTTTTTTTTTTTTTTGAGATAGGGTCTTACTTTGTTGCCCAGGTGGGAGTGTAGTGGCACAATTATAGTAATTCTGTGCCTCAGCCTTCCAAGTAGCTGGGACAACAGGTGTGTGCCACCATGCCCAGCTAATTTTTAAATTTTTTGTAGAGGTGGGGTCTCATTATGTTGCCCAGGCTAAACTCAAACTTCAGAGCTCAAACGATCCTCCCACCTTGGCCTTCCAAGGTGCTGGGATTATGGGTGTGAGCTACCACACCGAGACTTTTTTTTCTTATGATACCCATAACTAGTCTGACATCAGCTTTTCTTAAACACAATGCAGGCTGTCTCTGAAAGAGACTGTCTTAGAAAATATGCTCCTCCTTTCATTTAGGATGAGGCCTCTGTTTTCCGTGGGGCACAAAGCTTCCATCTTGAGGCAGAACAACCAAAGTAGTTGGATGTGACCAAGCCAATGTGTGGCTGCTGGGCCAGGAAGGCAGGAAAACCTGAATCCCTGCCTGGCTCTAATCATTTCAGCCACCTTCTACTTGTTTGTAGGGTTTTGGATGGGTAGGAAGAAAGACTAGTTCAGAGTTTAGAGAGCGACAGTCTCCATTGTTAAGTCCATTGGATGTGGTACAGTGCAGTGGTTCTTAAAGTGTGATTCCAGGACCACCAGCAGCAGCAGCACCTGAAAACTTGCTAAAAATGCAACTTCTCAGTCCCTACCCTGATTCAACCTATTGAATCAGAAGATTCTGGGGGTGGGACCCAGGAATTTGTTGCAACCAGTCCTCCTCATGGTTCTAGTGCACACTGAACTTAGAGAATATTATAGGAGAATGGAAAGAGGTCCAGAGTTTGAGCCAAGAGATCTGACCTCTAGTGTTGACTGTAGTATGCCACTTTCACTTTCTTGAGCCTTAATGTCTTCACCTATGGAAGGAAGACATAGGCAATGCCTCCAAAGAGCATACAGTGTAGTTCTAGCTTGTCTGAAAACAAAAACAATAAAAACACAAAATCATACAGACCTGTGGAATCAAGCTCTAGTCTGTGCACTTAGGAGCTCTGAGAGGACAGCAATCAAGCTGGCCTGGTAGAATTGGACAAAATCCCAAATCCAGACACTTTCTTGTCACAGGTTGTCTGCCATTTCCTTTGCTGTTCTTCCATGAAACTAACATATTCCCTCATTCTTTGTTCTGCCACAATCTGCATTCCAAGAATGAAATCGCTTGCTAAATTTAGCCATTATTTGTGAGGAATTGCTTGAATTATGACACAACACAGCACAGTTGAGCAATCCAAGAATAAAACCTTGATTTCTCCTTTCATGCCATGCTGTCCTCTGAATCATGGCCCACTCACCCTGGATAGAGCAGCAGAGCTCAAAGAGTCCATCTCAGCCTCAGAGATAGGATGTGAATTCTAGGGCACATTTTTAAGCCCGGAGACACCTTCGGTTCCCAGAGCAGGCTTTATCTGCATCTCAGTCAGGGCCCACTCAGAGGTACACCAGAAACAATTATGAAAGGTTATAAAGGTGCCATATGCAGATTGCCTGAACTCTCTTGAATTGGTATATTTTCCTACATGTTAATTGCTATATATTGTGTAAGTTAGATAAATAGCTCACTGAAAAGTGGAGAGCCGCATTAGGGATTTGTTCAGAATGCTGATGACTTCCACACTAGCTGTATACTGCTAAGAGCTGAGAGACTGTGTACTGAAAGCTTAAGAGCAGTGTCAAGAACTAGACAACCTGGCTAATTGTAAATGGCCCCCCTTTCAGCATTGACTTTGATGTCTCATTATGTCTTTCAAATGAGACCCTCCTTCCTCCCCCTAACCCTGCACAAAATTCACAATCCCTCCTCTGTCCCCCTTTTTATTGCTGTTGTCTAAAATATATTAGACATGGGAAAAATGACTCATTTTTAGAGCATCATGCCTAGTAATAATAGAATTTACATAAAAGCAGCATCTGAGAGAGATAGCCTTCTTTCTTTGGTTTGAATGGAAAACTTGCTTGATTTCAAAGGGAAGTCATAGTATAAACTGTCAGTCAAAGGGAGATAATGGGAAGGGAACTAAAACATATTGCAAACCTATTATGTGCCGGGTGTTCTAAATGTAATCATCTCTATTCCTCACAGCAATCCCGTAGGTAAGTATTTGATTATTTGCATCTCACACATACATGAACAAACTTGGAGAGACCAAGTTAACTTTCCAAAGGAACTAAGCCTATCTATATCTTAGGAGCTGGGATTTGATCCTTGAGCTCTGCTCTTGTCTGACTCCAAAGCTTAAGCTGTTATCACAATAAAACACAACATCAAGTGCTGTGTGGAGATTGTTGTTGTTGTGTAATGTACTTTCTCCAAGAAGCCAAAGTAGTTTCTAAACTGCTTGCTCAGGAGAAAACAGAGTGGGTCATGTGCAACAGAAGTATGTTACCTAAGGAAACACTTGCTCTTGTAACAAATAAAAACATTGTATGGCTCAACGCAATAGAAGTTTATTTTTCACCCGTGTGAAGTCCTGCCAGAGGCGCGTGAGGCTGTAGTGCGGTGGATGGTTCGGCACCCCAGACTGCCATCTTTACACTTGACCCCCACAGTTGCCCTGGCAACATGTAACAAGCTGACCAGGAGATGGGGGTGGGGAATGAGGAGAAGTGGAGCATGGTATGAGAGGTTTTTATGCTTTTAGGTGATGTATTTCAATTCCAGGCCTGGGAATGGAATACATTACTTGTGCCCACATTCTGTTGGCCTCCACTCAGGCAAATGACTCCACGTGATTGCAAAGCAAGGCTGGGAAATTAGTCTAGCTGGGTGCTAAGGAGGAAAGGGAAGTGGGTTTGGTGAACAGCCAGTGAGTCTCTGCACAGGAGTGGGAGTTTGAGATGAGTAATCCTATCTAACTGGATCCTAGAGGGAAGGTGGCTGCTAGTGTTCTAAGTTACTACTGATGTGAACAGATTCTGACCTTTGGCTGCCTAGTTGTTTTTGATAAATTAACTCTTAGAATAATGATGAATGTCTTGGCCGTTCCTCAAAAACCTTTGGCTGTTTGCAGCAGATGATGGATGTCTAGAAAACACCCCTGACACTGCAGAGTTCAGTCGAGAGTTCCAGTTGCACCAGCATCTCTTTGATCCGGAACATGACTATCCAGGCTTGGGCAAGTGGGTAAGTCCTATCTCAATTGTTAGTAGATTTTGCACTTTGGTACTCTGAAGGTGCTGATGGCAGGGATGAGCAATATGGGCAGAAGGAGAGAAGAAAAATTATTTAGAAGCTAATTTTTCAGAAATCTCTGGTTGACAGAGCTTCAAGTCATGACTACTCAAAACCACACTTATGTGTCCAGGCAGCACTATACCAAATCCAACTAAAGAGACAGCAACCTAACATTGACCGTAGTCTCCAGAGTCTTCTACTCTGGTCTGCTTCACAGCCTGTGTCATACACATCCTAAATTTCACCAGTGTTTCATGCATCTCTATAGGGTTTTATCAAAGGATATGATTTTTTTTAATTGACACAGAAAATTTGCAAATGTGATCTCTAAACTAAGGGAGATGATCTCTGCAGAATCAAGGGAATAAAGATGCCAGAGCTTAGAAACAGATATATATAATTCTGCTTTATAGAAAGAGAAAAAATATTCCGTGATGTGTAGCAGTGAGATTGCTGTCAGTCCTAGGTAAGTGCATATAGCTGTCAGTTAAGGGAGTTGTTTATAAGCACTTGGAAAGATAAATCATGACCATTTGGCATCAGTGTGCTAAAAACAAGTCTTGCCAATCTAATTATATTCTTCCATTTGCCAGCATTATTCATTTATTTGCCAGCTTGATGAGGGAAATGCAGTGGGCATGGTGCATTTGGACTTTTGCAAAGCATTTGACAAGATCGTTTTATGTTCCCCTATTGGAAGAGGTGGAAAGATACAGCCTAGGCAACAGAATGTCACCAAAATGGGGCTTGTTAAAGAGTCCATGTAAATAGGGAGGGAGATTTCACATGGTATTCTGTGTGTCTTAGCACTACCCCACTCCACATTTTTATCAATGTTTGTAATAATATAGAACTTGTACTTATCAGATTCCCAGAGGATGACATGAAGTTGGAAGAGATACCATCAGATGACAGAGTTGGGATTCAAGAAGATCCCAGCAGACTAGAACAATGAGCCAAACAAGATCAGAACTGAGTGGGGATATGTCTGTGTTTCTGTGGTTGGGCCAGATGCTGAAGCCATGGGAGAAAAGTGGGGAAATACCTAGGAGTGTTCCTTCACATGTAACAGTAGGTGGCCAGTACGTCTGTGGAATGAATGAGTGAGTGAATGAGCAAATATTCCAACTCCCTCAGCCCTTCTAAAGTCCTCATCTCTTCTTAGCTCATTATTGGCAGATGGCCTTGCTTACTGCTTTACTGGGAACACTGAAATTTCAAAACTAAACTCCCTCCTTTCCTCCTACATTGTTTTAGAGAAATCTTCATTAATGACCACTTTTATTTTTTTCAGCGTCTTGCTTTAACATGCATTGTCAGTTCCCTCTGTCTTCAACGTACACACATTTCCTGTCTTAAAACAACAAAGCAACAACATTCCTAAGTTAATTTTGCTTCTTCCAATTTGCATTATTCCATTTCCTTCTTTTTCATAAACAGTTCTGTTTGGAAGAATTGGTTTGTGGAGCCACTTTCAAGCCTAGTAGTAGAGCTTAAACATGTTGAATTAAATAGAAAAACATCTATAGGTTCTCGAATAGGAGACTGAAATAATAAAAGCCTTCTATAAAAGAAGTTATTTTGATGGCATATTAAAGGATGAAGTAAAAGGAGAAGAGACTAACCCTAGACAGGAAGAAAATATGGGGAGTCATTTCAGTTATGATGACTGTGAACACCGTGAAGAAGGGTGAGAATCCAAGACATTTTAAAGGGGGAAAAACTAACTAGAATTGGTATACGGAATAAATATAACATGAAGAAGAAAGAAGAGATATGTCAGGTTCATATGAAATGGACAATATGAACTTTTTCTTTGAATGCATTTTAGAAAGAAAGAAAAGAGAAGAATAGAGGGAGGAAGGACATAAAAAAGAGAAGAGAGAGTGAGGGAAAGAGTAGATTGCGGAGGAGTACTGGGAAGAGATCCACAAGAGGTGATCGAAGCATTGCCAAACAGAAGCAAAAGCCAGGTTCGATAAGGCACAAAGAGAACACATTGAGCCTGCTGTGTTCCAGGCACTGTGCTAGATGCTCAGTATGCAGGAGTCATCAGGACATGGTGCTGGTCTTCAGAGAGCTTATAGTCCCACGGTTGAGATGAATTGCATGAAAATGAAATGAACCCAACTTAGCACCGCTCCACTTCATGTTTCGTCTGTATTCTGAGGGCCAGGGGCAATTATTAGGGAAGATGGAAGACAAGGGTAGAGGAAGATCCAGAACTGAGGACTGGTGTGGCTGATTGGGGTAGTAGCCACAGAGGAAGTCAAAGGCACTAAGGAGGGCAGCACTGAAGTTTCAGGTGGGAAAGTCTTCAGCTTCACCAGTAGGCTAGGAATGAGAGAAAGAAAGGAGGGAGACTGAGTCAAGGTGTGAGTGAAGGCAAGGAGCCCAGTTGGTGGCATGATGAGGTGGGAGGGATGAAAACATCTCTTTTCAGCTCTCTTCATCTCTTCTTGAAAATCTTCACAGATTTCTCTCATCAAATTCCACTCACTTCCAGTGCCCCAGTATGAGGCCAACCACGGTCCTTCATTCTCTGTGCTTCCTTCTCGAAACACTGACTTGAGTTTCTCTCAGTGTTTCCTATTCTTTGTCCACATTAGAGCTAAAGACTAGAATCTAGGATCAAATGTAAAAGGAAAATATTAGAGATCAATGACCAGGAACAATGTTTAGATACCTTTTATCATCTGCAATTATGTGTTTACTTAAACTTAGGTCTCCTTGTTTATTTTCTCATTACTACCTACCAGTAAAACATTGTTTCCTTGGTTTTCACATGGAAGTGGGAATTGAGTATGTCTTGCTTTTCTAAACTGGGAACCACAAACCTTCCTCAGTGCTTATATGGAATGACAGTCTCAAGCTTGTCTTCAGCCCAGCCATCCTTTAAGTTAACAGAGTCATCATCTTTCATGATAGAACAGCACAAAGACCCTGCTTCCTTATCTGCTAATAACGCTTCCTTGTTTTTGACAGTAGCTGGAGCTGAGCTGCATCTTTAACAGTGATTCACATATTACACATTTCAGTGTCTGTCTTGTTTCCTGCATTTCTCTCTTCGTTAGTGCATCAAGACACATTTATTAACGACACATCATATGCCTTCCGGGCCCCGTGTTAGGTAATGGGAATACAAAGATGAATGATAATAGTAATTGTATTACATAATACATAATACTATATAATACAATAGTAAATAGTAATATTTATTGACCACATACTATATGCCAGACTCCTTTCTAAATACTCAGTAATCTTATTCAATCTGCCCATCCTTGTCATTCTCACTTTCCAGATGAGAAAATGCAGGCTTGGGGAGCTGAGGAGCCTGCTCAGCCCACAGAGCTGGGATTTGAACCCCATCATCTGACTCCAGAGTACTTTACAAGCTGAATACATTCCCTATCTTTTCATGGCTCATTGCTCCTAACCTGTCCTGTGTGGTAGTCCTATTGAGTCCTACCGAGGGCTGGCTGCCTTCCAGACAATGTGTGTGACTACACCAGTGGTGACCACACCAATGGCTGGCTCCTGTACATGCCAGCTACCCACTCCCCCTTTACACATTAACTGCTGAGTGTTATTTACTTAAGAAAAAGTTGTCTCAAAAAGCAAATATTTTTCCTTTCCAAATGCTTTCACACCTTTTCATCAGTAGCTGATCACAGCCAGAGCCTGAGCCACGGGGATATGAGGGACCAGACCCCTCCCTGACTTGCTTTGTCATTCCTGACCTTAACATGTTTGATGAGTTGAATGCTCTTCAATGTGGATTTGACTCAGGTTTCCATGTGATTAGACCTGCTTAGTATTTTATGTCCTACTTAGTATTTTACATCAGCAAGCACATGATGTCAGGGAAGTTTGTCTCATGACTGGCAGTGTTCACTTTGTTAAGGTGCTGCCCTCCAGGTTTCTCTGGTGTAAAATTCCCTTAGAAATTAATAGGCCGGGCACAGTGGCTCACACCTGTAATCCCAGCACTTTGGGAGGCCGAGGCAGGCGGATCATGAGGTCAGGAGATCGAGACCATCCTGGCTAACACAGTGAAACCCCGTCTCTACTAAAAATACAAAAAAATTAGCCGGGCGCGGTGGCGGGTGCCTGTAGTCCCAGCTACTTGGGAGGCTGAGGCAGGAGAATGGCGTGAACCCGGGAGGCGGAGCTTGCAGCGAGCCGAGATAGTGCCACTGCAGTCCGGCCTGGGCAAAAGAGCAAGACTCCGTCTCAAAAAAAAAAAGAAAAAAAAAAAGAAATTAATAGTTACTCTGTGGGAAGAAGTTTTGGGGCTGTGTAAATATTCTGCTCCTCGTTCAACTTTTAACCAACAAATATAACATCCATTGATGATGCTTACCAGATTCAATAATGATGATAGCTGCAAAATGATGATTTTCTTACTCCGCTATTCTTTCTGCATTTACTAGTTGACATTCTATTCTAAGCAAGAGTTTCCCCTGCTGTTCTATTTATTTATTTATTTATAAATGTGTTTATTTATATAGTATAAGTATGGATTCATGGATTCCATAATGCATATTATTATGTATTCTGGTGTTCAAACTGTCCTAAATTTGGCCAGTGCGAGTCTCCTCAAGCTTTCTTTTCTTTCCTTTTGACAGGACCTCATCATTTTTTTGAGCACTTCTTTATTTTCTGACCTAATTAGCTATTCCATCTTCACCCATCCTTGCACTTTCCTTCCTAGCCCTGGAATTAGACTTTTCTCCAGGAAGCTCCCTGGCTGTATTTAGGAGTGTAATTTGAAACCAGGATCTGGACAGTTGTCCAAAATCTTGATGGCACTATGGAAAGCCCTTTTAATGAACTTGAACCTGCTACTCACATGGAAAACAGGCTCACCACTCCCCAAGGAATCAACAAGGAATGGGCGTGAGGAGAGATAGCTGATTTCTTTTCATTCAATTTGTATGCTTCTCTTACCCATACCATACCTGCCAATGCCTTCAAGTCCATACAATAATAGGGCTAATTAAGAATGTCCCAGACACTTTCATGCAGGGGTAGGGAAGCATTATCCTGCTAATCCTAACCCTAGCTCTTAAGGAGACACAGGGACCATCTTTGAGAGGAAGATTAGCCAGGCCTTTTGCATTTCTTTTTTTTTTTTTTTTTTGAGACGGAGTCTCGCTCTGTCCCCCAGGCTGGAGTGCAGTGGCGCAATCTCAGCTCACTGCAAGCTCTGCCTCCTGGGTTCATGCCATTCTCCTGCCTCAGCCTCCTGAGTAGCTGGGACTACAGGCGCCCGCCACCACGCCCGGCTAATTTTTTGTAGTTTTAGTAGAGACGGGGTTTCACCGTGTTAGCCGGGATGGTCTCGATCTCCTGACCTCGTGATCCTCCCACCTCGGCCTCCCAAAGTGCTGGGGCACATTTCTTTTTGAATGAAGACTCTTATGGGTAGGATCTGCCCCCAAGATCTCCTAAAGAATTAAATGATGCTGGCTTTACCTGGCTGATGGCACAGTGGAACTCTGCCAGAGCTGGCTGACAGTCCCACCCCATGGTAGTAGCTCTCAGGTTCTTCCACACTCCATCCAGCTCAGGCAGCTGAAAACAATGGTACACATGAAGAAGACATGTCCTCACCCCTTCCCGGCCTTCCCAGCTCTAACACCAGCTCTTCGGATATTCTCTGCCTCAGGAGTTTTTACGTTCACAGAAAGGCAACCACAGACTGTAGAGAATGAGCCTCACAGCAATATCCTCATTCCTCAAGGAAATGATCTGCAAGTCTGCCTTTTCTCCCTTCCGATATTAAATTGATTTATTCCCCAAGTGAGCAGGAGATAGAGGCTGTAGCCAGTACTGGTGTTTTTGGTAGTAGAGGCTCCTTCACTCTGGCACCGCCTCCTTGCATAGTTGAGGTTGGGCAAGAGATATGCATTGTAAATTGCAGGTGGGGTAGATTTTAATGAACGTGAAAAATGATGAAGCTCATTCTTGGCATTTGTCATTTTCAATTCCAAATCTATCACTAAAAATAAGTCTTTATAAGTGGACAGCTCAGAGGATACATGTTGTATAAACTTGTTCCTTACCAGAACTCTGTGGTTGTCTTTGTTTTTTTTTTTTCTTAATGTCAGAGTATTTTATTTAGAACAAAACGAATCACCTCTTTTATACATCATTTTCCTCCAGATAAAAAAAATCAAATAAATAAAACAACACAAGTAAAGCCCCCCCCCCACCGCCACCAAATCCCCTTCTCCCTTTCTGCCTTCAGGTTAAGTGTTCTGTCTTTTATAATCTCAATAGAAGGGAAATCTGTTGAGCATGTGTCTGATATTCTAGAGCTCATTGAAGCCCACTATGTGTTTGAAATACAGCAATGTGTGGAAACACTTACACAAACTGTGGTAACAGAGCCCTGCCCCCCGACCCAACATAACTTTCCTTTCTGCCAAGAAGTTTTTTGGCAGTTTTTAAAAGGTTCACTCTATTAAAAATGTTATAGACCAAATGGTTTTCCAATTGTCTTGACTGGGGGCACTGACTTAACGCCACAGACAAAATGGTTGCAGAAGTCAGAATGTCTCGTTTATTTACACAGGGGATTGTTGTTAATAGTCAGACGCTACTCTAGAGAGCAGTTTATAAAAAGGGAGTTAGATACAAAAATAAATGAGATAAAATCATTTGTTTTAAACAAAGGCTGTTCAAAGTGAGGAGATGGGTTTCCAGCACCCTTCATGTTTTAAAATGTCGTATTTCCCTGTTTATGTGATTGTTGATGACACTGGTGTGCCTCAGGGCATTGCAGAGGACTTTATTAAAAGCCGAACCACCACCAGCTTTACTCTTGTGGTCTATCTTTCTGACACGACATTCCTTTCATCTAGTTTTGTTTCCAAAATATGCGTATGCAAATATCTAGGGGACACACCAAGTATTGCTTTTAAAATAGACATTCACCAAATTTGATCCATACTTCTGCATTTTTTGTTTTCTTTTCTCCCCATTCTAGAACAAGAAACTCCTTTACGAGAAGATGAAGGGAGGAGAGAGACGAAAGCGGAGGGTAACACGTGCCTGGCTGGATTGTTGCGGGGATGCTTGGAGCTTTCTGAGTGGGGCAGTGAACAGGCTGAAACCCTCGCTTGTTGGGAAGTCACAGAATCCTCCCTTGTGTAGTCCTGAGAAACACTGGTCCATGTGACAAGGGCCACACCCAGAAAGTCTGTCCTTGGTTTCTGCGATGGCTTCCCCAGGCTTTAGCAGATGATTTTTAGTGGAACGCGCAGTCTGTAGCGATTCTAGCAACTCCATTCCGTTCAGGAAATGTGTATTGCTTCCCCCATCAGTGTGGGACATATCTGGGGGGACATGAGGGTCTGTCTGCCCTCCCAGGGTCTGTAGGCCAGTGGGGAAAAACTGATCACACATCTGCATCAATTCTATAAAAACACAGGACAGAAACAGGGAAGTGCTGAACTGCATGCTCCAGGAAATAACTTTGAAGGAATTCGGGAGCAAAAGATGAGATGAACAAACTTAATTTCTCCTATGTATCTTTTTTTCTTGGCCTAGCCAGACTGATGTAAAATCTACTAGATCTGTAATATTTGTTTGCTGTCTGTTGAATTTACTGCAGGCTTAGTTTTTAACCATCCCAGGGCTGCCCAAGGTAGGAACTTGGTCTAGATACTCCACATTTAGCTACTTCATATACAGTGTTGCCTCACGTAAAACTCAATGTCACATTTGCTTTGGCTTTCCAGGGTATTTTATAGCATCAAGACTTGATAAGTGATCAAGGTCCATTCTGCTAATCCACTGGTACCTTACTAGTCAGAAGGGCCTGGCCACCTACCTCCTTCTTTATCTGATCAGATGAAAGTGGGAGAAAAAACAACCCCACTGTTACATGGTAAAATGCTATGAGATAGTGACCATTTTAGTTAAAACATACAAACCTAAGCACGTACTCAAAGCCACTGACTATTTATTCAGAAGAGCAAGTGCCTGGATCCTCACAAAATTTGGGAATCTGGGCAGTGGTAATTGTGGCCATTCTGAAGGGTTTTGCCAAATCCGGTCAGAGAGAGCTTCAAGAGGTGTGGATTTTCTGGCCTCAGCATCAGTCCTCAGGCCCCCACAACAGAAGGTTCCAAGCCCCTGTACTGCCTGACAAAACACAGAAGACATACAGCAATTTTCTACGCGAGAAGTAGAAAATTTTTACCTCTGGAAACAAATCTTTTTTGAGGAGAGTTAACAGAGTTATTAGGGGTTTTTCTTGGTGATTACAGCTTCCAATAGCAGATGGTGACAGAAAGGGTCCAAAGGGTATAATGTGGTCTTGAGGGAACATCAAGAAATTCTATTCTAGGAACTCAAAATACACATAATTTACCAGTAACACGGCTTGAATATCTCCCTACAACACAACAAGAACATTTCCAAATAAGAGCAATGACTGACCCAAAATCAATAACTTAGCTTGAAACTTTAATTGTCTCTACTTCCTGGCCCACCATTCCTTCTGCCCTGACTCAGTGAATGACCATGGTCACGATTTAGGTCATTTTTCCGTGAGACTAGTGATTACCAAAACTCAGAATGCTGGCTAAGACACATGCTATAAAGGATTTTACTTTAGCCTCAATTTCCTCCACATAGGAAAGGCTTAGAATTTAGGAAAAGAAGGGTCACTTTGACCCAGAGATATCAAGTTCTTCCTGTTCTTGGGCATCTACAAAGACCCATTCTCATGCCATAAACCATGGGCCTCTCTGGATTGATAAGGAAGCACGTTGGCCCTGCCCATCATGAGGTCTCAGATGATGTTCCCATCTTGATTAAAGACATTAACACTGCCCCACCACCACCCCCAGTACATGAATCAATATAAAGAAACTATACGCTTTCTTTTTTGAACAATGAAGTCTTCCTTCAGTGAAGCTCAGCATCTGCTGTGAGTTTCCAGAGGACATTGTAAGCAAAGATCCAATCCCAGTGGTTCTTCCAGTTGTGAAATGGGAATCATGTTCTCTGTGTGCCCTACCCAGTCTCTTGCCCAAGTGAGAGAAGACAAATATAGAAGTGCCTTGAGTTTTTCAGAGCACAATTAAAGCCAAGGCTCAGCTAGGCATGGTGGCTCACGCCTGTAATCCCAGCACTTTGGGAGGCCGAGGAGGGTGGATCACCTGAGGTCAGTAGTTCAAGACCAGCCTGGCCAACATGGTGAAACCCCATCTCTACTAAAAGTACAAAAATTAGCCGGGCGTGGTGGTATGCTCCTGTTATCTCAGGTACTCGGGAGGCTGAGGCAGGAGAATCGTTTGAACCTGGGAGGTGGAGTTTGCAGTGAGCCGAGATCATACCACTGCACTCCAGCCTGGGTAATGGAGTGAGACTCCATCTCAAAACAAAGCAAAACAAAACAAAAACAAACCCAAAGCTCATTATTATTATTCCTAAGTGCCGGATTCAATACTCAGTTAAATATTTATCAAAAAAGTTCACCTGATTCCTCTTTTTACCTCCTCATTAATTTTTCCCCTCCCCTCCAACCTTTGCATGTTGTAGGTCTGGGCAGGACTTCTCCCATGAGAGATAGATTCTCCTCAAAGTTGCAACCAAGCCCCATATGGCTTTGAACAACTTTTTGTACTCACCCAAATCCAATTGAATTCCTCATTGCTTCACAAATGAAATGTCAATCTACCTTTAAATGACTGTGAACTTTTAAACTCTTAAGCTGTATCTTGTTAATATTTGAGCTCTACTATTGATCTTATTTAAACAGTTTATGAACCTTTTAATCTCATATTTGATAAACTTGAACCTCTCATATCCTCCTTTAACATATTAGAATTTTTGGAATAAATATTACTAAACAAAATTCTGATATGATCCCCTGGGGTAGGCCAAACCACTGTAATTGATAAAAGGAATTTTTATTATTTTAAATATTTCTAAGATGAATTCTCAGCAAGGTGTTGTCTTGTGGCATGTCACTTTTCAAATGTCTGAGGACATTGCTCACTTTGTAATTCTCACCTACTTTGTGATGCATCTTTGTAGAGTGAGTCGGACCTTTCACGATTCATGCGTTTAGCAGTCAGAATGTGAAAGAACATTTGTAAATGCTAAACTCAGGTTTCATTCCTTCTCTTTTGAAGAATGTCTGCTCACCTTTCAAGAGTCATGGCAGGTTATTTCATGGGCAAGAGAGCTCCACCTGTGAACAGACTCCATTCATACATGGGGATTGAGCATGCAACAGGGATTGCTGATCGTTTGTAACTACAGCTTCTTTCTTTCTTTTTTTTTTTTTTCTTTTTTGAGATGGAGTCTCGCTCTGTCGCCCAGGCTGGACTGCAGTGGCGCAATCTCGGCTCACTGCAAGCTCCGCCTCCCAGGTTCCTGCCATTCTCCTGCCTCAACCTCCCAAGTAGCTGGGACTACAGGGGCCCACCACCACGACTGGCTAATTTTTTGTATTTTTAGTAGAGACGGGGTTTCACCGTGTTAGCCAGGATGGTCTCGATCTCCTGACCTTGTGATCCGCCCACCTAGGCCTCCCAAAGTGCTGGGATTACAGGCGTGAGCCACCGCGCCTGGCTACAGCTTCTTTCTTATATTTTTGTTCCATTATTGGAAGGCAACTTCAATGAACAAACATCTTCCAAAACTTTTGAATTTTTCTTCTGCTTGCTAAATACTATTTTGTAAAGTTTCAATTACTAGTTCGAATCCACACCTCAATAAATAGATATGTATTAGAGAAGGAATGGAAAAATATTTACTCATTAAGAATACCAACACATGAAAGTGATTTCAGAGTATGGAGTCTTGAGTCAAAAACAAAGGACCCTTCCCGGAAGCTTCCTTTTTTGCTTCAGTTTTTGAATTTGACTGAAGGAAGGTGGAAATGATCACTCGAGCCCCTAATGAATTCTCCTTAGTAAAATACTGGCGAGGAAGAATCAATCCCAGCAACAGGATGATCTGGGACCAGTCTTCAGATGTTAATTCCCACTTGGCCCTACTCTTCTCCTTTAGAACGTTTTTCTTGCAAAATATAATTTAATGCATTTCAGATTCCCCTTCCTACCTAAATAGGGCCATAGAATAATAATTATCTTTCTTATGGGTCTTGGTATCTAAATTAGTAGCAAGGACTTATGAGCTGGTTTACTGCACATCTTTGCACCAAAAATAATAATTTTTAAAAAGACCACATTGCATCTGATAAAGAGCTCTATAGTTGTGTGAAAAACACAATTAGAGACATCTATCAGTCAGAAAATGTTTCATAGGCCACTGAGGTATTAATTAGTACACTGGAGTAATTGTTTGGTAGTTGGTAGGTGCCACTGGTTACATTGTTGTTAACCTAATAGGCCAGAAACAATTCTTTTCTTTTCTTTTTTCTTTTTTTTTTGAGACAAAATCTTGCTCTGTCGCCCAGGCTGGAGTGCAGTGGCATGACGTCTGCTCACTGCAAGCTCCGCCTCCCGGGTTCACGCCATTCTCCTGCCTCAGCCTCCCAAGTAGCTGGGACTACAGGCACCCACCACCACGCCCGGCTAATTTTTTGTATTTTTAGTACAGACGGGGTTTCACCGTGTTAGCCAGGATGGTCTCGATCTCCTGACCTCGTGATCTGCCCACCTCGGCCTCCCAAAGTGCTGGGATTACAGACGTGAGCCACCGCGCCCGGCCCCAGAAACGATTCTTGTTCATTTCTTTTCTGAGATGTCTGTATCTGATGTTCACATATAACACCAAACCACATGGTTTTTGTTTGTTTGTTTTTCAGAGTGTCAATCCATATCTACAAGGACAGAGACTGGATAATGTTGTTGCAAAGAAGTCTGTCCCCCATTTTTCAGATGAGGATAAGGATCCAGAGTAAAGAGAAGATGCTAGACGAAAACCCACATTACCTGTTAGGCCTCAGCATGGCTTATGTGCACGTGTAAATGGAGTCCCTGTGAATGACAGCATGTTTCTTACATAGATAATTATGGATACAAAGCAGCTGTATGTAGATAGTGTATTGTCTTCACACCGATGATTCTGCTTTTTGCTAAATTAGAATAAGAGCTTTTTTGTTTCTTGGGTTTTTAAAATGTGAATCTGCAATGATCATAAAAATTAAAATGTGAATGTCAACAATAAAAAGCAAGACTATGAAAGGCTCAGATTTCTTGCAGTTTAAAATGGTGTCTGAGGTTGTACTATTTTGGCCAAGTCTGTAGAAAGCTGTCATTTGATTTTGATTATGTAGTTCATCCAGCCCTTGGGCATTGTTATACACCAGTAAAGAAGGCTGTACTCAAGAGGAGGAGCTGACACATTTCACTTGGCTGCGTCTTAATAAACATGAATGCAAGCATTGGCATATGGAGTTTTCTTTTTAAAGCATTATAAAGAACAATTTCTTTGTTTAATAGAACAACCTGATCTACATATATGATAGTATATGATCCAAACAATAATGCTGTGAACTTAATGGGTCTGGTATTATCCCCATTTTACAGATGGTAGAACTGAGATGCATTCAACACACTGAGATACGTTCAACACACCATTGGGAATCATCAGCAAAATCCAGCATGAAGAGTCTCTACAGGATAAGTAGCCTAGATTTTTCCAACAAATAAATGATAGGAGGGAAAAATGGTGGGGTACTATCATAGATTTTAAAAGGCTTAAGAGACATACGAGCCAAATATAATGTGTGTGGGTCTTATTTGCATCCTGACTCAAAGAAAAGCATTGATCAGACAGTCAGGGAAGTTTGAGTAGTAACTGAATATTTTGGTATGATTCAAGTGTTACACAGTATTATATTATGGCTATTTTTTTAAAAGAGCCCTTATATCTTAGGGATAAATATTGAATTATTTACAGATGATATGATGTCTTGGATTTCTTTAAAATAATCCAGTGGTAGTGATGAGGTGGAGGGCCAGGAGGGAATGGGGATATAGATAATCAAGACTGGCCATACACTGATAACTGTTGAAGCTGGGTCAAGGGTACTTGGGAGTTCATTGTACTTCTTATATCTTTTTTTTTGTTGCTTTTTTTTTTGTTTTTGAGACAGAGTCTTGATGTATCACCCAGGCTGGAGTGCACTGGTGTGATCTCAGCTCACCGCAACCTCCACCTCCTGGGTTCAAGCGATTCTCCTGCCTCAGCCTCCGGAATAGCTGGGATTACAGGTATCCACCACCACACCCTCTAATTTTCGTATTTTTAGTAGCGACTTGGTGTCATCATGTTGGCCAGGCTGCTCTCAAAACTCCTGACCTCAAGTGATCCGCCCACCCCGGCCTCCCAAAGTGCTGGGATTACAGGCATGAGCCCTCGCATCTGGCTTGCACTTCTTATTTCTATGTTTGTATGTATTTGAAAAATTCAACAATAGAACCACAGTTAATGGTTAAAAAGTAAGAGTAGATCATGGTAAGAACTGGCCTGGAGTCCAGGTGTGGTGCCTCATGCCTGTAATCCCAGCACTTTGGGAGGCCAAGGCAGGCGGATCACCTGAGGTCGAGAGTTCGAGACCAGCCTGACCAACATGGAGAAACCCTGTCTCTGCTAAAAATACAAAATTAGCTGGGTGTGGTGGCGCATGCCTGTAATCCCAGCTACTTCGAAGGCTGAGGAAGGAGAATTGCTTGAACCCAGGAGGCAGAGGTTGCAGTGAGCTGAGATGGCACCACTGCACTGCAGCCTAAGTGACAAGAGTGAGACTCCGTCTCAAAAAAAAAAAAACAACAAAAAACTGGCCTGGAAATAGCAATGTTGGACAAGGTAGAATAAGGCTACATAAGGCTGTGGACAATGTGAGGAAGCCAAAAAGGAAGGTGAATGAAGAGTTGTCCCAAGGTGCTAGGGAAGTAGCAGAGGGATCCACGGGAGAGAAAATCTGGCTGGGGCTAGTGGTGATGAACTAGATAGTGAAGTCAGAGTGGCTGGAAGGAGAAGGGATTTTCCTGGAAAAAAAAATAGGAAACTTAGAGGCAGGAGACAAGGAGAACCTCCATTAGACAGACTCAGAAAGGCCCTTTCTTTCTGAATGGAGTCAGCTGGGCATCTGCAGCACAGACAGAGGGATTTGCCTGTGGGCTGGAGAGGGTCATTACTCCTATCTCAGTCTTCCCACAATGCTCCAGCTGAGGATCTTTGAAACCAGAAAGGTGGTTATAGTCACCCCAGAGACATGTGGAGAACAAAAGAAGAGGATGGTGCTAGCACCACAGCCATTCATCCTGATTGAACTCCCACTGTGGACACAGCCAGCTGGAGCCTCAGAGCAGTCACACAGCATGAGGAGGGGTTTACAATGGGGTCATTCTAGAAGAGAATTTCCTCCGTTCTTGCTACTGGGAGAGAGAAAATAGATTGTTGAGTGTTTCCTACAGCGTTTGTGCAAAGCCATCCTCCCCTCCCACTGCCTTCAAAGTGAGTCACGTGCCAGGTCACCAGGCTGAGTCTTCTAGGGATGGCTCTTCCAAATGTGTTTACACCCAAAGATGCAGTGTTCCGGAACACACCTGGAGGTCCTGAAGGGAGCAATTCAGAGTTGGAAGTGTTTCTGCCAGTGAGTTGGGGGTCTGTCTGGGTTGGGCAGCTACCTGGAGGTGATATGAGCTTGGAAAACTGAGTCATCCACTCGATCCACAGTTCCACAGTCACTGCCACACAATGAGGAGCAGCATGACCCTGACTCCACACTTCCCAAGACTCCTGGAACAGAATTCTATTTCTTTGGCAAGGCTGCGACGAGGACCTTTCCTATTTACTCAGCTAGGCACAAAGGAATAGCAGAAACATCTTTTCTCCTCCTCTTTCCTTTGAAACCTTTGAGAGATACCAGGCTTCACATATAAATCTCACAGATACCAGCCACAGGGTTAGGGCCTGGAGAACGAAACCCTCCAGATCCCCTATCTGTCACAGGATCACATGGTGATCACTAAAGTGCCACTGCCTTGGCCAGGGGGACAGGAGAGCCAGGAAAATGGGAACATTTATTAAAAATAAATTGTCGGCCAGGCACAGTGGCTCACGCCTGTAATCCCAGCACTTTTGTGATCCAGCCAAGGTGGGCAGATCACCTGTGCTCAGGAGTTCAAGACCAGCCTGACCAACATGGTGAAACTCCATCTCTACTAAAAGTACAAAAAAAAAAAAAAAATTATCCAGGCCTGGTGGCGCATGCCTGTAATCCCAGCTACTTGGGAGGCTGAGTCAGGAGAATCACTTGAACCCGGAAGGTGGAAGTTGCAGTGAGCCGTGATGGCGCCATTGCACTCCAGCCTGGGCAATAAGAGCGAAACTCCGTCTCAAAAATAAATAAATAAATAAAATAGATTGTCAGCTAGAGGAACTCATTCTTCTAGCTGCGAGTGGGTAGGGGAGGACATGGTTAATTACTTCTCTCTTATGATCCCTTTTTGTGTTCCTGTGGGACCCCACGCATACTTTCATACAGTCCCTGAAACGGGGCATAATGATAAGAGTTACTCTATATACATAACAAGCTCTGTATACATTGTTCATTTAAACATCCCTCCCTACATTTTATAGATGAAGCCATTGAGGCAGACGGATTCCATGACTTAACCAAAACTCCTCAACTAGTAAGTGGCAGAGTTGGAACTTGAATTTAGGCCTCTGGGACTCCACAGTAGACACTCTCCCCTGTACCACACTACCACCTGTTAAAAGAGAAACCTTAGACAGATTAAACTGAACAGACTTTGAGTAAAGAGCAATTTGCAAAACAGGTTCAGAGAGACTCTGCACTGCCGTGTGGTTGAAGACAACCAATGGACAGCAAAAGGAAAGTGAGGTACACGAAAAGTGAGGGACAGAAACAGCCGTATTGGTTACATTTCAGTGTTTGCCTTATCTGAACATGGTTTGAACAGTTGGCCACCTTTGGCCGAATCTCAGTGATTGGCACAAGAGTAGGTTACAGCCTGTTTACACATCCAGCTAGGTTACAGTTTGCTATGTACAGAGAAAACTTTAGGCCGAGCTTTCACTATGTAAGGAGGCAGCTTTGGGCTGAACTTAATTTGGCACACCTAATACTTGTTTACTTATTATATATGTGCCTCATTCAACTGGGTTATAAGCTCCTTGAAGCCATAGGCTGTGTCTCATTTTTCTTTTTATCTTGATATCTTGCACGCGGCCTAACAAAGGCAATAATAACTGCTGAATGAATGAGCATGATGGAATGTTTTAAAGACGTCATAAAAGGTAAATCATCTTAGACTGTGTACAGAGGGAAAGGTGGAATTACCTCTCACTTTGGTGGGATTTACAGATTGATGTGAAGTTGTGAACATGGTTCTCAAGTCTTTCTTTTCTTTTTTTAGACGGAGTCTCGCTCTGTCGCCCAGACTGGAGTGCAGTGGCACGATCTCGGCTCACTGCAAGCTCCGCCTCCTGGGTTCACGCCATTCTCCTGCCTCAGCCTCCTGAGTAGCTGGGACTACAGGCTCCCACCACCACACCTGGCTAATTTTTTTTGTATTTTTAATAGAGACGGGGTTTCACCACGTTTGGCAGGATGGTCTCGAACTCCTGACCTTGTGATCTGCCCGCCTCGGCCTCCCAAAGTGCTGGGATTACAGGCGTGAGCCACTGCGCCCGGCCCTCAAGTCTTTCATAGAATCAGCCAGTAGAACTACCCGCTTCTTTTCTGAGTCACTGCTCAAGTGTCGGTAGTTCAGGAAGTGTCAAGGCACAGAGTTCCTGCCAAATATCTCAGTTTGCTGCACACCATGACGGTTGTGCATGATTCATTTATTAGGGAGACAGACCAGATGCGTGGGACGGCCCTGCTCACCATCAAGGCAGATCTGTGGGCAGACAGAGCATTGGGTTCTGCTGTGGGTTTTCATCGACCAGTGTTCCCTCTCTGACCATGGGAAAGCCACATGGGCAGTGCAGAAGGCATATCCCAGCCCTTCACTGGTATCATGTGCTGTGGCAACAGCCTTGGGGATTAGAACAGAGAAACCTGGGGAAACATTGGCCACTCAATGAGAAGCAAACTTGGAGGGTAGGAGGAAAGTCCTAAGGAGGGGTCAGGGAAGTATCCAGGCCATCAACTTTCAAAGTGCTCCGGGACATAATTTAGAAAGTCAATTGGCACACCTAGCCAGGAGTATATCTTGAGAAAGTAGTATTCTTTGAAGCCTCCTGAAGCCTGGGTTTTACCAACAGCCTAGTCCTGGCAAGATTCGGGGAGCTTGTACTTCACATACTCAACTTTCTGTTTCTAAAGGGAAAGGAGACTCTACCAAGCCTTTTTGGCCATCAGGCTGCTCTTCCAAAATTGTCTGGTGACTTAAGTGTAGGTGAATCAGAAACATGTGGATCAAATTTCCTGCTAAAATACACATGTGTTTGGCAATTAAAAGAAAATGTGTAGAATATGGCAGATTTGGTGGCCAGAAAGCCCCGTGAGAAGGCAAGGGCCGCTGAAAATTATCATAACTATATAGTAAAAGAAAACTTGATTCCAAATGGGCACAGAGGAATCCATGGAGAAAGTTGGTAAGACATTTATGGGTGTCACACATCGGCTTCTGAAGGCCACAAGTAAAGGCAGGGTGTTTGCAAAGATTCTTGTAGAACCATGTCCTTGAATTTGGGTTTAAAAACTTATTAACTTATAAGTTGCAAAAGAAAGTCTCTTTTAGAAAAGAGCTGCTATAAGATGGGCTGAGTTAGAAAAACCTAACAGCCCATCCTAATAGACTGAATGTTCTATTGTTTGATGAATGTTATGTGCCAGTAGAACTTGTTGATAAGCCATTCTTCCGAACAGAAACCATAACTATATACACAGGAAACAAAAATATTTGTAATGGCTTTTAGCAGTGGCAACTGAACACCTGAGGAGTGAGATGCATCTTAATAAAGCCCATTTGGAAACTATAGTGACTTCCCCACAAGGTGTCACCTTCCTTGTTAGGACTCATCACGATACCATTCATTTATTCATTCAGCAGTAACTTATCAAGGATCTATTCTATGTGCCAAATACTGAGCTATATTCTGGGACTGGGGAGTCTTACTAAAGAGGTATAAGA
This sequence comes from Homo sapiens, assembly GCF_000001405.40. Classification (NCBI taxonomy): domain Eukaryota; kingdom Metazoa; phylum Chordata; class Mammalia; order Primates; family Hominidae; genus Homo; species Homo sapiens. The sequence continues at coordinate 4,917,419 of NT_187660.1, forward strand.
TATAGGCTCTTCCTTCATGGAGTTTAAAGCACATTTGCAACCATAAATATTCAGCTATTTGTACACTATTATTACACACTTGATCCCATGGCATCACAGTTTAACAGAGTAGTTAGATACAAAAACTTTGTAATTAGATTTGCATTTGACGGGTTCTGTGACTTACAAGTTGTGTGGCCTTGAGCAAATAATTCCATCTCACTAAACCTTAGTTCTTTCATGTAACCAATGGGAAAGGTAATACTTACCTTATCATATTGATGTGAAGATCCTGTGATGTGAAATTCCCTGCAATATGGCACCTGTGTTAAACCTCTATTTAGATGTCAAATTCAGAATTCATCAGATTTCAGGGCAAGAAACAAACTCTTTACTCTGGATATTTCCATATGAAAGGGATTTAATGCAAGGAATTATGTGCTTACAAAATTATTTAAAGAAGTGGAGGAGCATGAGGCAGGGATCCACAGTTCGGTTTAACCAGTTCAAGGTCACGCACATAGCTGGAATCCAGAGGTCAGGAAATAGTGGTTGGTGTCACTGCCACCACCACATCACTACCAATGATGTGTGATACTCCCAAAGTCATTGTCTTGACACAAGAATGGTGAGTCTGCCTGCAGCTACCATCTCTCATAGCAGAAACAGCAGCAGAAAAATAGATGTTTTTCTTTCTCTTCCAACTTCAACATCTGTGGGAGTGCATCTATTTGGTGTTCCAGTTTGCTTCCAAAAGCCTGTCTCCTGAGGAGTCAGGTATCAGCTACATCAGGGGTTCCCAACCCCTGAGCCACCAACCAATACTGGTCTGTGGTCTGTTAGGAACTGGGCCATTCAGGAGGAAGTGAGCCCCGGTCGAGTGAACATTACGGCTTGAGCTCCGCCTCCTGTCAGATCAGTGGCAGCATTAGATTCTCATAGGAGTGCAAACCCTATTGTGAACTGTCCATGTGAAGGATCTAGGTTGCACACTCCTTATGAGAATCTAATGCCTGATAATCTGAGGTGGAACAGTTTCATCCCAAAACCATATGCCCCTTGCCATCCACGGAAAAATTGTCTTCCACAAAAATAGTCCCTGGTGCCAAAAACGCTGAAGACCACTGATCTATATTTTCCATATAGGGATAGCCAAAACCCAGGTAAGCTGAAGCTCTATGAAAATTCAAAGTAGAGCCCAGCTGTCCTGATCTCAGTTTTACCATCAATTTACTATCTTATAATAGCTCCAAAGGAGAAAAGTGAAAAACCGTAGAATTTTAGAGATCATTTTTTCCCGCCTTCCTGGTTGATAAAGTAAGAAATAGTGCTTGAAAGAAGATGAATAATCGCAGCACAGACGTAAACCAAACTCAAGCTTTATCATTAGGATTGACATAGGAACCATCCCCATGACATAGACCCCAAAAGTACAATGGTATGAATGAAAAAGGTGACAGCGGAGGCTGATCTTTATCATTTTTCACTATGCTTGGCTTTTTTGTTATTGTTGATTTTTGAGTTGGAATGTGAGCTTATTTATCCTCCACAGCTTTTGGAAGATTTCAGCCTGGCTCATCCTACGTTAGAGTGTCTGACAGGGGAATAACGCGTGGTATTTAGATGGCACCAGTTATCCAAGAAGGTCAAATTTCTTTGCAATTAGTCTGTCGTACTCCAGAAAGCCCTGAGAGACGAGACGTTGGGGTATGAGAGAGGGAGTTATCTTCATTTAACAGCAGATAGACTTAGGAAGCGGCAGGGGCCAATGAAAAAGCAGGAACGAGAATGGAAAATGTCCCAACACTATCTCCCTTCCCCCACCAACAACCCAGGAAAAATTTTCCAAATCACTTTCTACATATGCCTTGACTGTTGATTCATCAAAGATGTCTTCAATAGATTCACAACTCAAACCACATTGTGGTATTTAAGTAAAGGGGAGCATTGAAAATGTGAATATAGTATTTCTTCTATTTTTGCAAATGGATGTGTTTGATACCAAACACTGTCAGCAGCTAATACTATTACTATGTTTGCTAATATGCTCAGATCAGCTGGGCACACAACCAAAACCCATAACATTCCTGAGTGAAGTATGATCAGATGCTCCCAAATGCAATTTGCCTTCTTCCCTCGCATCATAAGAGAAAAGGCTTTTGTTGGATATGTTTTGTGAACACCAAAGAGAGTAAATAGCTTTTTGAAGAAGCCAAAGTGTTTTCCTCCTGATTCATTGTGAATGCCTGCAAGAGTGTTTCCTTTTAAGTTAAAACAATTTACGAATTCTTCCTACTAAATCAATCTACATATTTTTATCACTGCTATTTTTAATAAGTAACTTTTCTTTCTGAAAATTTATTTCACTTTGCCCCAACCTTTCTGTGATTCTTGGGAGACAAGAAACAGAGTTCATGTAAAACACTCTTGTTTATGATGGATGAAACCACAAACTTTGTGTGATGTTAACCCACTCACAGAAGGAGAATCTGAACTTCAGAGTATTTTGTGTTTGGAGAGAAGGCTCACTAAGGGAAATGGGCTCACTTCAATTCAATATATTATAGGAAGGAAAGGATCAAGGAAGAGCTGGTCTTAAAACTGTCAAAATATAAGAATTTGATGGGAAGAAAGAAGGAAAACAGAGCAGTTGGAAATGCAAAGATAAAAGAACTGGATCCAGACATGTCTATGTAATTTCCCAGGAATGGAAATTGTACTGGCAATTTGGAAAGAGATATCGAAAAACAATATACATTAAATGTTGAGCTTTTCTTGCAGCAATGCACTTGGAAGGCTCTTAGAACACATGGCATAATGGTATTATGATTCATCTACATATGGCCTGATCCTTGGTGACTGATGAAAGGGGAAACCAAGTTTCATAAGGAATCAAACACAGAAGAGGAAGCTAAACACTTTTTTAGAGAAAAAAACTCTTTTAAGCTTCTAGGTCATCAGCAGAGTATTAACTAACGCAGCCTACTAAATTTGCATTGGGATAGATCACATATGTAATTTCCTTTAATTCTTCAATAACCCTGTGACATAGGCATCATTTTCTCTGTTTCCTGATAGCCCAAGAGTTGCCATCTCTAAAGTTGCTTAGGTAGTTGGTGGTTGAGCTTAGATGCAAACAGAATTCTTTCCACCACACCAGTGATTGTCAAACCTGGCTGCTTATCAGAATCATCTGGAGAGCTTTGTAAAAATACAGATTCTTGGCCCAGGAAATTCTGATTCAGTAGTCTAGAGCAAGCTCTGGGGATCAATTTTTTGTTTTGTTTTGTTTCTCCAGTGACTCTGATACACAGTGAATTTGGGGAAACATTGCACACAATTGCAACCAGAAATGGTGTGAGAATGGGTGAATACAAAAGCCCCGGAGGGAAGGTTGTAGAACACAGGGACTCCACTGCTCTACGAGAAGCCTGCTAAACTACACCCAGCCATAAATAGTCTCACAAAAATCTACCAGATCTGAAAAACATGCTTCGACTTCACCTGAATTTATTTCTAAGGCCCCAGACATTCCTAATCAGCCCATCTCCTCCCAGATGGCTCTGCAAACCATTCCTATCGTTTGGAATTATGTTTTCAGAAGCCTCACAACCATGATAAAATGCTGTTGCCATAAGCATTTTCCTATCTCCTCAAGATGAATTAGATGAGCTACTTAGTCCTTCATCAATAAATTGTAAAGGGAGAGGCATTTGGAACTATGGATGCCCTTCAAATGTACTTGGCTAGTTACTTGCCTCTGTTTCCAAAAAGATTAAAACGTAAAAGAAATAAGTGGCAAAACGTGCATCATTCCTGGCCACATACCCAAATATTCTTTCTCTTATCCAATATGACTTTTTCCTTTGCATGCTTTTTCACCAGGCTAAGAAAACTAAAATATCTTTCTACAACAAATCCTTAAGGTTTCCCAGAAACACAAAGCAATGGTGCATTATTTATTTCTTAGGAAATTTTACCATGTTATTTTTAGCAGAGTGCATGTTACCCTGACACAGGCCATAAAACTTACTCACTTCTTTGGGGTCTGAGGAATGTCATCTTGTGACTGGTTTTACAGGGAGAACTTATCGGGGTGCAGTTGCAGTTTCCAGAGTGAGTCAGTGCCATCATTGCCTCCGCTGTTATTCAGTGGGTGGGGCACCTGGAGCACAGGAATGTGCTCTCTGATTCCACGACAAAACTAAGGACTGAGGCTCCCCTAGGCTCAGTTGTAGATTTTGAGGCTCTTGAGTTTCAGTTCTCCAATGAGTTCCAGGTAAAATGCAGAAACCAGGCCAGGCGCCAATGGCTCATGCCTGTAATCCCAGCACTTTGGGAGGCCAAGATGAGTGGATCTCTTGCCCCCAGGAGTTCGAGACCAGCCTGGGCAACATGGTGAGACCCCATCTCTACAAAAAATACAAAAATTAGTGTGTGCCTATAGTCCCAGCTACTTGGGAGGCTGAAGTGGGCGGGTCATTTGAGCCTAGGAGGTCAAGGGTACAGTGAGCTGTGATCTCACCACTGCACGCCAGCCTGCTGGGTGAGAGTAAGAGCCTGTCTCAAAAAAAAAAAAAAAAAAAAAAAAAATGAAGGAGGAGAAATCAGAAACAGAAGCAAGGCAAAAAGGGGGCTAGAGCAAGGGTTATAACAGGAAGGAAAATAAGAACAGCTGCACTTTTAATCTATTCATTCAACAAAGGTCTGGGAGCATCTATGTACTCCAAGTGCCATGTAGAGGCCGGGGATTCAGTGAGCCACACAGAGACGGTTCTTGCCCCCACAGAGCTTACAGGCACGTGGAGGAAACAGACAAAAACCAAGCAAATCTACAAATTGCATAATTTAAAAATTTGGTAAGAGCCAGGAAGAAAGGGCGTTAGTCAAAGGAAGGACATGGCTTAGTATATAAGTTAAGAAATGTCCAGGCTGGGCACAGTGGCTCACACCTGTAATCCAGCACTTTGAGAGGCCGAGGAGGGTGGATCCCAAGGTCAAGAGATTGAGACCATCTTGGCCCACATGGTGAAATCCCATCTCTACTAATAATACAAAAAAATTAGCCGGGTGTGGTGGCACACGCCTGTAATCCCAGCTACTCGGGAGGCTGAGGCAGGAGAATCACTTGAACCTGGGAGGTAGAGGTTACAGAGAGCTGAGGTTGCGCCACTGCACTCCAGCCTGGTGACAGAGCAAGACTCCATCTAAAAAACAAAACAAAACAAAACAAACAAAAAAGCAAAAAACAAAAAAGAAGAAGTGTCCAGTGGCTTTGGGTCAGCATCGGTGAAAGTGGGGAGAGCAATAAAGAAGCAATTGCAACCTTTTAGGTGAGAAATGACCGTGACCTGGACTTGGGGATGGGCCGCGAAGAGTCAGGATGGACTCAAGACAGCTACTGGACTGCCACTGGCCGCGACACTTTGGAGAAACTCTAGCAGTTAGTTCTTCCGACACAGTTCCTACAGGTGACGGGATAAAAATAGAAGACAGCAGGGGAAATGATGAGGAGACCTGGAGCACTTTAGTTACGATTCAACTCAGCCTGTGCTAGGGCCACAGGGACTCAAAGAGGAGGAAGGAGACACTTTCTCCATGCAAGGAGTCTACATTTCATTGAAGAAGATGTGTCCAGCATACATGTAACTACAATAAAGGAAAAATATGACAAGAATAATAGAAAAGGCAGAAGGCTCTGAGAAGAAGGCTTGAGGTCAGAGTAGGAATTCAACCAGAAGAGAGAAGGGTGGGAACTTCTGAGGGGAGGGAGGAGCAAGAGCAAACGTGTGAACATGGTGGTCTGTGGTATGTGCTCAGCTCCTGCTGGGCTCAAATGTTGCATGTGCACAGAGAACATTAGCTGGAGACCATCAGGCTGGCACTGAACACCAGGGGCAGGAGTGGATGCTTGCTACTCAGCTGTGCACTCCTCTCATGTTCTTTTCTACATGTGTGCAATTGAATGTCTGTGTTATATGTGCGTATTAAAAGCGAACTCTCACCTTGAAATTCTTCTTAGTGGCAAGATTCTTTTCTCTAGATTGACAGTGCAGAGCTCACATAGTAATCACTGCTGTTAAAATAGATATTTAGGACTATAGAGTTAAAGCTTAAATACCATTTAAGGGAAGCTGCTGTTATCTGAAATAATTTGTCTTTCTTATTGAAAAGAACCAATACCCTCCCTCCCTCTTTCCCTCCTTCCCTCCCTTCCTTCCCTTTTTTCTTTCTTCCTTCGTTGGAAGAGTGGAAACATAACGAGGGGTTCTGGCTAGTGTCCTGAGGTGTTGGCTAGGTAAACTTTCTGGAGTTGCTCGTGCCAAGAGACCAGCACATACATTTCTCTAGGGGAAGTACATCCTAATTATTCCACAGACATCCATGGATCACTCTGGCTAGCAGAGTAGCACTGCAAAAATCATTACGATTTTTTTTTTTTCAGAAAGTTGTTCTACTTTGGCTTAATGTCCACATGACCAAGAATCACACTTTACAGTCTTTAAGGGCCTATCCCATGCTCAGCCACTTTCCTACAAAATCGTGGCGACGTGGAAAGGCAGACATGTGCACCTGGGAGCTTCTAAGATCCTGTCTGCTCTGGCTGATGCAGTGACCAGAGTCACCAGAAACCCTCTGCTCCATCTGGGAGACCCAAGAGAGATCATCTGGAAGCTGGTATCTGGGGACACACTGCTACATTGTCCAGTCCAAAGTCCATCAGCTTTGTTTTCTTTCTCTGTCACACGAACAAGTAAAACAGAGTGTAGAAACAAACACTGCAGGCAAGGTTACCTAGTCTCCTTGAAAAGGTTTCCTTCCTACTGGCTAACTTTCAACCTAAGGGAAAATGCAGCTCGATGCTCAACTGGTAGATTTTCTTTCACATTTTATTATACATGTGCATATAAAGGAATTTCTCTTACTATTGGTTTCTTCCTTCTCTGATCCTCTCTCCAAAGGCACCACATTTCTCCAGAGAGTGTGTCCCAAATGCCTCATGTCTACGGAGTTCTTTGCAAACATTAATAGACAAATGGTTAGTTTATATAAAGCACACATGTATTGCTCTGACATAAGCAGTGAGGAGCCCACAGTTTACATTTTTCATCTTTCTTTTAAAAAGGAATGAGAAATCGTATTCCAGATGATCCAACCTATTACGCTACGAAGGGAAGAGTGGAGAGGGAACCAAGATTGAAAAGAGATTTAAATTTGGACCCTTTGTGAGCCAAGTGCAAATTGGTGTACAAGTTCACATTGATCTTTAGAAGGGAAAGCAGGTATTGAATTTGCTTTCCACCTTTAGCTCCATCCTTCTCTACCTTGAGAAGAAGCCCAAAATACTGAACTTACTTATAAGCTCCTAATTTTAAAGGTAGACTGATACAGGTTAGGTGCAGGGGCTCATGCCTGTAATTCCAGCACTTTGGGTGGTTGAGGCAGGCGGATCTCTTGAGGTCAGGAGTTTGAGACAAGCCGCGGTCAACATGGCAAAACCTTGTCTCCACTAAAACTACCAAAAAAAAATTAGCAGGGCGTGGTGGCGAGTGCCTGTAGTCCCAGCTACTCAGGAGGCTAAGGCAGGAGAATCGCTTGAACCAAGGAGGCAGAGGTTGCAGTGAGCTGAGATTGTGCCAATACACTCCAGCCTGGGTGACAGAGTGAGGCTCCCTCTCAAAAAAAAAAAAATATATATATATATATATAGAGAGAGAGAGAGAGAGAGACAGACAGACAGACAGAGAGAGAGAGAGATAGACAGAGAGAGACTGATACAGTCATTAATAACTAATGGCAATAAGGCAGGCTTTGGTTTTTGTAGGAAACCTCAAGACAGGCCATATGGGTTTTCATTTTTTCTTTTTTTTTTCTTTTTTTTTTTTTTCTTTTTTTTTTTTGAGATGGAGTCTCGTTCTGTCACCCAGGCTGGAGCGCAGTGGTGCAATCTCGGCTCACTGCAAACTCCACCTCCCGGCTTCATGCCATTCTCCTGCCTCAGCCTCCCGAGTAGCTGGGACTACAGGCGCCCGCCACCACGCCCAGCTAATTTTTTGTATTTTTAGTAGAGACGGGGTTTCACCGTGTTAGCCAGGATGGTCTCGATCTCCTGACCTCGTGATCCACCTGCCTTGGCCTCCCAAAGTGCTGGGATTACAGGCGTGAGCCACTGTGCCCGGTGGCATATGGGTTTTCAATGGCCATGTGTTCAGCATTCTTTATGAGTAAACTCATGTGATATCGAAACCCATATTCCTCATATATGTGTTCATATTTTACACAACCAAATGTTTTGACAATACCAACTATCAAATTATTTAAGTCATTTCGCACTTAGGAATAGTTTTCTTTCATGAAAAAATAGTGGTATTTGAATACCAGTTCTAACAGTGTATGGTGTAGACTCTTGTTCACAGTATAGAGGGTAGAAGCTCAGTGTATGGGGCTCAGGGGTCAGCAGCTGTGACTGCTTCATATAGCTGTGTGCCCTTGAGACAGTCATACAACCTCTCTAGACATCAGCTTTCTCATCTTTAAAACAGAACAAACAATAGTAGCAATTTCGTAAGAGTGTTAAGGTAATTAAATTAGATAATGCATATAAAGCCTCGTGTTTGGTACACATTAAGTAATTAATAAAAGGCCACTTTAAGAAATGTATGTATACACACACACACACACACATACACACACACATTGTTAATCCTATAAGAAAAAATAAAGTGTTATAGTATGTTATTCATACAAGAGAATATTATACTACTCTTAAACTGATATTTTTGAAGAATTTTAATAATGTCCGCAAAAATAATCAAAATATTAGGTTAAATTTAAAAGTTAAATAAAGCATCTTATTATATACAGCATCTTCTCTCTCTCTCTCTCTTTCTCTCACATACACATGCACACACACACATACACATGCACACACACATATACACACACTATATAATTAGAAGGAAATCCATATATGTACATATATATACAGTGTGTGTGAGCAAACAGTGGTTATTTGGGGATTGTGAGATTACGGCATACTTTTATTTTCTTTGTATTTTTCTCTATTTCCAAGTTTTCTGTGATGAGTTTGTAATATTTTTACAATAACTTCATGTTATAAAATATTTTATAAGATGTAATGAATCAGTCCAAGTGACATATTAGGAGAGCGGCAGCAAGAGCAAAATCACACGTATACTTCCATGCCTTCAAAAAAGGACACAAGAGTGAAAACGTGAATCCTAAAATGACTTCTAGTAAATAGCAGAGACATCAAGGAAACAAAGACTGGGAAGGGACTAAATAAGCCAAAAGTCAAAAAAAAAAAAAAAAAGTGAGGAGCAGGATAGCCAGAGACAGCGGGGTAAAACCTTGCAACCTTCAGTTTAATAGGTACTTTCAACAGATCTTCCCCAAGGCACTAGCATTTTAAAATTGCATTAAAATGAGCTTTTTTCAAAGAGAAACCCTCCACCAAAAAAAATTTAGAAAATGAAGAACACAAGCTATAAGGGAAAACACAAAATTATTAACTGAATAAAGTCCCATCACATTTTTTTCCCAAGAGTGAGGTCACATCAAAGAGCTCAAAACAAATACATTCGGTATAAACCTTTCAAACGTAACAGGTTACCCTGTCTGCAGACAAAGGAAGGAGCCTTGTTTCACACAGACTCTGTTACATTTAGGCACTGGGTATGTGAATTTTGGCTAAGAAATACATTGCTGTCTCTGTCTTTCTGTCTTGTTTCACTCCCCAGTCTCTTGGATGGGAGTTTCAGCCTGTCTGACTACACATTTGGGCATCTTCTGGTCTCTTATTCTTAGCTTCTATCACTGCAGTGGAACCATTCTGAGAAGGGTAACTTTAGGTTAGCATGATTCTTGTAGTGCAGGCAAAAAAGAGCCAGAAGTGTTTGGTAAAACTGTTTACTGGTTTTACAAAAAAAAAAAAAAAAAAAAAAAAAAAGTTGTTGTGCCATTTACTGGAAGGTATCACTCATTTTCTTTCCTGTCTTCCTCCTTCCCTTTCTCTCCCTTCTTTCCTTCCTTCCTCCCTCCATCCCTCTCTTTATCTCTTCCTCTATCTCTTTCTTTTCCCCTTATTTTCTTCTCCTCTCTTCCTCCCTTCCTTCCTTCTCCCTGTGCAAGTACTCATTTCATAGCTTTGTCAAGCATTTGCCGTGTGCCACCCCTGCGTTACCCAGAGTGAATATAAAGATACATAAGACCCGGTCGGGCGCGGTGGCTCACGCCTGTAATCCCAGGACTTTGGGAGGCCGAGGTGGGTGGATCACGAGGTCAGGAGATCAAGACCATCCTGGCTAACACGGTGAAACCCCGTGTCTACTAAAAACACAAAAAATTGGCCGGGCGTGGTGGCGGGCGCCTGTAGTCCCAGCTACTCGGGAGGCTGAGGCAGGAGAATGGCGTGAACCCGGGAGGCGGAGCTTGCAGTGAGCCGAGATCGCGCCACTGCAGTCCAGCCTCGGCGACAGAGCAAGACTCCGCCTCAAAAAAAAAAAAAAAAAAGATACATAAGACCCAGCAGACGCTGATATTAGACTTACTGTTTTATTGTGTTAGCTCCCAGTTGAACTCTAGTATCTATGCAGACACTGATGTTTATTAGGTGCCTGGCACTTTCACAGAGCTTGTTTTACTTAATTCCAGCATCTACCCAGAAGTGGGTGTTATCACCATTCCTATAATACAGATGGTTGAATTTCAGCCCAGAGGCTTTAAATACCTAATTGAGACATTCAGCTTCTAAGGGGAAGTATCAGGAATTTACTCTGACTTTCCTGACTCCGAGTTCCGTGCTTTTTCCCACTGTGCCAGAACTATTGACTGTGAAGGATTATGTTCATAGTTTGAAGCCTTCACCTTTTGATACTGCACTGCACGTGGAGTATATGCAATAAATATGTGCATGAAATAGGGCAAGAATTGTATTACAATGGTCCTGAATAACTCATTCCATATACCTGTATTTGGCAACATTGTCCAGAATTTTCACATGCACGTGCATTTTCCATACACAGGAAACTGGTTAGGCATACACCTCAGACAGGTCAGCAGACATACACACTTACATAAGGGCTTGTTTGCATTCTGAAAGCATGCCTACTCAGATTGGAGCTTGTTACAAAGAACACATGGGAAGCAAAAATGTTCAGTTTACAAATGATGCTCAAAATCACTCTTGAAATCATAATAGAAACATCACATTTGTTTTAAATTTGAGGGTTTAAAACATTATCAACATGTAGAGAGAGTTATCTAGCAAACACATCCATGTACCCATCACCCAGAAATTCAAATTGTCCACATTTTGTCATATTTCTTTCAAGATTTTTTTTAAGACATAAGATTTTTAAATGGTTTGTAATGTTGAAGTTTCTTTTGTTGTCCATGCCTGATCCACCTCCTCCCCTCCTCATTCTGGTGAACATCATTAAAGGTATGGATTCCAAGTCACTATTTATCCATGCACATGACCGTATGTTTCACAAGCAATTTATGCTATTTTTATATGTTTACTATAAAATACACATAATGGTATCATACTACTTATATCATTCTGCAGCTTCCTTTTTTTTTTTAAAAAAAGCATCTCTATGTTTTGAGCTCTATGTTAAAATATAAAAATCTAATCAATTTCTTTTATTAGCTATGTAGCATTTTGCCATATGAATAAAATAATTTCTTATGCCTTCTCCTATATTTGTTGATGGACATTAAGATTGTTACAAACAATACCTTGATAAACATGCTTATACAAGTTTCTAGTCCTCATACACACGTTCAAATTTTTCTAAGGTGTTTACCTAGAAGTGTAATGTCTGGGTGGCATACTAAGTGCATGTTTAATATTAATGCAAATTGACAAATTACTTTCTGAAATGATGGTACTAATTTACCCTCTCACTAGCAATGCATTTGCTTGCTTGCTTCTCTCTACCTTTTCCATTGCTGGATATTGTCAGACTTTTAGATCTTTGGTAACTTTGTAGATAAGCAACAGTATCTTCTCATTTCAGTTTATATTTCTCTGATTTACTGGTGTAATGTTGCATCTTTTTATATTTACTGGCTGTCCAGGTTTCTTTTTTGTGAATTACCTGCCCATGTGCTTTGGCCATGTGCAATTTTTTTTTCCTATTGGGTTATTTGTGGGGATTTTTTTCTTACTAACTTATAAGAAAAATTCATTCTGAATATGATCCATTTAACTGGTATTTGACTCTTGTAAATATGTTTTTACTTAATCATTATCAAGTTTATAGGTTAATACTTTTTTTCTTTAGAAAGGGCATACAAGGTCAGTTCCAACTGTGTAAAGGGCTTTATTCTTTTTTAATCCTATGCAAGACAGCATACGTAGTCTCTGCAATTGGATGAACAGCTGTAAATAGCTTTTGCAGATCTAAGTAAAAACTCTTCTCTAAAGGTCTTCAAAGTTATTCTCCAAACCTGGGGAGTAGCCCTCTTTTAGCTTCTTGGGGTTACAGAGAGGCTAGCACATTCCAAACACAGGTGGGCAAAAAAAGAGGAAATGGACTTTACTTTTACGAACCAGTGGCTGAGCAGAATCTACTCTTCTCACAACCTCAAAGTAGTTTGAAAGTACTTTCATTAAATAAAATTAATCATTTAGTGATCGTGGTTTAGGCATCATGGTTTAGGCATGACTACATCGAGTCATTCTACTTCTTCTCCCCTTACTAAAAGCAGGTTTTAGTTATGTAACCATGTTTAGAGCGGTCTAGGGAGTTTTTATCCTTATGCCTTCATCCTGATTGGACAATGGTTTGCAAGAACTTGTTAGGAGCTGTGGAAACACAAATATTGGGCAAAAAACTTGTGTTTCTATATAAATATTTACAAACATACTAGACTATAAATTCTTTGAGGTGAGGGCCTGTGTTTATCCTATCCACGATGGTTATACCCTCAGCATTTGGTTCAGCTGACAATCTTAGTGGGAATGTGCTCAACATTCTCAATCCACAACTATTTATTGAATCTGAGTGCTGTGTTAGACAATCTATATTCTATGTGCTTCATGTAATCAAAGTGACCTAGACAAAATCCCTGCCCTTATGAACCTTACATTCTAGTGGCAGGAAATACTATAATGCCAGGGAGAAGGGAGAGAGAAATGAGAATGAAGAAAAATGATGCAGTGATGCATAGCCCTCTCTATCTCTTTGGGATACAGAGAGGGGGCGTGTGTTGTGGGGAGGAGGTGGGGGCTCTATTATAAAAAATATGGCCTGAGAAACTGCATGAGGAAGAGTCATCATGATTTGATACATGGAGATAGAGAAAACCACAGTGTCAGGGCTCCAAAAAAAAAAATCACTTCCATTTTGGGAGGTAATTTCAGCTTCTTTGTATTTTGATTTGGGGCAGTATATAAGTCTTGGGAAAAAAAGAAGTGACTAAAGCTTTTATTTTAGATGAGGAGGACTTAATGAATTTGTAAAATATGCTCCCTTTTGTGGGGAGAAGTACAGCAGTTTGCACGTTGGGAGAACAGCTGGCTCCAATACAGCTTGGTGGTGGGCTTCGACTGAACTGGTCATCGCCTAAGTATTTTGTGTATTTCTGATTACCTATCTCTCCAGGAGCCCACGTGAGCAAGACAGGTCTTCAAGCTGGTTCAATGCTCCCATTCTGTAGGCAACTACAAACTGTGGCTCACTGCATGACTTAACAACAACTGATTGAGAATTGTAAAGTGCAGCCTCGAGTTCATGTGTAGAAACTGCCATCTGCACAAACAAAACATTGAGAGGACTAAGATTTTAAGGATACTAATGCAGACGTCCTTCTTGCTTCATTTATTTAAAAATATCCATTTCACGTTCCTAACAGCATCTAGTAGATGTTTCTTGCTTCTTCCCCCTAACGCCGGACTAAAGAGAAAAAAAAAATAGGCTGTTTTCTGGTCTGGTTTTGTTTTCCTAGTCAAGTACTTAAATTACGGGTGTTTCGTAAGTATCTTTTGATGGATTTCATTGTTTTGTTTATTTCGCGTTAGACAATACAGACACCTTCATATTTCCTTCTGTAGCAAATCTTTTTCAAAGTCTTCATTTGACGTGGCTGATGGAGCTGGTCTGCAGATCTTGCAGACGTGTTAATTTTTGCACGGACTTTAGCTTCAACACACAAAACTTACGGCCTCTTTGAGGAACCAATTTTTCAGGCTAAGAGAACAAATGAAAGTGTTCGCTCATCTTTCGAAAACTATTTATGTACTTGGTATCCGGAATGTGACATTGGTTTTACACGTCGGTAGGTTTTTGTCCTAAATTTCTGGGAAGTTACTTCCTCATCTAACGTTTTATTTTCCTGACTTATTCGTCTTTGATATGCTACAGAAAACCCCTCTCGCCCAGTGGCTGTTTTCTCTCTGTCTCTTAAGATAATTTAGGAACAGAAGCCTTGACTTTTGACGGTCATTTAGTTTTATTCTCCTCCCGTGACTCCCCTCTGTACACTCACAGGGGAGGCCGCCGGCATCTGGGCTGAAAGAACCCTTGGCGGGCGAGGAGAGGAGGGTGTCATGTTGGCGACAGGCTCCTGCTGGCGGCCAGCGAGCCCGCCAGGTTAACGGGGGCGCCGGGGTCAGCGCCCTCGAAGTTGGGGGCCTCGGGCGGGGCCGCCGGGGAGCCACGACGGCCGCTCGACCAGAGCATCCCGCAGTCCCGTTCCCTCCAGAGGGGAAGAATGGCCGAATCTGGCACGATCCCACGGAGATCTCGCTCTTCCCAGCGCAGTCTCCGCTACTGAGCGCGGGACCAACGCAGGCGATGCCGGGCGGCCGACAGGGAAAGCCCAGACCTGGGGCAGAGAAGGAATGAGGGGCCGCCAGCCGGGGGGATTTCCTCCCGCTCTTCCCTCTCCAACGGGAGCGGAAAATGTGATTTGCTGTGCATTCCAGGCGCGGTTCCCTGGGGTGACCTCTCCCAGCCGGCCCGGGCGGGGGGAGCAGACAAAGAGGCGAGGCGGGCGGAGAGGGGACCCCGCGGGGAAGCAGGAGGGGTGCGGGGGGCGGGGGCAGTACCGGGAAAGGGGGCGGATAGCGGGTCTGGCGGCGGCGGCGGCGCCTGGCCAATGGAGAGGCGCGGCCCCGGGCGCCGCGCTCTGCCGCCGGCATTTAAACGGGAGACGGCGCGATGCCTGGCACTCGGTGCGCCTTCCGCGGACCGGGCGACCCAGTGCACGGCCGCCGCGTCACTCTCGGTCCCGCTGACCCCGCGCCGAGCCCCGGCGGCTCTGGCCGCGGCCGCACTCAGCGCCACGCGTCGAAAGCGCAGGCCCCGAGGACCCGCCGCACTGACAGGTGAGCGCGGACGCACCCGGCAGGGATGTGAGTGGGCGGAGGGAAGAGGGCCGCAAACCAACCCAGGACCCGCTCAGTTCCACGCGCGGCAGCCCTCCGTGCGCGCAGGCTCGGGTGCGTTGTTCGCGGGGGTGAATTGTGAAGAACCATCGCGGGGTCCTTCCTGCTGAGGCCGCGGACACCGTGACCTCGCTGCTCTGGGTCTGCAGGGAAACGTAGGAAAAAAAGTTGTCAGGAGCGGGCAGGATGACCCCCACATCCCGTTTCCACCTCCCGGAGGCCCCCGAACACGCTCCTGGTGCTGGTGGCAGCAGCGCCTGGCAGACGCGCCCGCTTAGCGAGGGCGCGAAGTCCAGGCCGCCAGAGCGCAGGAGCATCCGGACCTGCTAGTCGGCCGCTGACTGCGCGGCGAGTTGCCTTGAGAGGGTCCCATGTGCTTGGGGCGCCGCGCTGGGTCTGGGGGCGTCTTGGGGCGCCCATTGGAGTCCGCGGGTTGGAGCATCCGGAGAATCCATGATGTGTGCATTTGCCGATCCCCGAGGTGAGATGGAGACTGGCAAGGGCAGAGCCGCTGTGTTCAGCCACAGCGGAAAACCGAACGGTGGGTAATCCGACAGCTGCGGTGCGGGGCGCGGCCCTGGCCGCGGGGTCCAGCGAACCCGCAGTGCTCACAAGGCAGACACCACACGCGCTCGCGGACCGGCCACGCACTCGCGGGCGCTCGCTTCTCTACTCCAGCCTCTTCCCCGCCCCGCGCACGCCCGAGCTGAATGGTAGACGTTCTGGCGCCGGGCAGCGGCCACCGGCTGGTTCCCACTTCCGCGCGCACCCCTTAAACTGTGTTCTAGAGGCCCCAGCCTCGCCTTGCAGCGCCTCACTAGCTCCTGAGGACTAGGGACTGGCGGCTGAGGCGGGTTGGCGGCTGCAACGAGCTGGGCGTCTTTCGTTCTCTCTCGCTGCCTGGCTGGCTCCGCTGGCCCCTCCACAGCTTGCGGAGCAAGGCCATAGCAGGGGAGTGGGAGGTATATTGGGGCTGTCACCTCCTTGCTGGCCGGAGTTATTTGTAGACTACAGACTCCGGAAGAACAGACGCGCCACCGCTCTCGCTTGGCATTGCCTTCGGATCGCAGCTCCTCCTTGGGGGTGCCCCAGCTTGGCGTTTATTTGCCTGCGCCAGGCTCTGGCGACGGTCACCGGGCCAGGCGGGGAGGGACGGACGGCAGGTGACCAGCCTCTGCTGTGAAGAAATTCCTGCGCGCCCGGAGCTGTCCCTAATGCATTCCCGGGTCGAATCCGTCTACTGCCTTCCCCTCCTCGACCGACTCCGAATCTCGGCTCTTATAGACAGAAATACAGCCTCAGCGTTAGGGGTTAAAATCCCCCTCTTAAACGGTCCGAGGGCAGAGAGGTGACCACCGATAGGTAATTGGATCTCCTGCTGGAAAGAGCAAATCTGAGCGGTGTGCGCGTCTGTTTATGTTCCCCTTCGAGATGGTGCCAGGACACGAACTGATTAAAACAATCTATTGTGTTAAGTGGGTCACTAGGGTTTTAAGCTGTCCCAGGGACCCCAGAGTAGTGGCTTCCTTCTGGCTGTACACACAAGTTAAATAAATAGCGTAGAAGAGGTTAAGATAACCCCATTCTAGGGTGAGGAGTCCTCTTTCATCCCTAGGGCTTCCCCCTCCCCTTTTCTCTTTTTTTGGAAGGAGGGGGAGCATGAGAGTCTTGAGGGGGGGATGTACTTTTCAAAGCAAGGAGGGAAAGATCTTAAGAAAACTATATATTCTCACTGCCCCCCAAGCCAAGTCTATAACAGTAGGTGATTTGATTACTATCTCTGGATAAATGGCACTGTCAAATTGTTAATATTAACTATTTCAGGGATTTTTAGCAGGGTAGTGGCAGTATGTGTGCGTGTGTGTGTGTGTGTCTGTGTGTGTGTGTTTAACCTCCAGGTCATTGTAGGAATTAGAGTCTTTTGTAAACTTTGTAATTTCACAGGTTTCCTATTTTCTTAAAAGTTCATTTTTAGTGAAATGTTTTGGTAACCCACGCTCTGTAGGAAATCCAGGTTGGCTAATGCGGTCTTTATGTGAGTAGTTACACAGGGAAGGATAAAAACCTTTTATGTCCTACATCTCTGAATGAGGGCTGCCTACCCTGTCTTTGAAACTAAGCCGAAGATGCCTTCAGTCTGAATGGTCAAGTATTAAAAGTGATAAAATGCAAAGAAATTTCATGCCGCAGACACCTCCCCCAAGAACTGCTTGTTGACAGCAAAGCTGTGGAACATGTTCCACAACAGAGAGTAAAGGACAGCCAGGAAATATAAACCTTTTATGTAAAGGAAAGGCAGGTGGGGGACAGTGGTTAGGGGAGGTGACTGCAGCCTCTAACCAAAAGGCAACCATCAGGCAAGTGCTACCAGCCCGTGTCTTCGATCTGCAAGGAATTTTCTTTAGTTTTAACATATGCTCTTAGAAATTCAAAGTACAACAGGAATTCCTGGGACAAGAGAAATCTTTTTATTCACATGTGAACATGAAGATACAAAATAGATAATTATTTTATTTATAGCACTCTTCAAATTGTATTGCATTAGAAAACATATCCATTGACCCACTGTTAAGGACAGCACTGGGTGTCAATAGGACAGTGGTTAAGGACCTGTGTTTGGGGCTAGATAGAATTGGGTTTAAACTGCTGGCTGGGCTGGGCACAGTGGCTCACACCGGTAATCCCAGCACTTTGGGAGGCCAAGGAGGACGGATCACCTGAGGTCGGGAGTTCGACACCAGCCTGACCAACATGGAAAAATCCCGTCTCTACTAAAAACACAAAATTAGCCAGGCATGGTGGTGCATGCCTGCAATCCCAGCTACTTGGGAGGCTGAGGCAGGAGAATTGCTTGAAACCGGGAGGCGGAGGTTGTGGTGAGCCCAGATAGCGCCATTGCATTCCAGCCTGGGCAACACGAGTGAAAACTCCGTCAAAAAAACAAAACAAAACAAACAAACAAAAAAATGCTGGCTTTCCCACTTATGAGCTGTGTGACCTTGGACAAATTTCCAACTTTTCTGAGTGTAGATTCCCTGATTGGTAAAAGGAAGATGATATTATCTACCTCATATTTTGTTATGAAAAATAAATGATAAAATTGGGTCAGAAATCAGCATAATGCCTGGCACAGTAAGGGCTTCAAAATAAAAGGTAGCTCTTATTATTAGTAATGGTGTTAGGAAAAGTAGCAATGTTATACAGAACCAGGATATATCACAGGGCAGTTCTGAAATTAAATCCTGAATCCTGGCCGGGTGAGGTGGCTCACGCTTGTAATCCTAAGCACTTTCGGAGACTGAGGCAGGCGGATCACGAGGTCAGGAGTTTGAGACCAGCCTGGCCAACACACTGAAATCCCGTCTCTACTAAAAATACAAAAATTAGCTGGGTGTGGTGGCAGGCGCCTATAATCTCAGCTACTTGGGAGGCTGAGGCAGGAGAATCACTTGAGCCCAGGAGGCGGAGGTTGCAGTGAGCTGATATCGTGCCAGTGCACTCCAGCCTGGGTGACATCTCTTAAAAAAAAAAATCCTGAATACCACACTACGCAGTGACTAACACATCTTTCACTACAGAACAGAACCTGTAACTTGGCCGTCTCTCAGCAGTGCTGCTCAGTGAACATTTAATAATTTATTACTTTCTAACTCGTTTCTTGTTGACCTCAAGAATTGTACATAGTCATTAACTTTCCTAAGAAAATCTTTGACAAACATAGAGCTCCTGAGATATTTCACAACCAGGTGGTCTCCTCCCTGTCCTATGCAATGTTGGGCCCCAGCCTGATTTAGCCGACCTGGTCTTCAGACTTGAGAGGCTGTTTAGGGTTCTTACAACACAAAGGGGATGAGACTTTATCCTCTACCTGTGTGCCAACAAGGGATTCTTCTTATCTCCTTGGTGCAACTTGTCTGAAAAAGAAAGTCAACACAATTATCTTCTTAAAAGTTAAAGATCAAATTAAAAATAAGCTATAGTTTTCCCAAAGATTTAGACCTGAGAAAAAGGAATAGATCTTTCTAAAACCTGGCCTGCACTTAGAGCATTTGTAGTCACTTCCACTATTTCTTATGCTGAGAGAATAATTTGATGTCATGCCTATTGAATGTCTTTCTAAAGCTTGATTCATCAGGAGGAACTGACCAGAAGTCCATGCACAGACATTTGGCTTTCACTGTAATTCCTACTCAAAACTCCCTTTCACTGATTATGAGCAGGTTGCTTAGCTAAAATGAGAAATACAGCAAGAAGAGGGATGGAAAGAGCTGGCTTAAACTTTCCCAAAGACATCATGAACACTGGGAACAGGTCATACATATACCATTTTTATTTCTCAGTCCTCAGTATTAGAATATTGTGTTCCTAGAGGCTTTGTGAAAATTGGAATACATTGCCATGACCTGCACAGGATAGAGGTGGTTAATATGGCTTACCTTGCTTGTAGATGTTTACTCTTGATCCCTAAGGGAAACTGGAAGGAAAGCATGCTGTAGAGAGGACCTGCTTTGAGAGTATGTGTCCTCTGGGACAAGTGGAATGAAAGAGAGGATAGAGGCAAAGAGAAAAAAAGGTGGAGATGGGGTGAGACTTGCTGGTGGACAGTTGCAAAGAAAACTCATGATGAGAATAACATCACATTTCTTGAAGAAGCTGAACTGCATTGATGGGAAGTTGAGGCAGAGTTTGAAAAGAAGATATACTGTCTGCAAAAAAGAATCAACGGAGATGTCAGGTATCTTGATGCACCCTGAGTCTATGAGATGCAGCTTAATTTAATTTAATGATATGAGTAGGCCATTTCATAAGTGGTGGAAATTACCATAAAGTGTTTGCAGCTAATGACGGCGCATGAATGATGTCATAGGAACCTAAGTCTGGATGAGCTATGGATTGAATTTTTACTATGGGACACCCTTCTACATGTTGCTGTGGAAAAGAATTGTCCTCAAGAAATGTACATCTTCTGCATTTCCTCTACATCTCTGATATTTACAAAGTGCACATTATTTGGTGATACTACAACTGGGATTTCAAGTGCACATCACTACTATTTCCTTCACTGAAGAATCAAGAGCAGTCTGGGGGTGGGGAGAGCTTGAGTGATTGACAAGGATGTGGCAGAGCCCTGGTTCCACTATGAATTATAGTTCTTACCCTGCTTACTGTCACTCATGTAGAGCAGCTAGTGTGCCTCAGAGCACTGCTGTTCTCTGAGAAGCTGAGGTCTCGATTGACATTCTTGAAGTTGGTGTTTACTTCTCTCTGAATAAACAAAGGTTGGCAACTCAGACATCTTACAATAAGTACTAAAGATTTTTGAAGAATAGGTTTTTAAAAAATGAAAAAACATTTCACTTTCCATAGCTAATAAATCTTATTTTGAGGAAAATGTACTTTTCTTTAAAAAAAAAAAAAGCCTGTCTGTCACTCTAGACCCTTTGGCTTAGAAGGTAGGCACACTCACATAGAAACAGAAAGTCTGTCCAAATTAAAACTGAAAACCACAGTTGACTAATTTTGAATTTATAGCTCTGCTGTTGGCTTCTGCGATAGTATTAATTTCAATGGCTTCAATTAGAAAATGAAACCCATAGCATTCCATATGAGAACAGGTAAAAAGTCAGGGACATTTGGAGTTTTCCAAGAAAAAGAAAGACAAGTCTTAGGAAGCTCTCTAGGATGGAAGGAATTTGCCACACTGAGAGTTAGACATCCAAAGGATAGCAATTGGCTCTTCTGCTCATGGGCACTGGTGAAGGCATTTTAAAATGCGAAGAATGGTACCTCTGTAAATCAATGAGGTTCATAATAATCATGCATTTACCAAATTTTTATAAGCACCTGCCTTGTGCCAGGCACTGAGGGTAAGGTGATGAATAAGCCCTCATCAACTGTCAGACTAGATATTTACTCAATAACAGATGTGAAAATGCCAAGAAGGAAAAGTTGAGTATAAAGAAAGCCTTAAGTTGGTTCAGAGAAATAAAATTGCATTTTTCGGATAGATGTTTATGGAATCGGCCTTATGAGGTAAACTTGTCCTATGCAGTGAACATACATTCCCAGTTAGTCTCAGATTGGCCTCTGTGATGACAAACTCAGAGGGTCCTGGTCTAGGAGGGGTGAATTTGTCTGGAGGCCATTTTCAGGAGGTATGGAGGAAGACTGGGGCATAGGCCTGGGGCCATCCCATGTACTCCTCCTCTGAAATGGGGAGCAACTGAATTGTGTTTTATTTTAGATCTTCGTCCAACTTGAATACCAGAAATTCGTGAAACCTTCTCAAATTCACACTATATTTTGAGACCAGGAGAAGGCTCCTTGAGAAATTGCCACACTGTCTTATCCTAGTCTCTGGAAAAATTCAGTCCTGTATTATAACTGGGCGTTTCTCATAAGTGCTTTTTTTTTTTCTTTTTCTTTTTATAATACTTTAAGTTCTGGGATACATGTGCAGAATGTGCAGGTTTGTTACATAGGTATACACGTGCCATGGTGGTTTGCTGCACCCATCAACCCATCATCTACATTAGGTATTTCTCCTAATGCTACCCCTTCCCTAGCCCCCCACCCCTCGACAGGCCCCAGTGTTTGATGTTCCCCTCCCTGTGTCCATGTGTTCTCATTGTTCAACTCCCACTTATGAGTGAGAGCATGCGGTGTTTGGTTTTCTGTTCCTGTGTTAGTTTGCTGAGAATGATGGTTTTTGGCTTCATCCACGTCCCTGCAAAGGACATGAACTCATCCTTTTTATGGCTGCATAGTATTCCATGGTGTATATGTGCCACATTTGCTTTATCCAGTCTATCATTGATGAGCACTTGGGTTGGCTCCAAGTCTTTGCTATTATGACTAGTACTGCGATAAACATGTGTATATGTGTCTTTATATTAGAATGATTTATAATCCTTTAGGTCTATACCCAGTAATAGGATTCCTGGGTCAAATGGTATTTCTGGTTCTAGATCCTTGAGGAATTGCCACACTGTCTTCCACAACGGTTGAACTAATTTACACTCCCACCAACAGTGTAAAAGCATTCCTATTTCTCCACATCCTCTCCAACATCTGTTGTTTCCTGACTCTTTAATGACGGCCATTCTAACTGGCGTGAAATGGTATCTCATTGTGGTTTTGATTTGCATTTCTCTAATGACCACCGATGATGAGCTTTTTCTCATATGTTTGCTGGCCCCATAAATGTCTTCTTTTGAGAAATGTCTGTTCATATCCTTTGCCCACTTTTTGATGGGGTTGTTTGCTTTTTTCTTGTAAATTTGTTTGAGTTCCTGGTAGATTCTGGATATTAGCCCTTTGTCAGATGGATAGACTGCAAAAATTTTCTCCCATTCTGTAGGTTGCCTGTTCACTCTGATGGTAGTTTCTTTTGCCATGCAGAAGCTGTTTAGTTTAATTAGATCCAATTTGTCAGTTTTGGCTTTTGTTGCCATTGCTTTTGGTGTTTTAGTCATGAAGTCTTTGCCCATGCCTATGTCCTGAATTGTATTGCCCTGGTTTTCTTCTAGGATTTTTATGGTTTTAGGTCTTACATTTAAGTCTTTAATCCATCTTGAATTAATTTTTGTATAAGGTGTAAGGAAAGGGTCCAGTTTCAGTTTTCTGCGTATGGCTAGCCAGTTTTCCCAACGTTATTTATTAAATAGGGAATCCTTTCCCCATTGCTTGTTTTTGTCAGGTTTGTCAAAGATCAGACGGTTGTAGATGTGTGGTGTTATTTCTGAGGCCTCTGTTCTGTTCCATTGGTCTGTATATCTGCTTTGATACCAGTACCGTGCTGTTTTGGTTACTGTAGCCTTGTAGTACAGTTTGAAGTCAGGTAGCGTGATGCTTTGTTCTTTTTGCTTAGGATTGTCTTGGCTATATGGGCTCTTTTTTGGTTCTATATGAAATTTAAAGTAGTTTTTTCATAGACATCTATAGAACTCTCCACCCCAAATCAACAGAATATACATTCTTCTCAGTATCGCATCACACTTATTCTAAAATGACCACATAATTAGAAGTAAAACACTCCTCAGCAAATGCAAAAAACAGAAATCCTAACAGTCTGTCAGACCCCAGTGCAATCAAATTAGAACTCAGGATTAAGAAACTTACTGAAAACCACACAACTGCATGGAAACTGAACAACCTGCTCCTGAATGACTACTGGGTAAATAACAAAATTAAGGCAGAAATAAATAGGTTCTTTGAAAGAAATGAGAACAAAGACACAATATACCAGAATCTCTGGGACACAGCTAAAGCAGTGTTTAGAGGGAAATTGATAGCACTAAATGCCCACAGGAGAAAGCGGGACAGATCTAAAATCGACACCCTAATATCACAATTAAAAGAACTAGAGAAACAAGAGCAAACAAATTCAAAAGCTAGCAGAAGACAAGAAATAACTAAGATCAGAGCAGAACTGAAGGAGATAGAGACACAAAAAACCCTTCAAAAAATCAATGAATCCAGGAGCTGTTTTTTTTTTTTTGAAAAGATTAATGAAATAGACTGCTAGCCAAACTAATAAAGGAGAAAAGAGAGAAGAATCAAATAGACAATAGACACAATAAAAAGTGATAAAGGGGATATCACCACTGATCCCACAGAAATACAAACTACCATCAGAGAATACTATAAACACCTCTACGCAAATAAACTAGAAAATTGGGAAGAAATGGATACATTCCTGAACGCATACACCCTCCCAAGACTAAACCAGGAAGAAGTTGAATCCCTGAATAGACCAATAGCAAGTTCTGAAATTGAGGCAGTAATTAGTAGCCTACCAACCAAAAAAAGCCCAGGACCAGACAGATTCACAGCCGAAGTCTACCAGAGGTACAAAGAGGAGCTAGTACCATTCCTTCTGAAACTATTCCAAACAATAGAAAAAGAAGGACTCCTCCCTAACTCATTTTATGAGGCCAGCATCATCCTGATACCAAAACCTGGCAGAGACACAACATAAAGGAAATTCAGGCCAATATCCCTGATGAACATTGATGTGAAAATCCTCAATAAAATACTGGCAGCACATCAAAAAGCTTACCTGCCATGATCAAGTTGGCTTCATCCCTGGGATGCAAGGCTGGTTCAACATACGCAAATCAATAAACGTAATCAATCACATACACAGAACCAATGACAAAAACCACATGATTATCTCAATAGATGCAGAAAAGGCCTTCGATAAAATTCAACACCCCTTCAATGCTAAGAACTCTCAATAAACTAGGTATTGATGAAACATATCTCAAAATAATAAGAGTTATTTATGACAAACCCACAGCCAGTATCATACTGAATGGGCAAAAGCTGGAAGCATTCCCTTTGAAAACCGCCACAAGGATGACTTCTCTCACCACTCCTATTCAACATACTATTGGAAGTTCTGGCCAGGGCAAGCAGGCAAGACAAATAAATAAAGGGTATTCAAATAGGAAGAGAGGAAGTCAAATTGTCTCTGTTTGCAGATGACATGATTGTATATTTAGAAAACCCCATCATCTCAGCCCAAAATCTCCTTAAGCTGATAAGCAACTTCAGCAAAGTCTCAGGATACAAAATCAATGTGCAAAAATCACAAGCATTCCTATACACCAATAATAGACAAACAGCCAAATCATGAGTGAACTCCCATTCACAAGTGCTACAAAGAATAAAATACCTAGGAATCCAACTTACAAGGGATGTGAAGGACCTCTTCAAGGAGAACTACAGACCACTGCTCAAGGTAATAAGAGAGGACACAAACAAATGGAAAAACATTCCATGCTCATGGATAGGAAGAATCAATATTATGAAAATGGCCATACTGCCCAAAACAATTTATAGATTCAATGCCATCCCCATCAAGCTACCACTGACTTCCTTCACAGAATTAGAAAAAAACTACTTTAAATTTCATATGGAACTGAAAAAAGAGCCGGTATAGCCAAGACGATCCTAAGCAAAAAGAAAAAAGCTGGAAGCATCATGCTACCTGACTTCAAACTATACTACAAGGCTACAGTAACAAAAACAGCATGGTATAGTATAAGTGCTTTTTTTTAAAAGACAAAGTAAAGTAATTTTTTTGTTGTTGGGGTAAAACAAAAGCTCTGCATAAAGAGCAGGGATGTTGTAACATACACTGACCAAAGGTGGGAAACCTACAGTTGGAGCAGAAGCTGAATGTCACATTATCAGCTCCGAACTTATAATGGTCTAAAAGTACTAGGTTAATGTTGGAAAGATGGTGCCATTTAAAGATATCTTAAATTCAATATTTAATTATTTTAATTTGACATTATCCTAGAGTTGAATGGTGTTTACTTACCATGTGCTGTTCATTAGAAAATCTAGATCCTACACTGCCTTTGCGCAAGGTAGTTGCTCTAATAATACCAACCTGTCCAGTTTTGGTGGGAGAAATAATGTTACTGTTAAGTTGCACTTAGTGGTTATTATGTGTAATACTGGTATTCCAAAGAGAGAAGGAAAATGTTTGCTACACAGCTGTGTTCTTAGGTTCAGAAAACCACAGGAGTGGGACAGGAGAACCTTCAGGATTCAGGTCCGATTGTTGTGATGGCCGCAGGAGGGAGACTGTGAATTTGAAACTGCATCCATTGAAAAGAAAATCCCTCCACACTTTAATAATTCTCTCCGTGCCCCATGGCAGCAAGTGCTTATAGGCCTTGCTACTCAAAGCTTAATAAAAAGGCAGACCTGCTGAATCATAATCTGCATCTTAACAATATCCCCAGATATTGTCTGCACTTTCTTTTTTTTTTTCTTTCTTTCTTTCTTCTTTTTTTTGAGACAGAGTCTCGCTCAGTCACCCAGGCTGGAGTGCAGTGGCGCGATCTCGGCTCACTGCAAGCTCTGACTCCCGGGTTCACGCCATTCTCCTGCCTTAGACTCCCGAGTAGCTGGCACTACAGGCGCCCGCCACTACGCCCGGCTAATTTTTTTGTATTTTTAGTAGAGATGGGGTTTCACCGTGTTAGCCAGGATGGTCTCGATCTCCTGACCTCGTGATCCGCCGCCCATCTGGGCCTCCCAAAGTGCTGGGATTACAGGCGTGAGCCACTGCGCCCGGCCAATTGTCTGCACTTTCAAGTCTAAGAAGCACTGTCCCAGGAGGAAAATCTTTTTAGTCTGAGGCTTCTCTCTTGCACTCTCCTTTTTAAAAATATGCTGCTCCTTCTCCACCTTTCCCTCTTCTTCCGCCTTTTCTGTCTGCCTTTACTACCTCCCCTGAACATTCAACTTGTAGAAGAGTTCCCCTTTCTCTGAATTGCATTCTTCACTTCATTCATTCTTTTCTCTCTCTGTCTATGGTTTCCTATTTTTTGTCGGTTTTCCCTCACCTCACCTCCTTGTTATTTTTTGCCATTGTTCACATATCACTGCCCTTTCAGACCCATATCTAGCTTCTGACCCATCCACTAATCCATTGCCACTAATTTATTCAGCATGCCCATGCCATTTATTAATGTAAATATTTGCACATACTTGTTCTATCATGCCCATTTTTCTACCTTTTAAATTGTATATACACAGACACATGTGAATGACATATTTCACTATTTAAAAGGTAGAAAAATGTATATCGTGGTACAAAGTGATACATTGAGTATCTGTGCCCAGTTTCAAGATGAGAATAAGTGAGAGGTGAAGCCTCATGAGTCACGTCACCTACACGCTACTGTCTTTCATTCCATCTGCAGTACTGCCACACATTTGGTTAGTTCTCCAATTGCTGTCACATTGACATCGAGTTGGATCTGAACAGCGTACCTGGGGAGACGAAGTATTGGTATCTTTGCTTAAATGGAGTGATTTACTGAGAGACAAAGTGACATCTTTAAGATCAGATAGCAAGTTACTGCACCAGGAGCGCGACCTTTCCTGTTTTGTTGTTTTCCCTCTGTCAAATGCCTTCTGGTCTCCATGAATCTCTCCTTCCACATATGATAAAAATGCAAAGTCTCATAAGCATTCACAGCTCAGGAAGCCTCAGGCTAGTTGGGGAGAAAAGACTGGGAGGTTTCCGGAGGAATGAAGTCCTCTGAGCAGAGAGGTTAATTCATCTTGCTGTAAAACAAAATAGAAAATAAGTTCCCCTCAATAAGTGAACGTAATACAAAGACAAATGTGGTTGGTGCCAGAGGCCAGGAAGAAGTTCTTGTGAGAATAGGTGCAGAGAAGAGCTAGGCCCTGGCTGAGTTTAAACCTTGACTTAGTCACTGTGGGACTCTGGGTGAGTTACTCCATGGATTGATGGCTGGGTCATGGAGATAATAGTACCTAATTCATACAGGTACTGTGAGAAGTAAATGGAATATTTCACGTTAAGTGTTTAACGGTGCGTTTAAATGCTAGGTGCTATTATTATTAATTTTTAAATTAACTTTGCCATGTTTTGTGTCTTCCCCTCTCTGTGCTTCCTTTCTTTAGTATGAGCCGCACAGCCTACACGGTGGGAGCCCTGCTTCTCCTCTTGGGGACCCTGCTGCCGGCTGCTGAAGGGAAAAAGAAAGGGTCCCAAGGTGCCATCCCCCCGCCAGACAAGGCCCAGCACAATGACTCAGAGCAGACTCAGTCGCCCCAGCAGCCTGGCTCCAGGAACCGGGGGCGGGGCCAAGGGCGGGGCACTGCCATGCCCGGGGAGGAGGTGCTGGAGTCCAGCCAAGAGGCCCTGCATGTGACGGAGCGCAAATACCTGAAGCGAGACTGGTGCAAAACCCAGCCGCTTAAGCAGACCATCCACGAGGAAGGCTGCAACAGTCGCACCATCATCAACCGCTTCTGTTACGGCCAGTGCAACTCTTTCTACATCCCCAGGCACATCCGGAAGGAGGAAGGTTCCTTTCAGTCCTGCTCCTTCTGCAAGCCCAAGAAATTCACTACCATGATGGTCACACTCAACTGCCCTGAACTACAGCCACCTACCAAGAAGAAGAGAGTCACACGTGTGAAGCAGTGTCGTTGCATATCCATCGATTTGGATTAAGCCAAATCCAGGTGCACCCAGCATGTCCTAGGAATGCAGCCCCAGGAAGTCCCAGACCTAAAACAACCAGATTCTTACTTGGCTTAAACCTAGAGGCCAGAAGAACCCCCAGCTGCCTCCTGGCAGGAGCCTGCTTGTGCGTAGTTCGTGTGCATGAGTGTGGATGGGTGCCTGTGGGTGTTTTTAGACACCAGAGAAAACACAGTCTCTGCTAGAGAGCACTCCCTATTTTGTAAACATATCTGCTTTAATGGGGATGTACCAGAAACCCACCTCACCCCGGCTCACATCTAAAGGGGCGGGGCCGTGGTCTGGTTCTGACTTTGTGTTTTTGTGCCCTCCTGGGGACCAGAATCTCCTTTCGGAATGAATGTTCATGGAAGAGGCTCCTCTGAGGGCAAGAGACCTGTTTTAGTGCTGCATTCGACATGGAAAAGTCCTTTTAACCTGTGCTTGCATCCTCCTTTCCTCCTCCTCCTCACAATCCATCTCTTCTTAAGTTGATAGTGACTATGTCAGTCTAATCTCTTGTTTGCCAAGGTTCCTAAATTAATTCACTTAACCATGATGCAAATGTTTTTCATTTTGTGAAGACCCTCCAGACTCTGGGAGAGGCTGGTGTGGGCAAGGACAAGCAGGATAGTGGAGTGAGAAAGGGAGGGTGGAGGGTGAGGCCAAATCAGGTCCAGCAAAAGTCAGTAGGGACATTGCAGAAGCTTGAAAGGCCAATACCAGAACACAGGCTGATGCTTCTGAGAAAGTCTTTTCCTAGTATTTAACAGAACCCAAGTGAACAGAGGAGAAATGAGATTGCCAGAAAGTGATTAACTTTGGCCGTTGCAATCTGCTCAAACCTAACACCAAACTGAAAACATAAATACTGACCACTCCTATGTTCGGACCCAAGCAAGTTAGCTAAACCAAACCAACTCCTCTGCTTTGTCCCTCAGGTGGAAAAGAGAGGTAGTTTAGAACTCTCTGCATAGGGGTGGGAATTAATCAAAAACCGCAGAGGCTGAAATTCCTAATACCTTTCCTTTATCGTGGTTATAGTCAGCTCATTTCCATTCCACTATTTCCCATAATGCTTCTGAGAGCCACTAACTTGATTGATAAAGATCCTGCCTCTGCTGAGTGTACCTGACAGTAGTCTAAGATGAGAGAGTTTAGGGACTACTCTGTTTTAGCAAGAGATATTTTGGGGGTCTTTTTGTTTTAACTATTGTCAGGAGATTGGGCTAAAGAGAAGACGACGAGAGTAAGGAAATAAAGGGAATTGCCTCTGGCTAGAGAGTAGTTAGGTGTTAATACCTGGTAGAGATGTAAGGGATATGACCTCCCTTTCTTTATGTGCTCACTGAGGATCTGAGGGGACCCTGTTAGGAGAGCATAGCATCATGATGTATTAGCTGTTCATCTGCTACTGGTTGGATGGACATAACTATTGTAACTATTCAGTATTTACTGGTAGGCACTGTCCTCTGATTAAACTTGGCCTACTGGCAATGGCTACTTAGGATTGATCTAAGGGCCAAAGTGCAGGGTGGGTGAACTTTATTGTACTTTGGATTTGGTTAACCTGTTTTCTTCAAGCCTGAGGTTTTATATACAAACTCCCTGAATACTCTTTTTGCCTTGTATCTTCTCAGCCTCCTAGCCAAGTCCTATGTAATATGGAAAACAAACACTGCAGACTTGAGATTCAGTTGCCGATCAAGGCTCTGGCATTCAGAGAACCCTTGCAACTCGAGAAGCTGTTTTTATTTCGTTTTTGTTTTGATCCAGTGCTCTCCCATCTAACAACTAAACAGGAGCCATTTCAAGGCGGGAGATATTTTAAACACCCAAAATGTTGGGTCTGATTTTCAAACTTTTAAACTCACTACTGATGATTCTCACGCTAGGCGAATTTGTCCAAACACATAGTGTGTGTGTTTTGTATACACTGTATGACCCCACCCCAAATCTTTGTATTGTCCACATTCTCCAACAATAAAGCACAGAGTGGATTTAATTAAGCACACAAATGCTAAGGCAGAATTTTGAGGGTGGGAGAG
The DNA here is from genome assembly GCF_000001405.40 of Homo sapiens. NCBI lineage: Eukaryota > Metazoa > Chordata > Mammalia > Primates > Hominidae > Homo > Homo sapiens. The sequence continues at coordinate 4,947,885 of NT_187660.1, forward strand.
AAGAAAAGGGAAAGAAGCTGAAAATGTAAAACCACACCAGGGAGGAAAAATGACATTCAGAACCAGCAAACACTGAATTTCTCTTGTTGTTTTAACTCTGCCACAAGAATGCAATTTCGTTAACGGAGATGACTTAAGTTGGCAGCAGTAATCTTCTTTTAGGAGCTTGTACCACAGTCTTGCACATAAGTGCAGATTTGGCTCAAGTAAAGAGAATTTCCTCAACACTAACTTCACTGGGATAATCAGCAGCGTAACTACCCTAAAAGCATATCACTAGCCAAAGAGGGAAATATCTGTTCTTCTTACTGTGCCTATATTAAGACTAGTACAAATGTGGTGTGTCTTCCAACTTTCATTGAAAATGCCATATCTATACCATATTTTATTCGAGTCACTGATGATGTAATGATATATTTTTTCATTATTATAGTAGAATATTTTTATGGCAAGATATTTGTGGTCTTGATCATACCTATTAAAATAATGCCAAACACCAAATATGAATTTTATGATGTACACTTTGTGCTTGGCATTAAAAGAAAAAAACACACATCCTGGAAGTCTGTAAGTTGTTTTTTGTTACTGTAGGTCTTCAAAGTTAAGAGTGTAAGTGAAAAATCTGGAGGAGAGGATAATTTCCACTGTGTGGAATGTGAATAGTTAAATGAAAAGTTATGGTTATTTAATGTAATTATTACTTCAAATCCTTTGGTCACTGTGATTTCAAGCATGTTTTCTTTTTCTCCTTTATATGACTTTCTCTGAGTTGGGCAAAGAAGAAGCTGACACACCGTATGTTGTTAGAGTCTTTTATCTGGTCAGGGGAAACAAAATCTTGACCCAGCTGAACATGTCTTCCTGAGTCAGTGCCTGAATCTTTATTTTTTAAATTGAATGTTCCTTAAAGGTTAACATTTCTAAAGCAATATTAAGAAAGACTTTAAATGTTATTTTGGAAGACTTACGATGCATGTATACAAACGAATAGCAGATAATGATGACTAGTTCACACATAAAGTCCTTTTAAGGAGAAAATCTAAAATGAAAAGTGGATAAACAGAACATTTATAAGTGATCAGTTAATGCCTAAGAGTGAAAGTAGTTCTATTGACATTCCTCAAGATATTTAATATCAACTGCATTATGTATTATGTCTGCTTAAATCATTTAAAAACGGCAAAGAATTATATAGACTATGAGGTACCTTGCTGTGTAGGAGGATGAAAGGGGAGTTGATAGTCTCATAAAACTAATTTGGCTTCAAGTTTCATGAATCTGTAACTAGAATTTAATTTTCACCCCAATAATGTTCTATATAGCCTTTGCTAAAGAGCAACTAATAAATTAAACCTATTCTTTCTGTGTGTGTGAGCGTGCGTTTGTGTTTGGTAGTGTTCCTAGGGCAGAGGTGGAGCAGGGATGCACTTATCATGGGAAGGGAGGTAGAAAAGAGAATTGGATAGCCTGTGATCTTTGGTGGAATTTATTCCTTTTGCCTAGGCCTTTCAGACCCTGCTTGATTTCCGTAGGACACTTCAGGTTGTGGCAAGGGAGAGCTGGTCTGCAATCGGAAGTACCAGCCTCTTCCCTAGAGCACAACTAGAAAGAAGAACTATAGAGTGTTATAAGGGAGGCCCTGAGATGGAAGGACCATCACACAGAAATGATAATAACTTCATTTCAGGGTGTTCCAGGGGAAAAGCAGGAGAAAGATTTGGGGCTCAGTAGAAGGAAAAGCTTCCTAGTGATAAGAGTGATTGGCAATACCATGAGGTACCTTTAAAAGATAGTGAACTCCTGTCCTTGGAAATATTAAACCACAGGCTAGATATCATTTAATAGGGATGTGAAGTAGAGTAAGTCACTGCCCTTGGTGTGCAATTGTGAACTTGTCAATTTCTGAGGTCCCTTTCTACTTAGATATATAATACAAGATTTCTATTAGGTATGGGTGCTCTGATGATAATGAAAATCCCAGCAGCTATGTATGGGATGGTTACACCAGACACTGTGCTAAGGATTTTCTTTGAATTGTTTCTCACTCAATCTTCACGGTAGCTCAGTGAGGTAGGTACCATTATCACTGCTAGAAAGCAGTGAACTTATATGGTCTTACTGTGGCACTGGGTCCTTAAACATTATGCAAAACTGTGAGCAACTTTTATCGGTTTGTTCTTTTAAGAACATAACACAGCACTCTAAAAATAGATCTAACTAGATTGTTCACATCTAGCGATTAAGGCCACCCTGAGATTATAGCTGCATCATCAGGAACCCAAGATCTGAAGCATTCAGTCAAAGCCTCTTGGCCACCTCTCTTTTTGTCATGGCCTTCTTGGACTTGGAGGGGGAGAATGGAAGCAAGTACCAAGGAGAAAGTGTTCTCAGAAAAGCCACACCCATTAGAAAAATACAAGGCCTGAAAGGTGTGAGTGGGACTTGACACGGAAGAGCATTTCAAGCTTAAGAAAAAAAAAAAAAAGAAGAATGTGGGAGGATGTCAGCAACAATGCTTGAGATTCCCTGGTCCCCCAAAGAGTCTCTCCTCCATAAAACTAATGAGAATGTGACAAAAATAGATTCAACTTCTTATAGCTCTGGAAATTAACTGAAGATGTATAGCAATTTGCAGAGCATTTATTCAAGAAAAAGACTAAATCTCTGTGAGCACTGTGATATTGTAACTTGCACTACTCTCATCTCCCCCTCTCCAGCTCCACAATAGCTTTGAAACCAACAGCCTGCAATTACCATGAAAATCAGCAGTCTGGCAGCCACTGAAGGTGACAGAATGGAGTTGGAGTTCTTTCAAAGTCCCATTCCTAGACAATTGTCACTATTTGACCTGTTTGGCAGGCCCTGGAAGCTCCACTTGCAAGGCTATATTTGACCTGACTGGAAGCTTCCCAGGGTAAAAAACTTTGTCAAAACAACTAGAGGCAATTGATTCTCTTTGTGGCTGCCTGGGGTAATGTATAACAGTTGGGGAAAGCAATTGGCTAAATAAAAAGCCTAAAAGGAGAAGCTGGAAAAAGAGATTTTCATAGGGACTTTGAAAAGCTCCAAAGTGTTATTGGCAATCTAGACTGCCAAATGCATAAATAGGACTCCATCCATGCCCAGGACTGTGCAGATGCTCAGGAAAAACCCAAGAAAGCCTTAAGCTCTCACTTCAAGCTGATCTTGAGGCTCTGCACAAGCCATAAGTAAAGGGAATGCAGAGTTGTCAATTGCATGGCGGAGTGTTGAGTGTGCCTCAGCATTCACACAGAGCTCCTTGGCAGAGACTGGTTGAATTATTGATTCCAAGTGTTTGAGGAAATCCGTGTACAACTATTAGATGACTACTAACCAAGCAGAGACTTCAGTGTCCACACACAACAAAAAATACAGACTTTACAGAATTAGTTCAGAAAAGTCATTAAACAAAGAAACAACAACAAACCCTGGGGAAATGACAGTACGATCAAACCATGCATGGCCCTGCCTGCATGTGGGAATCCTCATCCAAGTCATACTTTCTAAACATCATAAAAAGCCCAAACCAGTCTCCTTTCCTGGCTCTCTCAAGTCATTTTCAGACCAGGTTAGGAGACGTGAGCTGCTCTCCACAAAAAGCCTCATGTGAGTAATAAATGTTTCATACTCTCTTGGGGTGTGTGTAACATCATCAGTCTCAGCATCTAAACCAAATTTTGGTGACATTTCATCTTGTTTATGCAGATGTCCACCACACCTATAAATAAACAAACTACTGAAACTGATTCAAGAAAAAATAAAAATCTGAATAGAGCTATCACAAGTAAAGAGATTAAATAAGCAATCAAATAACTTCCCAGAAAGAAAAGCCCAATTTAGGATGTCTTAACTGATTAATGTTAGCAAATATTTAAAGAAGAATTGGTACAAATTCTTCACAAACTCTTCCAGAAATGGAAGAGGAGGAAACACTTTCCACCTTATTTTCTATAACTAGTATTACCTTGATACCAAATTCTGACAAATACATCAAAAATAAAACCATAGACCAATATCTCTTTTAAGTGTAAATGCAAAAAAATTCAACAAAATGCTAGATAACTGGGTCCAACAACATATGGAAAGGATTATATACCTTGACCAAGTGGGATTTGCCCCAGGAATGCAAGATTGATTTAACCATCAGTGTAATGCATCATATTAATAGAATAAAGACAGAAACCACACAATCATCTCGATACACGCAGAAAAATCATTTGGCAAAATTCAACACCCCTTTGTAATAAAATCACTCAACACACTAGGAAGAGAAGGGAACTTCTTCAACCTCACACATGGCATCTATGAAAAACCCACAGCTGGCCGGGTATGGTGGCTCAAGCCTGTAATCCCAGCACTTTGGGAGGCTGAGCCAGGCGGATCACCTGAGGTCAGGAGTTCGAGACCAACCTGACCAACATGGAGAAACCCTGTATCTACTAAAAATACAAAAAATTAGCCCGGCGTGGTGGCAAATGCCTGTAATCCCAGCTGCTTGGGAGGCTGAGGCAGGAGAATCGGTTGAACCCAGGAGGTGGAGGTTCTGGTGAGCCGAGATCACGCCATTGTACTCCAGCCTGGGCAACAAGAACAAAACTCTGTCTCAAAAAAAAAAAAAAAAAGAAAAGAAAAACCCACAGCTAACATCATACTTAAAGGTGAAAGACTGAAAGCTTTCCCCCAAGAGGAACTAACAGGATATCTGCTGTCACTATTTTTATTCAATATTATACTGGAGGTTCTACCTAGGGTAATTAGGCAAAAAAAAAAAAAAAAAAAAAAAACAACAACAAAAAAAAAACAAAAAAAAAAACAAACAAAAAAAAGAAAAGAAAAAAGTCATCCAGATTGGAAAAGAAATAAAATGATTTCAATTTTAAGATGACATAATATTGTATGTAGAAATCCTAAGGAATTTACAAAAGAACTATTAGAGCTAATACATGATTTCAGCAAGGTTGCAGGATACAAGATCAACATACAGATATAAATTGTATTCTACACACTTGTAATGAAAAATCTGAAAATAAAATTAAGAAAATAGCACCCTTTGAATAGTATCAAAAAGAATAAAATACATAGAAAAAATGTAACAGGAAGTGCAAGACTGGTACATTGAAAACAATAAAACATTGTTAAAAAATTTAAAATCATCAAAATAGATGGAAATAAAACCTGTGTTCATGGATGAAAAAAATTAACATTGCTCTACAGATTCAATACAATTCTTATCAAAATCCCAGGTGGCTTAAGAAATTGACAAGTTAATCCTAAAATTCATAAGAAATTGAAAGGGATCCACAATAGCCAAAATAATCTTAAAAAAGATTTTAAAAAGTTGGAGAACTCACACTTCCTGGTTTCATAACATACACCAGGCTGGGCATGGTGGTTCATGCCCATAATCCCAGCACTTTGGGAAGTTGAGGCAGAAGGATCACTTGAGCACAGGAGTTTGAGACCAGCCTGGACGATATAGTGAGACCTTGTCTCTACTAAAAATTTAAAAAGGAATTAGCCAGGTGTGGTAACATGCACCTGTTGTCCCAGCTACTTAGGAGGCTGAGGCATGAGGATCACTTGAGCCCAGAAGATTGTACCACTGCACTCCAGCCTACATGACAGAGTAAGTCTCTGTCTCAAAAACAAAACAAACAACAAAAATACTGAAAGCTTTCCCCATACAGGAACTAACAGGATATCTGCTGTCACTATTTTTATTCAATATTGTTCTGGAGGTTCTAGCTAGGGCAATTAGGCAAAAAAAGGAAAAAGAAGTCATCCAGATTAGAAAAGAAATAAAATAATTTCAATTTTCAGATGACATAATATTGTATGTAGAAATCCTAAGGAATTTACAAAAGAACTGCTACCCTGAAAGAATTGTTGTAAGGCAAATACCCCTGTAATTACCATTAGGGGAAGAAATTTTTCCATGCTTCACAGAAACTCTCCTTATACCCCACCTCAATTTTAATCTTTTTCTGTACCACTACAGTTATAATTCTCCTAAAGCTTAAAGCAATTACCTCCTTGTTTATATTTATAGTTTCATCACTGAAGTGTGCATTCCTAAACTCAACACCTTAGTCTGGTTGCAAACAGTTTAAATGAGAAAAGATAAGGCCTGAATTAAGGCAGCAGCCCTAAACCTTTTTCTATAATCCTGATAGTGATTACCACCTAGGGGATTATAAATGTTTGCTTCTTCCTCTGGCACCAACAAGTTTACTGAGCAGAAGTTTAAAATAATTGGATAATGGGGCAGGTGACATCAGCAAGATGTTGTATTAGCAAATGCTGGACCCTTCTTCAATCCACAAACACATCTATTCTGCAAAAATTCATGGCTAAATTCCTTTGTGAGGAATCCAGAAACTAAAAGGCTCCTGCACTCCCAGCAAATGCAAAAACCAGACTCACCAAAGCTGGTAGAGAGATTTGAGATACCACCTTGTCCGAATCCCTAACCCCAGCACAGTGCCATGTAGTCAGCAAGAGACTCCCTAGCACTCAGTTTCTCCCAGGTGAGAGGAGTTGGTTCACATATCCAAGACCTCCAACTTTTCTGAGGAGATTCCCAGAGGACTGGCTTCTATCTTGTCAGTCTTGGAGCTCTGACAGAATTGGTACTATCTAGCTACCTGGGGAAGGACAGAGACAGAGGTTTAGACCAGTAGATGACATGGCACCCTGCCCTCTACTGCCTCACCTCCTGGCTCAGCACAGACAGGACAAAAATCATGGCTACCTACATTTCCCTGGAGAAGGAATGATTTGTTAAAGGCCCCCAAATCACTGGGCAGACTTATTGGTGGGGGTCTTCTCCTCTGAGGCCCAGCTGTGAGGACTGGGACAGGTGACTGCTTTGTCTAATGTGCAGACACCAACACAAAGAGTCAAGGAAAATGAATAATCATACGAAGATGTTCCAAACCAAAGAACAAGATAAATCTCTGGAAACTGAGCTAATGAAATAAACTTATGTGATTTACCTGACAGAGAATTCAGAATAGCTCTCATAAAGATTCTCACCAGAGTCAAGAGAACAATGCATGAAAAAAGTTAAGAATTTTGACAAAGAGATAGAGTATATTTAAAAGTACCAAAAAGAAATGGAACTGAAGAACACAACAACTGAACTGAAAAAATTTATGACAGGACATCAACAGGAGACAAGATTAATCAGAAGAAAGAATCAATGAACTTGAAGACAGGTCATTGGAAATAATTCAGTTAGAGGAGAAATTAAAATGAAAAAGAGTGAAAAAAAGCCCAAGGGTCTTATGGGCAACATCAAGCTGAACAATATACTCATTATTGGCATCACAGAATAAAAGAGAGAAAAGAACTGAGAACGTATTCAAAGAAATAATGGCTGAACACTTCCCAAATATGAGGAAGAAAATGAACATTCTGATCCAAGAAGCCCAAAGGTCATAAAAAAGTGATCCCAAAGCCTACAGGCATATTATAAGTTGTCATCCTAGAGAAAGAAAAATATCTTTCTCCCAGCCTCCATATTCAAATCTTAAGGAAAATTCTTATGGACTTAGCTTGAGTTTCAAGTTCATTTCTAAAATCAATCATGGTGGCCAAACGGAATGAGCATTCTGATTTGCCAGTGTGGTCTCATGTTACCCCTGTGCCTAGAAAGGAAACAGGAGATGAAAAGCATGGTGATAAGAAGACTGGATGGCACCACATGGGATAGGGGGAAAGTAGTTGAAAAAAAATAGTTGTAAGGAAAAGAGATACAAGGAGTCAAAAATAACAAATATCTACTTAAAAGCCTTTTCCACATTTAATGTTTTTTGTTCACTGTGGTGTAGTAATAAATGTCTATACTTAAGGGGTGAGGATTGATATATTTAAAGTGAATGGTCTGGAAGGCAAGGAAGCTCATTCCAACAGATTCATGCTACATTGTTTAGTGACAAATAAGGGGAACAGAACAGAGAAAGTGATTTCAGCTATAAATATAGGAGATAATAAAATCCTTTAGTAAACAGTATCTAAGCCTTGTTTTTATGATATTGGGGAACAGTAACAGATCAAAGTACTGTAGTCTTCAGTATGCAGACCTTTCACTTTCTTAGTTTATTCCAGGGTCTTTTTTTTTTTTGCTGCTATTACAAATAGCATTGTTTTCCTAATTTTTGTTTAAGATAGTTCATCGTTGGTATAGAAATGCCATTGATTTTTGTATGTTGATTTTGTATCCTCCAACTTTACTGAATTTATTAGTTCTAACAGTTTTTTGATGGAGTCTTTAGGGTTTTCTATGTATAAGATTATGTCATCTGCAAACAGCAACAATTTTACCCTTTGTTTTCAACGTGAGCGTCTTTTATTTATTTTTCTTGCCTAATTGCTTTAGCTAGGACTTCCAGCACTAAATTGAATAGAAGTGATGAGAGTGGGCATGTATGCCTTGTTTCTGGTCTTAAAGAAAAACATTTCAGTTTTCCATTATTCGGTATAATGTTAGTTATGGGTTTTTAAAAATATATATGACCTTTATTAGGTTGAGGTACTTTTCCTCTATTCTTAGTTTATTGAATGTTTTTCTCATGAAAGTGTGTTAAATTTTGTCAAAACCTTTTTTACATCCATCAAATGATTATGTAATTTTTATCCTTTATTCTGTTAATGGATTATCACATTAACTAATTTTCATATCTTGAAGCATACTTGCATCCTAGGAATAAATCCCACTTTGTCATAGTCTTTGATCCTTTTAATATAATGTTAAATTTGGTTTGCCAGTATTTTGTTGAGGATTTTTGCATCTATATATTCATCAAGGATATTGGGCTGTAATTTTCTTTTCTTGTGGTGTCTTTGTCCGGCTTTAGTATAAAGGTAATTCTGGCTTCATAAAATAAGTTAGAAAGTGTTCTCTCTTCTTTGATTTTTTTGGAAGAGTTTGAGAATAATTGGCATTAGTTTTGTTAAATGTTTGGTTGAATTCACTAGTGAAATTATTTGGTCCTGGGATTTTCTTTACTGGGAGTTTTTTGATTACTTGTTCAATCTTTACGCTAGTCATAGGTCTGTCCAGTCTTTGTATTTCTTCATGATTTAGTCATCATGTATTCATGGGTTGTAAGACTTAATATTCTTAAAATGCCCATATTACCCAAAGTGATCTATAGATTCATGCAATCCCCATCAAAAATCCCAGTGGCATTTTTATTTACAGAAATAGAATAATTCTAAAATTCATCTGAAGCCACAAAAGACAATGAATAAACAAATCAATCTTGAAAAAGAAGAACAAAGCTGGAGGCATTATACTTCCTGATTTCAAAATATCCTGCAAAGGTACAGTAATCAAAACAGTATGTTACCAGCATAAAGACAAACACACAGACCAATAGAACAGAATAGAGAGCTCAGCAACAAATCCGTGAATATACAGTCAACTGACATTTGGCAATGGTGCCAAGCATACTCAGTGGGAGAAATGATAATCTCTTCAACAAATGGTGTTGGGAAAACTGAATATCCACATGCAAAAGAATAAAATTGGACCCTATCTTATACCAAAAATCAACTCAAAATGGATTATTTAAATGTAAGACTTGAAACAGTAAAACTCCTAGAAGTAAACAGAAGAGAAAGTTTCATGACATTGCCCTTGGCAATGATTTCATGTACATAACAACAAAAGCACAGGTAATAAAAACAAAAATAGACAAATGGGACTACCTCAAATTAAAATGTTTCTGCACAGCAAACGACCAACTGAATGAAAAGGCAATCTATGGAACAGAAGACACGGGGTGACATGAGACCACTTTGGCAAATCAGAATGCTCATTCCATTTGGCCACCATGATTGGTTTTAGAAATGGACTTGAAGCTCAAAGAAAGCCCATAATATATTCCTTAAGATTTGAATATAGAGGCTGGAAGAAAGATTTTTTTCTTTCTCTAGGATGACAAGTTATATATAATAAGCCTGTAGGCCAATATCTGCTGGCAGCCACCTTTCCCAGGTATATGGATGAAACTATCTGAAGGATGAAGCCTCCATTCACAGAAAATCAGAGCTGTAAAGGGAAGAGGATATCCTGATGAATTTTTTTCTTGGATTGAGCCATGTCTGAAGTCAAGCCAACTTTTGAAGTATCCTATAGTACTTATATATTGCTTGGTAACAAATTATGCCAAAATTTAGTAGCTTAAAACAACAAACATCTATTATCTCATGCATTTCTGATATAGATATAGGAGTGACTAATCTGGGTGGTTCTGGGTCAGAATCTCTGGTGAGTGTGTAGGCAAGGTGTCAGTAGGGGGCTGCAATTATCTAAAGGCTTGCCTGGGGCTGGAGACGCACTTTCAATGTGGTGTACTCACGTGGCTGTTGGTTGGAGGCCAAATGTGCTAGGCAAAGCCTCATGCACATTTCTCTGTAAGGAAACAAAGCTGGCTTACTTGGGGGCAGGATTTTTTTTTTTCCCAGTTGTTCTTCAAAATGAAGTTTCCCGCTCCAAGTCCCAGCCAGATATGTGAAAAACAATCCTTGCAGAACAACCCTATTAGCAGTTCTGCAAGGATTTTTAGGAACCGTATTAGCAAGTTCCTCAGTTCCTCACCATGTGAACCTCTCTTCACGACTTAGTAACTGGCTTCCTCTAGAGTGACTAATCCAAGAGACAGCAAGGATTGACAGCCATGACAGCACAGTGCCTTTCATGACTTACTCTCCAAAGTTACAAACCTTTACTTTTGCTTTATCTTATTTGTTAGAGCAAGTCACTAAATTTGCCCACATCTAAGATGAGGGTATTTGGGCTTCACCTCTTGAATGGAGAAGCACCCAAAAATCTGTGGCCTTTTTTTTTAATTACACTCTCAGTTACATGAATCAATAAATTCCATTTTTGGCTTAGCTTCTATTGGGTTTCTATCACTTGCAACCAAAGTGCCCTAACCAGTATCTACATCTGAGTCATTAAGAAAGTTTCAGACAGGGCTGGGCGCGGTGGCTCACACCTGTTAATCCCAGACTTTGGGAGGCCGAGGCAGGCGGATCACGTGGTCAGGAGATCGAGACCATCCTGGCTAACACGGTGAAACCTTATCTCTACTAAAAATACAAAAAATTAGCCGGGTGTGGTGGCAGGTGCCTGAAGTCCCAGCTACTCGGGAGGCTGAGGCAGGGGAATGGCGTGAACCCGGGAGACGGAGCTTGCAGTGAGCCGAGATCACGCCACTGCGCTCCAGCCTGGGCGACAGAGTGAGACTCAGCTTCAAAAAAAAAAAAAAAAAAGAAAGTTTCAGATATTATTGTTTATTGCTTTTAATCTAGTGAATTCATAAATCGTCACTTAACTCAAGCAAAACAATGTTACTCTCTTTGTACATTGTACAGATGCAGGATAACAATGCAGTGTTATCCTGCATCTGTACAATCAAGCACCCAAACTGGTTCTGTAGAGGCAGGACCTTAGCATATAGCAGAGATAACTTATCTTCCAGCAGATCCGGAGCTCCATTTTGTAGACAGAAATGAATGCTCTGTGCCACAGAAGGAGCTGTTGCACTATTCATTCCCGTTTCCTCCCATTCACTCTCCACATCTCCAATCCTGGCATTGTCTGCTTTGTTACTTGTTAAAAACTTGATTTCGTAGATTGCTTTAAAATAAGAACAAAATGTACTTTGACACACATCATTTTGTTTGGTTCTCATTAATTTTGAGAGAAAGGCAAGATAGATATTTAAATGACCCCTATTTTAGTGGTAAACAAGCTGAAATTAGATAAATAAAATGATTTGCCTAATGCCTCATGAGTGATTTGCTTTCTTTTAAATACTTTAGGAGAATGTTTGGGGATTAAGTCTCAAGATAATAAGGGCAAGTCAGAAAATACAACTTACCTGTCTTTTCTTTTCAAAACTTTTTTGAGAGAAGGATATAATGCGTGGAGTTCAGAAAACCCATAATTTGTATAGCATTGATGTAGCCCATTCACAATCTAGGATTTTTGATATACGTGAGCAGTCATGGTGGAGTGGGTCAGACCAGGCATGGCTCAGCTTCGTACTTCAGGCCACACTGTTCAATCTGTTCACTTGATCCACATGCTAGGATGTGAGAATTTTTCTCTTACATCCTTTCGCTGGAGCCATTTTGGCTGTGCTTATGGTAGTGACAGAGTTTCAAAGAAGAAGAGCCCATAATGTCTCCCAGGCATACTACAAAGGAAATATAAGTCATCAAATAGTTGAATCTGGATCTGGGCCAGGATAACTCGACTCTTCTTATAGAAGGTGCCATGGGATCTATAGTGATGGCAGGTGATGGAAGAAGTGGGTCCCCTCAGCTTTATGTCTTGTCTGAAAGATGATAACCATGCTAATAAATTTAGTGCCACATTCTTTACAGTGTGCTCATCCGACCCCTAGAACAAGGCCATAAACCATAATGGAGTCCATGATGCTTTCAATTATTAGACATTCATTTCTGCTTTTCACTTTCTTTCTCTTCTGCCAAAATTTGGCTTTATTGATTACACTTTATGGAAGGATGGAAGAGGGCAGGGGTAGAAAAAAGGCCCACTTTTTAGAAATCTGAGAAGAATTATATGTCTGTCAAAATAAAATCCCGGCTCTCTAATGGAGGAATACAAAACATTTTTGCTATTGTATCTACCATAAATACACAGATATAATGAGCAGAGCCTGGTTGGGGGCATTCTTGAGTCTTTTCAGAGCCACAGGTTATTTTATGTTAACACCCTCATTAAGAAAATCATTAAGTTTTTCTTTTAGTAGTTAGTAGTGAGGATATGTACAACCCCACTTCTGGCTTTTTTTTGAGAGCAGGAAGGCATACAGAAAAGTTTATGGAATGTGGCATTGAGCTCCAGAGAGAGGCTCTGTTTGTCAAGGAAAAAGGGAACAGAATAGAGGTGGGTGTTAAAGAATATTTTATTTGGATTTCTTGCCCTGATACTTGACACCGAAAACGTGCCGTTCCAGTTGTTGGAAGGAAGACTGGAAGAGCTATTTTATTCCCTGCTGGTCTATTCTTTTGTATTTTATTAAACATTTTAACTAGTCACCTCCTTTCCAGACACACTGTTAACAATTGAATGCCACATCCATACCAAATTCTCACCCATGACTCAAGGGAAGCTGGACACTATTCTCAAAATAGAAGTAACGAGCCATTAGTGGTGATGAAATACTAGATGGAAAAATCTCAATTCCAACTCCCTCCAGGAACTGAAGACTCTAAAATATTCTTCTACCCTGAAACCTGTCTTGCAATCAAATTAAGATCTCCTCACTAATTTTTACCTCTCACCTGAGATTCCTTGTATTTGTGAATGAAAGTCTTTCATCAGCAATAAAGGGTATGCTTAGTGAATAATGAATTAAGATTGTGGAAGAGAATCATGTCTTTTGGAGAAGACGATCAGTCTAGGATGATGCAAAATCTCTTGGTGATTTTTCTTTTTTTAACTTTTGGCTGGCAGTGAAAGTTTTCCCTGAAAGATTAAGGTAGGTGAAAATAGGTGAGGAGAGGAAAAGGCTGAGGTAGTAAGTAAAGAGACAATTTTGATTTGTTTTGTAAGTTTCCAGAAGGTCCCTAGGCAAGTAGAGAACCAAAATCAGTAGAAGGAAATTGCAATGGAAGGGAAATATACAAGTGGGACTGAGCAGCATAGCAATTTGTGAAGCCCTTTAATAGAAACCTTATCCACTATATTGGAGAATGAGTGAACCATGTCAGTAGTCAAAGAATGCTGCCAAGAGCTCTATGTGATATTCTAAATACAGAATCCATATTGCCATTGTCTGCATTCCTTTCTAGACTTTTTGGAGTGAGGAATTAGTGAGCGTTGTAATGAGGAAGTACTGAGTAATTGGAAAATATTGTTAATTGTGGCGCTTCCTTCTTTGATTGCTGTCTCTGAAACAGTCTGAAAAAATAATCCTATCCTGCGTTTTTGCGATTTGTTCATTATAACAAATGAAGTCAGAGCCATGTGCGCTGTTTCTGGTTGTGGATATTAAGAAAGGCCTTTAAATTGAATCATGTCTATATTTTTGTTCGTTTGTTTGTTTTGAGACAGAGTCTTGCTCTGTCACCCAGGCTGGAGTGCAATGGCGCAATCTCGGCTCACTGCAAACTCTGCCTCCCAGGTTCAAGTGATTCTCCTGCCTCAGCCTCCCAAGTAGCTGGGATTACAGGTGCCTCCCATGGTGCCCAGTTAATTTTTGTATTTTTAGCAGAGATGGGGTTTCACCATGTTGGCCAGTTTGGTCTCGAACTCCTGACCTCAGGTGATCCGCCCATCTTGGCCTTCCAAAGGGCCAGGACTACAGGTGTGAGCCACCGTGCCCAGCCATGTATACAATTTATACAGACATTAAGCAAATTCCTAGTCGAAGAGCACAATTGACCTTGCTTTCAAAGCTTCCATTAGAAAAAAATGTATGGTAAGACAAATCTATGTTTTTATAACCAAAATGGGAGAAAGGAAGCACACAAGTTTTCAACTACGTATTTGGTGACTCAGTCTCACATTGTGATTTGGGCAAAAACAGAGTCAAATAATCTAACACGGATGTGTCTCCTCAACTAAGTTAGCTTTGCAAACCAGAAAGTTCTAGCTTTGGGGGATGGGCCTATACAGGAGGGGTCAGTGGACGGGGCCATGTGACGACAACATGGCCGTGGCTTTGGGTTCTTGAAGCACTCACAGATGACCAAAGAGGCACAGGAACAAACTCATCAGTACATTTTTATGTGATCCTGTAGAGCTTGTTTCTTTTTGAGAGTGTCGGGAGGTTTGGCTGATTCACCCAATATGCCTCAAGTGGGAGCTGAAAAAGCCATGTTCTCTAGACACCAAAAATGAGAGTGGATGAATTCAGCAATTGGTAGGTAACATGATCTGCCTTTTGTAGCAAGCCAGAAGCCAGATGTCCCCTCCCCTTTGATCTGAATAACACTTTAGGCTGCAGACAATAAGATTGGTTTTAAATTTATTGTCTCTTTGATTTCTGCATTCTAATGCTTTTTAAATTCTTTACACAAGACAGGGCTATATATAGGCAACTGGGATGGTTCAATGGAAGCCAAAAAAATACCAGTAGCTTATGAGAAGTGCTAGGCAAAGTCTCATGCACATTTCTCTGTAAGGAAACAAAGTTGGCTTACTTGGGGGCAGGATTTTTTTTTTCCAGTTCTTCAAAATGAAGTTTCCCGCTCCAAGTCCCAGCCAGATATGTGAAAAAAAATCCTCGCAGAACAACCCTATTAGCAAAGCAGTAAAGCAGAAGAATCTGATTTAAATGAAATACACCAAATCAGAATGTCTTCCTTCTCTAAGTCCTCTATGACTTTCATCCCAGTTAAAGTTTTATTCCTGTCCTTGTTGATGCAGCCTGTGTCGGGCAATCAGATGACGAGGCCAAGAGTTTGATTTCATTCATTCTGTTGATGGTGAAGATGCAAATATCTGAACCCAATCTCATCCCATTGACAGAAGGTAAATGGCATTTGGAAATCTCCTTTTTTTGTCTGCAACAGAGTCTTACTCTGTCACCCAGTCTAGAGTGCAATGGTGTGATCTCAGCTCACGGCAACCTCAATCTCCAGGGTTCAAGCAATTCTCCTGCCTGAGCCTCCTGAGTAGCTGGGATTACAGGTGCACACCACTACGCCCAGCTAATTTGTGTATTTTTAGTAGAGATGGGGGTTTCACCATGTTGGCTAGGCTGGTCTCGAACTCTTGGCCTCAAGCGATCCACTTGCCTCGCTCTCCCAAAGTGCTGGGATTAAGGGTATGAGCCACTGTGCCAGTCTCCTTTAATTAATCTTCAGTGAATACTACTGATGAGGCATTCAACTGAATCTGTAAAAACATTTGGCCACGATTTTGCCCTCAAGTGGATCAAACCACGGACAATTGCCCCAAGATGTGAGCCTGCTCTAGAGAACACCAGTTCCGTAGCAGGAGAAAGGGTTCAAGTCTCAATACATCATGTTTTCACTGCAGCTATGTGACCTTGAGTAAATCATGGCTTCTCTTCATCTATTTTCTCTTCTGGAAGAGTAGGTAAACTCAGATTGGCCTAACATTCTATTAAATTAAAAAGTCCTTCTACAAACAGAATGTTATTGGAGCCAAATAACCGCACTGTAAGGGAGCCAGGGCAGCACTGTCCTTCATACTTTAGGATGAAGAAGCCGAGCCCAAGGGGTCCACGAGTACTGGAAAGCCTTGTGACTGGTTGGAGACAAAGGCAATACTGTGACTCAGATCTCCTGACATCTTCTATCTCTCTCTCTCTCTCTTTTTTTTTTGAGACGTAGTTTTGTTCTTCTCACCCAGGCTGGAGTGCAGTGGCGCGATCTCAGCTCACTGCAAACTCCACTTCCTGGGTTCAGGAGATTCTCCTGCCTCAGCCTCCCGAGTAGCTGGGATTACAGGCGCTTGTCACCACACCTGGCTAATTTTTGTATTTTTAGTTGTATAGTTAGGGTTTCACCATGTCGGCCAGGCTGGTCTCGAACTCCTGACCTCAGGTGATCCGCCCATCTTGGCCTCCCAAAGTGTTGGGATTACAGGCGTGAGCCACTGTGCCCCGCCTCTTCCCTCCTTCTGTCCACTTAGTAAGACTCACTCTACACTCTGCCTCTCCACCTGTGTACTATGAGGACCAGAGGTTTTGTCTGTAAGAAGCGTTTGCAAACACATGCTGCCATTACAGCACAATTCTGATTCTTCTCCTCAGGAATCCCCTATGAACTTCTAGTGGAAAGACAAGCCATGAAAGCAGTCATTGAGGTGAGGACTGAAAAAACAAACAGCAAAGGCTGATTTTATTTTTTTCTGTGCCAGTGGTGCAGCTCACCTTTGCAGCATGAAAGCAGAGTTCGGTGTGCCCCTTTGTGTCAACACATCTATCAGATTTTCCAGTCAGTTTTCAATCAATTCCTTGGATATCAGGTATTAGGCCATAAAGCATTTCTTTCCACTTTATGGTTCTAAAATATAAACTATGGCCACAGCTGAAGCTTTTAAGTCTGATGGGGATGGCTCCCAAGAGAGGCTCTTCAGAAGCCTAAATAATAGTCTGAAGTGGGTATAAATTTGGGAGGAAACACAGACCCTCACTGCACTGACACTCAAGTCTCCCTAGGATATTTTCTTAGTGCTCACAAAGGACTCCCCTAGAGGTTTTGAAGAAATATGAAGAAACTATAAGACCCAATCTGTATACCCAAGGGTATTACAGACAATATGGTAGCAAAAGCACTTAAAAAAGATCTGTGAAGTCAGCACCTGCAACAATCTATCTGAACAACTCTACATGGAGATATACTCACACACAGTGGTGGAAGTGCAGATGTGGCTGGATTTGCTCATGTTTTGAATAGAGGTCTCTTAAAATGACTGTTTCAAGGTGTCCTTTCAGACCTGGGGGTTACCTGCTTCTTCTCTATATTTTTCTGCTTTTCAGAAAAATTCATCCTATCTGAATGAAGACTTTCAATATGTGGAATGAATGCCATACAGGTTCTGACTACATGATCAAAATTACTTATGTAACTTTGGGCCTGAGAAAGAATTGTACAGGGGACTACAGGATTTTATCCTAAAGGACCAGAATCCCTCTTTTTATTCACTTCCTGAGAATGAGCATGATTTCTTAGTTCAAATACACAGGCTGTCCCGCTGACTCCCAATCACCCAGATGGAAATGAGTGGTGTCAGTGCTGTGTGCAGGAAGCAGGATGTTACTTTAGACTCTGTGTGCAGGAGAGATGGCCGTAGTAACAAATTTATGTGGGTCTGGCCTTTCAATCCTGGAATTCAAATGCGCATGAGGTTGCAAAGGGGCCTGGAAATTCAATTGCCATCCCTTGACCTAGCCCAAAGCAAAACATGAAGAAGGTAACCAGGAGACACCACTGTAAATTGAAATCATCTGGTGTACATAGCATAGGGATATATAAACATGAAGTTTAAAGCATATAGAATTCTCCAGTGCCACTATCTTATAGGGTATGACATTTGTTCTTTCTAAAGTGCTACTGATATAATTTGATTCTTATAACTTTGTGAAGTAGGGAGGTGAATGTACATTTGGCAGATTGAGAAACCAAGATTCTAAAAGGTCAAGCGACTTGCCTAAAGTCATAAATGAGAGCTATGACAGTACCCCAACCTTCCAATGCCCTAGGATCTTTTTCTTTCTTTCCTTCCTTCATTCCTTCCCTCCTTCCTCTCTTTCTTTCTTTTTTCTCTCTCTCTCTCCTTCCTTCCTTCATTCCTTCCTTTCTTCCTTCTTTTTTTTCCCCGCATAATTTGATCTGCATTAGCCTCCAAAACTCCTTGGATTGGAATAAAATATGGCTCCTGTATTTTGTTTTGTTTTGGTCCTTTAAAAAATGTCCTTTCTTTATCATGCTTTATCATATATATACAGAAAAAGACACAAAATGAAGCAGAGCTTATTGAATTATTTTCAAAGACTTTTGTAACATCGCCAGCACGGTGGAGGTCCTTTGAGTGTACTGAGCCAGGAGGGCTTCATGGACATGAGACAGGATCCTGTGCTTAGCAGACCTCACACCTTGGTTAGTGTTCTACTGAAACTGTTTTAAAATTCCTAATAATTTATGAACAAGGAATCTTATATATTCATTTTGCACTGGGCCTGTCCAATTATGTACCCAGTCATGCTCCTACCCAATCACATCTCCTTCTCCCTCACAAATACCCATTATCCTAACTTTCACGGGTCCCTTTTTTGCTCTTCTGTATTGTTTTATCACCTCGGTATGCATATCTGCACATTATAGTTTACCTGTCAGAATTTTCTGTAAATGGAATTGCATGGCATATTATCTTGTGTGTCAACCTTGTTGGTGAGATTCAACCATTTGTTATTTGCACTTGTCTCATTCCTGTATAACATTTTCATCTGTGAGTATATCATAATTTTAAAAATATATTCTATTTTTGATGGAAATTTGAGAGATTTCTAGTTTTGGCTATTATGAATAAGGTTGTTATAAAAATTGTTGTATGTGTATCTCCGCACCAAAGTGCATCTGCTCCCATTGAGCATTTTACCTGTGAGTGGAATTTTGCTAGGTTATAAGGTGTGTGTTTGCTCAGCTTTATGGATAATGCCAAGTGTTTTCCAAAGTCATTGTCTCAATTTACACTCCCTCCAACAGCATCAGAGGATTTTCTTGTGCCACATTTTCACCAACGCTGGATGTTGTTGGTTCTTTCAATTTCAACCATTCCAGTGGGTGTGTATTAAATCACACTAATAATCTCATTGTGATTTTTTTTTTTTTTTTTTTGGAGACGGAGTCTCTGTCGCCTAGGCTGGAGTGCAATGGCACAATCTCAGCGCACTGCAACCTCCGCCTCCTGGATTCAAGCAATTCTTCCGCCTCAGCCTCCCGAGTAGCTGGGATTACAGGTACCCGCCATCGTGCCTGGCTAATCTCATTGTGATTTTTATATGGTCTTCCCTGATCAGTAATGAGGTTGAGTATCTTTCCAAAAATTTATTGGCCATTTGGCTATCTCCTTTTGTGTAGTTTCTTGCTGATTCTTTTATTAGTTGGGGTCTTTTCTTATTAATTTATGAGTTCTTTATACATTCTGATGACAGTTCTTTATCAGAACCATGTAGCAAATAGCTTCTCCCAGTCTTTACCTTAATAGGAGAGAAGTTCTTACTTTTAATGTAGTAAAATTTATCCAATTTTATGGTTGGTAACTTTTTGTGTCCTAATTAAAAATATTTTCCTTTCACAAATCATGAATACAGTCTTTAAAAAACTTGATTCCTTTGCTTTCACATGTAGACCTACAAAGCACCTGGAAACTGATACTTGCACGTACATATTAGCTAGAGGTCAAGTTTTTTCTTATATAAATGTACCATTATCCCAGAACTATTCATTGCAACAGCTTTTCTGCATTTCTCTAGAGTGGCATTTGTGTAATAGATCGTATAGTTATATATAGGTCTGTTTGGGGAGTCTTTATTGTATTCTATTTGTCTATCCTTGTACCAAATTCACACTGTTATAGTAGTTATATAGTTTCAAAAAAATCATGATATCTGGTAGAACACATTTCTGACAAACTTGTTCTCTTCTTCAAGATCATCTTGGCTACTCTTGACACTTTGCAATTACATTCAGATATTAGAATCAGCTTGTCAAGTTTTACAATGATATTTGCTGGGATTTTAATATGCAACTGCATCGAATCTATTTATTAGTTGGGGGGCGAATTAACATCCTGAAATGGACTGAATGTTTATGGCCCCCCAAAATTCACATGCTGAAATTCTAATCCCCAATATGATGGTTTTAGAAGGTGATTTGGGAGGGAATTAGGTCATGAGAATGAAGCCCTCATCAATGGGGTAAGTGCCTTTATAAAAGATACATCAGATAGCTCTTTCACCGTACTTTCACCATCTGAGAATATGAGAAGTCAGTTGTCTGCACCCTGAAAGAGGGTCCTTACCAGAACCTGACTATGCTGGTCCCCTCCCTGATCTTGGACTTCCAGACTCCAGAAACTGTGAGAAATAAATATTTATTGTTTAAGCCTCCCCATCTGATATAATTTGGATATTTGTTCCTTCCAAACATCATGTTGAAATTTGATCCCCAATGTAGGAGGTGGGGCCTAATGGGAGGTGTTTGGGTCATGTGGATGGATCCTTCATGAGTAGATTAATGCCCTCCTTCTGGGTGAGTTCTCGCTCTAATAGTTCCCACAAGAGCTGGTTGTTAAAAAGATCCTGGCACCTGCCAGGCGCAGTGGCTCACGCCTGTAATCCCAGCAGTTTAGGAGGCTGAGGCAGGCGGATCACGAGGTCAGGAGTTCAAGACCAGCCTGACCAATATGGTGAAACCTAGTCTCTACTAAAAAATACAAAAATTAGCCGGGCGTGGTGGCACCCGCCTGTAGTCCCAGCCCAGGAGGGAGACTGAGGCAGGAGAATCGCTGGAACCCGGGAGGCAGAGTTGCAGTGAGCCGAGATCACACCACCGCACTCCAGCCTGGGAGACAGAGTGAGACTCTGTCTCAAAAAAAAAAAAAAAAAAAAAAATCCTGGCACCTTCCCCTTCTCCCTCTTGCTTCCTTCCTCTCCCCTTCACCTTCCACCATAAGTGGAAACAGCCTGAGGCTCTCGCCAGATGCAGGTGCTGGTGCCATGCTTCTTGTACAGCCTGTAGAACAATGAGACAAATAAGCCTTTTTAAAAAATAAATCACTCAGCCTCAGGTATTCCATTATAGCAACACAAAAGAGACTAAGAAACCATTTTTGGTAATTTTTTTCTTTCTTTCTTTTTTTTGGAGACAGGCTCTCACTCTGTCACCCAGGCTGGAGTGCAGTGGTTTGATCACGGCTTACTGCAACCTCTGCCTCCTAGGCTCAAGCGATCCTCTCACCTCAGCCTCCTGAGTAGCTGGGACCACAGGTGCACACCACCATGCCTAGCTAATTTTTGTATTTTTTGTAGAGATGGGGTTTCACCATGTTGCCCACACTGGTCTCGAACTCCTGGGCTCAAACAATCCACCTGCCATGGCCTCCCAAAGTGCTGGGATTATAGGCATGAGCCACCACACCCAGCCTATGGTAATTTCTTATAGTAGCCCAAATTGACTAAGACACATCCTACATACTCAATGTATAAATATGCTTATATCCCTCTATTTGTTTAGGTTTTTAATTGCTCACAATAGTGATTTATAATTTTCTATGTAGAAGTCATGTGTATACTTCATATGTGATTCCAAATGGCACTTAAACATTTTGTGGTTGGTTGTTGAGATATATATATGTGTGTGTGTTTATATACTATATAGTTTATCTTATATTCAAAACCTCTCTTATGTGCTTATTAATTCTAACACTTTGTCTATAGATTATTTCAAATTTTGTGTGCATACAATATTATCTGTGAATAAGTTTTATTTTTTCCTTTCTAATTTCTACAACTTTAATCTTTTCTCTTAGATTATTGCACTGATTAGGATCTTCATTCAACATAACAGTGATTAGAGATAATAATAGCAGCATTCTTCTCTTGTTCTCAATCTCAAAGAGAAGCTTTCAGTATTTCATCATTCAACATAATGCTCAATTAGGTTGTTTTATGAATACATATTTATCAGATGCATTTATTCTAGTTTGGTAAAAGTATTTTTCCATTATTAATTCATGATGCATTTTATCCGATGTTTTTGGGGAGCATCAATTGAGATGATAATTTTTCCTCTTTACTCTGTTACCATGGTGAATTAAATTGCTTGATTTCTCAATATTAAACAAAACCATTGAGTTCCTGGAATTATAAAGCCAATTTAATCATGGTATATCATCTTTTTATATATTAGTTGAACCCAGGTTGCTAATATTTTGTTTAGGATTTTTGGATCTAAGCTTATGACTGAGAATCACCTGTAATTTTCCTTTGTTATGTGCCTTTATCAAATTTTATTATCAAGATTATTTGATCATCTTTCTTTTTTATTCTCGAGAAGAGTTTGTGTAAGTTTCATGTAATCTCTTCCTTAAATGATTGATGAATTTTTTAAGTGAAAGCTTTGGGTTTAGTTTGATTATGTTTAATAATTTTAGAAAGATTCAGATATTCTATTTTTTTGTTAGTTTTGGTGAATTGAATATTTTTAGAAGAATGTTTCGATTTCATCTAAATTTTAAAATATGTTGGGTTAAAGGTTTTTAAAATCATCTTTTTAATCTTCTACAGGCTCTATAGTGATGTTCCATGGGTCCCTTCTTTCACCCTGATTTCTTTTTTTGTTTGTTTGTTTGAACCATTCCCACCTTCACCCCCTCCCCACCTCCTGGCCCCACACTACCCTTAGAGCCTCTGGTAACCATCCTTCTACTCTCTATGTCCAGGAGTTCAACTGATTTCATTTTTAGATCCCACAAATAAGTGAGAACATGTGATATTTGTCTTTCTGTGCCTGGCATATTTCACTTGGAATAATGATCTCCATTCCATTCATGTTGTTGCAAATGACTGGATCTTGTCCTTTTGTATAGCTGAATAGTATTCCATCATGTATATGTACCACATTTTCTTTATCCCTTCATCTATTGATAGACAATTAGGTTGTTTCTAAATCTTAGCTATTGTAAACAGGGCTGACAGTGCTGCAGCAAACACTAGAGTGAAGACAAACCTTCAACAAAACTGGTTTACTTTCTTTTCGGTATATACTCAACAGTGGGGTTGCTGGGTCATATAGCAGCTCAATTTTTAGTTTTTTAAAGAACTTGCAAACTGTTCTCCACAGTGGTTTTACTAATTTACATTCCCAACAACAGTGTACAAGTGTTTCCTTTTCTCCACATCCTCGCCAGCGTTTGTTATTGCCTGTCTTTTGGATATAAGCCATTTTAACTTGGGTGAGATAATAGCTCATTGTAGTTTAGATTTGCATTTCTCTGATAATCAGTGATGTTGAGCACCTTTTTCATACGCCTGTTTGCCATTTGTATGTCTTCCTTTGAGAAATGTCTGTTCAATTTGCCCATTTTTGGATCAGATTATTATATTTTTTCCTATACAGTTGTTTGAGCTCCTCGTATATTCTGGTTATTAATCCCTTGTCAGAGAAGTAGTTTGCAAATATTTTCTCTCATCCTGTGGGTTGTTTCTTCACTTTGTTGGTTGTATCCTTTGCTGGGCAGAAGCTTTTTAACTTGATGTGATTCACTTACCCATGTTTGTTTTGGTTGCCTGTGCTTGTGGGATAATTCTCAAGAAGTCTTTGCCCAGACCAATGTCCTGAAGATTTTCCCAAAAGTTTTCTTGTAATAGTTTCATGGTATGAGGCCTTAGATTTAAATCTTTCATTAATTTTGATTTGATTTTTGTATGTAGTAGGAGATGGGGGTCTAGTTTGCTTCTTTTGCTTACGGATATCCAGTTTTTCCAGCACCATTTATTGAAGAGACTATCTTTTCCCTAGTGTATGATCCTGGCACCTTTGTCAAAAATGAGTTCACTGTAGGTGTGTGGATTTGTTTCTGGGTTCTCTATTCTGTTCCACTGTTCATGTGTCTGTTTATATGCCAGTACCATGCTGTTTTGGTTACTATAGCTCTCTAGTATAATTTGAAGTCAGGTAATATATTCCTCCAGTTTTATTCTTTTTGCTTAGGATAGCTATGGCTATTCTGGGTCTTTTGTGGTTTTGTATAAATTTTAGGATTGTTTTTTCTATTTCTCTGAAGAATGTCATTGGTATTTTGATAGGAATTTCACTGAATCTGTAGATTGCTTTGGGTAGTCTGGACATTTCAACAATATTAATTCTTCCCTTTTATGAACATGAAATATTTTTCCATTTTTTTTGGTGTCTTCTGTTCCTGCTTTCTGATATTCGTTCTCATGCTCTCATTTGACTTAGTCTTGCCAACGGTTTAAAAACTTTATTAGACTTTAAAAAATCATCTTTTGGTGTTAATTCTGTTTTCTACTTTAATTATTTCATTCTTCCCTTTCTTTTGATTCTACATGTTGTTATTTGTCTAATTTCTTTTTTCCCCCTAAGGTAGTTTTGTTATAGCATGCCTAATTTCTTGAGATTAATATTTTGTCTTGTTTTGTAATTATACACTTAAGATTATAACTTCCCTGCTAAACACTGATTTTGCTCTATTACGCAAGTTTTTCCACGAAAAATATTATCTCTCAGCTCAAAATATTTTTAAATTTTCATTGCGATTTCTTTTTACCCACTGGTCATTTAGAAGAACGTTTCTTACTGTTTATAAATGTAGAAATTTTCTAGTTTAAAAAGCTATTTATCTCCATTTTAATTGCTTTGCTTTCACAGAACATATTTTATAGTTTCAGTTATTTTAAATTCGTTGAGACTTGCCTTACGATCTAACACATAGTCAATTTTTGTAAACATTTGTATGTGCTTAAAGAGTTGTTGAGTGTTGTGTTCTATATATGTAGATTAGGTCGATTTATTAATCATGGTGTTCATGATCCTACTTCCTTCTAATTTCTCTCCGTGTGACCTGTCAGTTACTCCCACAGTGTTGGGTGGCTTTTTCTGTTTCTCCTTATAATTCTATTTTTCTATTAAATATTCAGAGACTATGCCATTACATAAATAAAAAATGAAATTGTTTTATCTTCCGAGTAAGTGAAGCCTTTTCTTAATGTGAAGTGTTCCTATTAATGTAATGCTTTTTTTCTTAAAGTATACTTTAGTGAATATTAATGTAGCTATATCAATTTAGGGCAGGGCTTCAGGTGACAAATTTTCTCTTTTGTGTGTGTGTCATTTGAACACTGAATAAATCATATAATTATCTTCTGAATTTCATGCTTTCACTTGAGAAATCAGCTAATGATCTAGTTTTTGTAACTTTAAATGGTATATTTATACACTTTTTATCCTTTCACTCTCACCCTTTCTGAATCTTTGTATATCCCATCAGTAGCTGTAAAGATTTTTGGTCTTCCCAAGAAATCCATTCTCACAGAATTTGTCTTTTAATTGGGGTATATAATTTATTTACTTTTAACATAATTACAAATATGAGTTTAAATCTACCATCCTACTATAAGTTGAGTTTTTCTTATCCAAAATACTTGGGACTACAAGTTTTTCAGATTTCAAATGTTTTTGGATTTTGGAATATTTGCACATATATAATGAGATATCTTGGGGATGAGACCCAAGTCTAAATGTGAAATTCATTTGTTTTATATATACCTTAAACACATAGCCTGAAGGTAATTGTATATATTTTAATAATTTTGTGCATGAAACAAAGTTTATTTACACTGAACCATCAGAAAGCACAGGTGCCATTATTTCAGCCACCTGTATGGACAATCTGTCATTGTTTGGCATCACCATCTTTACTGACTGAATTTATATGCAACCGAGAAGCAATCTTTTTCTTACACTTACTCACACAAGTACCCAACAGTAAAAACTAGGAGGTACCATGAATCCAGTGAAAAAATAATGTTCAGGGTAACTAAGCAGCACAGTAGCGTCACCAGAATACCTGTATCAGTTTTTAAACAATAGCAACCACAAAGAACGGCAAGTTTTCAATCTCTACTTTTGATGTGTGTTTCGATGAAAAGGTTACTATACACTGAATTTTACCTTTCTAGATGAGAAGAAACATTAGAAGCAGTTGAGAGACGAGGAAGTGGGTCCTCCAGGAATGAGGAGGCATTCTGCTGCATGGCTATTTTTAAATGGCTGGAGGGTCTGTTTTCCCTTGGAAATCCTGAATAAACTGAGGTTGTGCGTCTGCATTTTGACTACAACCCATCACATGAGGTGGTGTGGAATTTTCCACATATAACATCATATCAGTGATCAAAAGTTTCAGATTTTGGAGCATTTCAGATTAGGGATGCTCAACCTGTATAACAACTCTTTGATTTTAATGTCTTTTTTTCCCTGGATGCCTTTAAGATTTTATTTTTGTTTCTGTTTTCCTGAAGTTTAATTAAGATGCATCTAGGAGTGAATTTCTTTTCCTTTATACTGCTTGGGTTTCCGGCAGCTTCCTGAATCTGTTGGCTGATGCTTTGCTTTAGTTTTGGAACATTTTGCCATCAACCCTGCTAATATAGCTTTACTACTTCTGTTCTCACTGTATCCTCTACATTTCTTACCTTCTGTTCAATGTTTCATCTCTTTTGAGTTTCATTTTAGATTGTTTCTTCAGACCTGCTTTTCAGTTTACCAATTCTCTATTACTTTATTTCTAATTTGCTGTAACACCTATCCTGGGCATTTTTTTTTTTTTTTGAGATGGAGTCTCGCTCTGTCACCCAGTCTGGAGCGCAGTGGCGCAATCTCGGCTCACTGCAAGCTCTGCCTCCTGGGTTCATGCCATTCTCCTGCCTCAGCCTCCCCAACAGCTGGGATTACAGATGCCTGCCAACACGCCCGGCTAATTTTTTTGTATTTTTAGTAGAGATGGGGTTTCACCGTGTTAGCCAGGATGGTCTCGATCTCCTGACCTCGTGATCCGCCCGCCTCGGCCTCCCAAAGTGCTGGAATTACAGGCGTGAGCCACCGTGCCTGGCCCATCCTGGGCATTCTTAATTGGGATTACTGCATTTTTTTGGTTCTAGAATTTTTCTTTCTCCCAAATTTGCCCTGTAATCTTTTCATGGTTTTCAGTTCTTTGCCAAAATTTCCAATCTTTTCATTTTTTCTCCCTGAACATTGCAAGCTGATAGCTTCAATATGTCAAGCCTGTGCATGTTTTGTTCTATTGAGCATGTTTCCTACTAATTCTCATTCATGATTGTTGTTTCCTTGTATGCTGGTTTATCCTTGTGTGACAGAAATTTTATTTGAAAAATTGGTTTGTTTGTACAGATGTAGGATGACATTATATACCTCCAGAAAGGATTGTGCTGCTGTTGTTCCAGGCACTTGAGAGCACTAGCCATCTGGTATCGCCTTATTTCAGGACTATTGAAATTTCTGTCTGATAATTGTTTATTGTGGAAGGGATGTCCTATGCCTTGTAGGAAGTTTAGGAGTTTCCCTGGCCTCTCCCCACTAGATGCTAACAGCATCCCTTCCCAGTCCTGACTATCAAAGATGTCTCTAGACATTGCCAAATGTCCCTGGTACTTGAGAACCACTCCCTTAACCCAAAACAAGGTGATTTTATCAGGTTTAAACATAATGGTGCCTGATCTCACTTTTGTACCTCTAACACATCAAAGTTTCCCAGCCGCTCAGTAATCTTTTTTAGAATCCCTGGGTGGAAAGCAATGCCAAATGTCATCTTTATCTCTTTGATCTTCTCTCAAATCTTAGTTCAGTAATTTTTACTTTGTAAAGTCTTTCAAGTAAATTTTTAAAAATTGTCTTTCTTGTTGCTCTCAGTGAGGAGACCCATATTACCTACCATGCCTCAACATAGGATGAATCTACATACACACATTACTGCTGCCTGGACAACACCCTGCCATATCCTTTGATTTATCTGCAAATGTGGTTATAGGGCTTCCGTATTTACTGTCTGCTTCCCACATGGGTCATTATGCTGCTTGGAATAGGCTTTCTCTTTTTTGCCGTTCTTCAAGAGAAATGTCTAAAGAGCCAGTCTTCAGCTCTAAGTGTCAATGGCCTCTTCCCAAATAGAATGTGTTTAGTGTAAATGCCCATTCGTTTTTATTAGTGGTGTGTTTCCTCTTTGGTATATTGTAGGTCTTGAAGACAGGAGCTCATACGGTGCTTTCTACAATAGCTGCTTACAGAGCTTAAAAATCTTCTGGTCTAAACAGATGTGGAAATTGAAATGCAAAAAGTCCAAGTGAATAAATAAAGTACTGTTGTGGGCTAACTAGAACTGAAAGAATATCTCACCCCTAGAGGAACGGGAAAGGCCAGAATGAATCAACTCACATGCAGACTAAGTAATCGAGTGGCAAGGTTTGGGTTCAGGAAATGAGACAGTAATTTCCAATTGTGAAGTTCAAAAGGGGATGGTCCCAGGAAAAACAGTATTGGCTGTTTGTGTAGAGCACCTCGGACATAACTAACTCCATCTTAGAAAAAGACTTTACTTTATATTTCATAGGGCACTTTGCCAATAAGGATAACATGTTTTGTTTAATAAACATATAAAGAAATGAAGATTGCATCCAACCAGATAAGTTCACAAACAAGCACACTCTTCCACTATCAGTTTTCACCAGAGGACTCTGTGACCATAAAAAAAATTAAGCCTTCAGGAGCTTCAAACAGCCATCTTAACTGACACAGTCTTGCAGTCACTTGTAATAAAAACTTGGTATCTACCACTGAAGGCTTTGCCACCTCAGAGGCTCTTCCTTGCAAGACCTACTGTATTAGCCCATTTTCACGCTGCTGATAAAGACATACCTGAGACTGAGACATACCTTACATTTCCACATGGCTGGTGCGGCCTCAGAATCACGGCGGGAGGTGAAAGGCACTGTTTACATGGTGGCAGCAAGAGAAAAAGGAGGAAGATCCAAAAGCAGAAACCCCTGATAAACCCACCAGATTTCGTGAGACTTACTCACTATCATGAGAATAGCACGGGAAAGACCGGCCCCCGTGATTCAGTTACCTCTCCCTGGGTCCCTCCCACAACACGTGTGAATTCTGGGAGACATAATTCAAGTTGAGATTTGGGTGGAGACGCAGCCAAACCATATTATTCCACTCCTGGCCCCTCCAAATCTCATGTCCTCACATTTAAAAACCAGTCATGCCCTCCCAACAGTCCCCCAAAGTCTTAACTCATTTCGGCATTAATCCAAAAGTCCACAGTCCAAAGTCTCATCTGAGACAAGGCAAGTCTATTCTGCTTATGAGCCTGTAAAATCAAAAGCAAGCTAGTTACATCCTAGATACAATGGGGGTACAGATATTGGGTAAATACAGCCGTTCCAGGCCAGGCGTGGTGGTTCACACCTGTAATCCCAGCCCTTTTGGAGGCTGAGGCAGGCAGATCACGAAGTCAGGAGATCGAGACCATCCTGGCTAACATGATGAAACCCCGTCTCCACTAAAAAATAGAAAAAATTAGCTGGGCGTGGTGGCGGGCGCCTGTAGTCCCAGCTACTCAGGAGGCTGAGGCAGGAGAATGGCGTGAACCCGGGAGGCGGAGCTTGCAGTGGGCCGAGATCGCGCCACTGCACTCCAGCCTGGGAGACAGAGCGAGACTCTGTCTCAAAAAAAAAAAAAAAAAAAAAAGAGTGCCTCTATTCCAGAGAGGCAAGACAAACATGTCTGTGCTCCAATATGCAGATTGAGGGAGGGAAGATTTGGGGAAAAGTAGGAAAAAATTTGAAAAAGAAATCTAAAACCTAGATTTAGGACAAAAATTAGAACAAGGGAAGGAGGAGAAAGACTAGAGAGAAAAAACAGGGCAAGCTGCTGTAACAGATTGTATTTTCCAAAGATGGTCTCACCAATATACATCCCATCTTACATGCTCTTACAATGTGGCATTGACATTCTTCCATCAAGAGGCAGAGTCTAGTTCCCCACTTCCCCAGTCTGCACAGATCATTTATAAATAGCTCAATATGAAAGTGACTGGGTGTAGCTTCTGAGCTTTGGTCAGAAAGCACATTACATGTTTCACTTTGGACCACTCAAGACGCCCATGTGGAGAGGAACTGAGGCTTCCAGCTTAGAGCCAGCACCAACTTGCCAGCTGAGTCAGCTAACTAGAATGGGCATCTTCCAGTCCCACTCAAGCCATACAGTTTTCAGATGATGACAGGCTCATATTAATAATTTTTTAGATGACAGATATGTTAATGAACATATCACTACAACCTTATGAGACACTCCAAGTGATAACAGCCCAGCTGAGCCTTTCTCAAATTCTTGATCAACAAAAGCCAAGAGAAGTAATATTGTTGCTTTAATACACTAAATTTTGGGGTATTTTGTTATACAGCAATTAATAACTAATATATTTTCTCCTACAATTTATCATTGCACAATGATGGGCATGAAGCAAACATTACCTTCAGAAGATTTGGATTCAGTGGCATCTAATGTGCATGAAGGGCCAGTGGAGAACTTTAAAGTCTTTTATTTCCATAATGACAATCACAGCAAGGTGAAAGTGGGCAGCCGATCTGGGGGAGAATATTTAGCCTCAGGGATTTATAACCTGTGCTATGGTTTGAATGTTTGTCCCTTCTAAAACTCATGTTAAAGTTTAATTGCCGTTGTAACAGTATTAAGATATGGGACCTTTAAGAGGTGATGAGGCTATGAGGGCTCCACTTTGATGGGTGGGATTAATGCTGTATGAAAAAAGCTAGGCCCCCCCTTGCCTCTGTGGCCTGACTTCTGCCGTCTGATGATGCACCAAGAAGGTCCTTGCCAGATGCTGGCACCATGATATTGGACTTCTCAGACTCTAGAATTGTTAGACAATGCATTTCTGTTTATAAATTGCCCATTCTCAGGTATTCTGTTACAGGAACACAAAACGTACTAAAACAGATGTTAGTTGGACCATCAGCTTCATAGACTATTTAAAGACTAGGCAAAGATGTATACTCATTAGCTAAGCAAGGGAGGGTAAATCTTGGTTAGACCAGAGATGAGATTCTTCCTATGGTGTGCTGGTATTTTTTCCTGGGTCCTTATGACATCCAGGCCTCTACCCTCACATAGGTGTTGTAATTCAGAACACAAACCTAATAATGTTTCTCAAAAATGTTAGCGGCCTTTGGATTCTTCTTTTCAAAGAATAGTTCTAGAATATTTCTCCATGATAGAGTATTTTGAAGGAGAGAGCGGTCTAATTTGATGAATGAATCCATCAGTTGGAAGGGCTTTGGCCTTAGTGTCAAGAAATCTGGGTTCTAGTCTTGAAGTGTTCACCAACAGTAAGTGTGATTTTTAGCAATTCCCTTGAACTTCAGAAGTTTTACTGAGATATTTTCTCCAATGTCCAAAGATTTTTGCAGCTCACTGACTATGATTTAGAAGATTTTGTAGTGGTGAAATGTCTTCCTAGATAATAACTATGTATGTTCATTAAACATTGCTATACATAATAGGGTATATTGCAGCAAATATCTAGAACTGTAGCGTACGGCATTCAGGAACACCAAAGAAATGAATTAACTAAAAAGCACAATTACATTTGTATTTAAATAGAAGACTGTTTTGCTTAAAGTGTTTTATGTTTATAAAATACCTGCATGCTTCATATTATTCCTTGAAAAGAATGTGTACCTTGTGCTTAGTAAAAGAATCCATACAATTATGTTTCTATTCTGTTTCTCCAGTTTATTATTTTCAACCTATAGCCTGAAGTCACCAATCTCTTTGTGCCCCGTCCCTTGGGCAATGTATATTCAGGAAGTGTTGCTTTTGGGTAAGCCTTGTTGAGACAATGCCTGGCTGGTTTTGTCTGTTGGTTGTTAGCCTTGAATGTCTGGCCAAGTTGCCCACAGTTGATAGGGGACAAATGGGAGAAAAACGGAAATACCAACGATAGACTTCCTCAGACTCAGCTCTTGCAGCTCAGAATAGTGTACCTGAGTGGTAACGCAAGTTAGAAATGACTGGTGTTCTCCACATTACAGTACTACTGGGATATTGCTTTACATGCCTCCTGAAAACAAATCTGCATTGCACACCAGATGGACATGAAACCAAGATTTATTAAAATACCCTTAGCATATTTACAATTGAAAGCCATGAATGCAATTCTCTGTAAATTCCAAAAAATATAATTCTCTTAAAACAAATTAACAGAGGTATCAACAGATTAGGATAAATATAATCTATCACAGAGATAGAATTTTTTGAATAGACAATTGACGTTTTTCTAATCAATATATATTATGTACAAAAATACACTTGATATTGTGACCAAGTACTGTCAAGGAGGAAAAAATATATATATATAATACACACATTTTTATTATGTACAAATCAGTGTTGGTTCCTTCACTCTCTTTTTAAAAATAAATACTTCATTTGGTTGCAAATGACATTTATAAATTCAACTCATGAGCATTTCTCAGCTTTGACAAAATTAAATATGCAAACAAATTAGAAATACGTATTTTTAAAAATGCAAAGGGAAAAATACCTGAATCCAATGAGCTTATTATGCTTAAAAATATCCCAAGAGCGTGTAAGGTTTCATGTCTTTAAAGGGCCTTCTCCTTTCCCCAACTGTCTTCATTACTGCCTACAATCTTTTCAGATTATATCTACAGACTGGTCTAATACTTAATTAAACAGAAAAGCCTATGTTTTACCAGGTTAAATGGCTATTTAGGACATGCTTGCACTTTTAAGTGCTTTCAAGAGTGTAGCAGTTACTGTTCATCTGAAAATAACCAAGAAGTGTCAACATCCTGATTCAGAACAGGGGTAGATGTTTGAATCATGAATAGTAGTAAGAATGGAGCGGCAATAAAAATCCTTATGATTCAAAGTGTTTGCCTGCACAGAATTAAGTCAATTTGTCCAGCACCACAGAAAGTTACTTGAGATTCAAAAATCTGGCGTTCTGCATCATAGCTGGTGACCCGGTCTGATGTACAAATTTATCAAGAGAATGGCCTTAATTAGTTTAAGGTAAAATCTATGAGAAATTGAGAAGGCCTAGAATAAGAACCCCCCCCCCACCCCGCCCAATCTTCTTAAAATAAAATAAAAAGAGACGTATTTTCCATCTCTTTTATGGATTTTCCTTTTTGCTTAAGTGATGAGGTGATGCTGACATTAACAAGAGGCAGTCACAGCAGTGTGTCTCACATGGGCTCCTTGGTGACAGCGGAGCTCCCTGTCCAAACGGCTGAGGAACGGAGCACAGGGTGTGAGAGGATGGAGGAGGGGCCAAGGGAGCTACTCAGTTGTCTATGATGCAGAGGTGTGAAAAAATCTGGGTCTGGGGGAAACTGTAAAGTAGGAAAGAAATAGCCATGGAATATGAAGGAAAAGGACGAGGAAACAGAAGTATTGAAAGAAGAAAGTGAAACAAAGCTAGAAGTCAAAATGACTTTTGAACAGGCATGGAGTAAACAGGGTCTATGGTCAAGCAGCCCCATGGATCTGAAATTGTTGGAGCTGTTAAACCAAGCACAGACCAGTTTCACTGGGGTACCTGCTTTCCCAGTACATTGGCACTGATCAATACAAGATCAAGGGCACTCACATTTGCCTAATACAGATGCCTTGAATTTCCACGGAAAAGCTGTCCACGATACGACCATGGCAAAAAATCACCAGCTCCCTAACAATGTAATCTATCAGCAAAACATTGCACTAGCCTCGTTCAAATTTTTCTCCTCCATGCGTCCTTTTTTTCTTGCTCATCCCATTGCTTGCAAACTCACAAGATACCAGTTATATGAAGACATAAAACTGCATGGATCAGGTGCACTTTAGAAAGCAGCATCCAGGGTCCAGGGTGTCACTAAGAAAACTAAACCCTGAAGTACTTGAAATAATTTACATTTCTGCTAGGTCTGATTCATACTAGGATGTTGACTGCCTTCACTCAGGTTCTAGGCATGCAGGCCAGTGCTTATTTTCCAGGCCAAAGCACGATCCCCTAAATCAAAGTCCAAGGCCACCCTGCTTGCCATGCTAGTCTAAATGAAAACTCAATGAAAGAAAAAGACTATGATAAACCAATGTTTTCTCTAAAGATTCTTAAAAATTATCCAATTTCTAATTTTAAAAGTTTCTGCCTTTTTAGTATTTTAGATTGGTTCTTTAAAGGGAAGTTCTTTTTATTAATGCATACTCTCTTTGAAGATAAGACATCTAGCTGACAGTAGGGTCATATTACTTATGCCTTGGGAAATTACAGAATTGCACAATTATAAATTTAATAATTTTGGAGTAGACCTATCCCTTAGGTAGATCCCCAAAACCTATTTGTGTCATTGCGAGCAAACAGAAGAATTGATACTAGACTTTCCCTCTCACTCATGGATTTGTTTTCAATGGAAATGGAAGCCTTCCAAATATTATGCAGAACACAATCTCAGTGGCGCTGAGCTACCTTCTTTATGCCTTGTGGTCCAATGTATGAAGAAATAAGATTTTATCTAGAGACAAGTTAGCATGAAGCGAGGAAAAAGGAGATATTTATAATTCACAAAAACATCTAAAATGTAAAGATTTCAAATGTCCTTTTAGTCCCTTACTGGGAAGAGCAGTATAATTTTTGTATGCTATAAACTCCTTTTTATACATCTCCTATAAAGAAATCTGGAATTCAAAATCCATGCTAAGAGTTTCCAGAGTGTTCATCCCTCAACACTTATCATCCATGTCATGGGGAGGTAGAGAGTAATTTCCCTGAATAGCCAGTGGTCTATGGGACTAACCTTTCATTTGGGAAAGACAGATCTGGAAAGCGAACCCAGTTAACAGTCAAAAACACATTCGTTTCATAAGAGGAAAGTGGAAGAAAGCCCCTGAAGAGAACAATGAAGGAAAGCAGGTACACGTTTGCCAAGGACATTAACAAACAATTGCTAATGTGTGCCTGAAATCTGATTTCCTTCTTGATGTATTAAGATAATGCATTGGCAGCTCACACTATACATGGAGAGAAATATTCATATTAATTTAAGACGTTCTCATAGTTTCAAAGGTAGAGAGCCCCTCAGTGTCTGCACAGGTAGAATTTAGGAAAATGTTCAGCCTATGTGAGAGCTATAGTGTGGTAGAGGTTGTTTAATCCATGCCAAATTCTTTGGACGTGATTTTCTGCCTGAAACTATAGTCTTCTTTGCATTTTGCTGGCCCAATGTCATCAAGTTTCACACAAAGCTTGGAAAAATAGCCCACAAGTGTAGTTGGATCAGCCTTTAGAAAAGGAGACTAGAGATTCTCAGTATATTTAAGAGAAGATTTAAAAATAGAAAATTACATAAGCGTAGAGGGAATGTAGAAAAATAAATTGATGGCTATATCTAACACCTTCATATAAAAATGGAATAAAAGTCAATCTTCCCCACATCAAGAACTTCAGAGATGTAATATAAAGTCTGGAGTTCACATGAGCTCTTGACTGAAGGACACGATCCTATCAGAGAAAGGTAAGAGAGAAAAGGTCTTCTATGGCCCTGGTTATCACCATAGTTAGGAGAAGGGCTGGGGATAGAGGAGGAAATGAGTTCCGTAAGTTCCACCAGACAGCAGACCTACTGAATGAGGCTTAATTTGCTTCCCTAATCTCTCCATTGGTAGAAATTGCATAGTGGCTTAAGAGACAGTTAGCCAGCTGCCATTTTAATATCTTCATGTTTCCAAGTTGTTAACTACACGTTTCCCAAATCCTAACTTTATATCACAGTATTGGTTAAGAGTCTTGGAACAAATAAGGATACTGAATTGGCTTCAAATTTGACATGTTAAAACTCTCTTAAATTCATCACTTTCCAACAAAGCATTGATCTGGAAGTTCAGTAGATTGCCCATTCCTTGGGAAGGGAGATGAAGAATTGTGAAACCAAAATGCAGTGCCTCTAATAAGGTGTCAACAGCGGACAGGTGTGCAGAAATGACACAAAATGGGCTTCCCAGTCACAGACAAGCTGTGTAACTGAGCCCGGTTATGCCTGGATTCAATTGCTAATGGAGAGATGAATATCATTATGTAAGTCTAAAGAAGAAAGATATGCTAAGTCAAGTATTTGAAGATGCTTTTCTTTAAGCCACTTCTATACTAATAACAGTTTCCAGGCAGCTGGATTGTTTCTCTCTATAGCTGGAAAATGGAAATATATCCAAGTTATTTGCATTTTGGAAAGGCTAAAAATTATCCACTCTTTTCAAATCCCATCAGCTTGGCCACACAGACTGGTTTCATCTGTGTTGCAGATTTCTTTATGAGGTCAAAGTAGCAGACATGAATGAAAGTTCACTTCTTTATTCTCTCCACTCTCTTCAGTTGTAGGGTCCCTAAAGGTAAAATAACTAATACAAAACAAATTTTAAAAAGTGGAAGCTTTTTCTTTCCTCTCCACTTTTTGGCCATTTTTGTTTTTATTAGGACAGACAGGATAAAAGAAAAATGAAGCTCAAATATAACTGATGCTTGTTAGCAATTTAAAAAGACAATTTAAACTGTTTTATAAAATCAGATATTTAATATTTGGATCAGATATGTGGGAGGGGGGAAGGCTATATATTTTTGGACTTCTTCCTTTTTGTCATATAAAGCTCCAAATTGATTTTATCTTTGTTGTTTTTGTGGATGGAGATGAGTACTACAAAATTGACCAATTTAGTATGTCAGGGAATGAAGAGGTTCCCCGGTCAATGTTACAGCCTGGTTCCTGGAAAAAGAGCCTGCAAGCGTGCATTGCTAATTCCCATTCACACACTGACTTGGCGCAATTTGCTGTGCTGTTGTATGCAATGATCTGCATCAATGACACTGGCCAAGGGAGAAGCAGAAACAGAAATGAGGACATGTAACTTTCAAGAAAGGAAGAGTATCATTAAAATGAAAATTTCTCTGTTGCAAACATCATAGAGAAAATGTGCAATCCCAGGCCAATAAGCAAATCTTTGCCCAAAATAAACATATTTCTTCTGCTACATCTCACTGCGGCCCTTAGAAAAACCGTACCAATGACTTATCTTACTGGAGGTGTTAATACCACCAACATATTTTATTCCTTCCTTCAGTTTTTCCAGTTTCTTTACCAGCAGTATCTGAACTTTTCATTTAGGAAACACCATTCTTCATGGTGCTTATGAAAACAGGAGGTGCCTGAAGGAGGCTGAGAAGAGGTTTGCAGCTTCTACTGTCCTTGATAGGGGAGGGGAGGGGAGACTGCATGCCATCTGATATTCAATTCCTCAACCATACTGGCAATTTGTTTTGGCTAGAACATTTAAAAGTGTAATAGCTCCACTGGGTTTCCTTATTCCACTTCTCAGATTTCAGAAAATCTTTATAATTCCTGAGTAGTTGCAGTGAGTGTGTAGAAAGACACCATCATCAACATAAGGATTCAAAAGGCAACTGTTGGGCAGTAGGACCATCACCTATGACTTCTGGGCCCCCACCGTCATCATAAACATCCACTTCTGCTTGGCCACACTTTTTCTTATTTCTTTTTCCCCAGTAAGCTGCCACTTCTTGAGATAAAAGCCATACAGCACACCTCCTAACCTGGTTTTTGATACTTCATGGGCCTGATGCTTTTTTTTTTTGAAACGGAGTCTCACTGTCGCCCAGGCTGGAGTGCAGTGGCGCGATCTCGGCTAGCTGCAAGCTCCACCTCCCGGGTTCACGCCATTCTCCTGCCTCAGCCTCCCGAGTAGCTGGGACTACAGGCGCCCACCACCACGCCCGGCTAATTTTTTGTATTTTTAGTAGAGATGGGGTTTCACCGTGTTAGCCAGGATGGTCTCAATCTCCTGACCTCGTGATCCGCCCCTGCTTGGCCTCCCAAAGTGCTGGGATTATAGGCATGAGCCACCACGCCCGGCCCGGGCCTGATGCTTTTTACCTAATGTGTCTGTAGTGTAATTTATGATGTACTTTGTGTAATTTATGTAACTTATGATATTGTGTGCTCTGATGCTGTCAATTGCTCATGCAAGAATCTGAACTACTGTCAAACTGTGTCCTCAGATTTAATGAATATTGTCTAAGAGGAGACAAAGTTGTTTGTAAGTTAAGGGTTCTTAGAGTTACTACTAAGTCAGGTGTGTCTGGTGAGACGCAGCATAGCAAACTGGTTACTCTCCTTTCTAGTTCAGGGAGGGCTATGCCTAGAACAGCCACTTAAAGCCTGCTGGCAGGATGTGCTTAAGCTGCCAAATGGCATCCCGATCACCTCCTCTCCAGGAAAAGTTCAGATCCTCCTGCTACACTGAACACAAGCTCAACAGCATTTTAGAGGGATCATTTTCAAGGCCTCCAGATTATTTTAGATGAACTTCCTTGAACAAATTGTCATTGACCTTTACTGAGCATCAATTTGAGTTAAAAATGAAGGCTGTGTCAGCAACGTGGTACATTGGTGGACTTGGGAGGGGGCATCCCAGATACATGACGCAGGGTTCAGAATAGGTGAGAATAATGAAGATTCTGCCATGGTGTCTTACAACACTAACATCATACATCGACTAGTGTGACAAAACCACTAGGTTTCCCCAACCGAGGCAGGCAAACCTTGCTTTGTAGAAATAGGTATTTTACTGCAAAGTTTTAGTCTGTTCACTAGGATGAAATCCAAAGTGGGCTGTATTTGTCTAACTCTCAAATTAAGTGTTCTCACTCATTATTCTTCAGCACTGGTTCCTGAAGGGTTACGTGGCCACAGTGGCAGCCCTGCTTACCTTCACTGATTTCTCGTAAGCATCCTATTTAGAGACCAAACTGGACTGCAATGAGTACACCTCAAACCTCCCGCTGCTCTCACCATCAAGCCTATAAGGATTGAGACTTCTGCTGGCCCCATGTAACTCAAAAGAGCTGATTTCTATGGCATGGGTAAAACTGGCACTTTTCTTGTGCATGATAACACTAGAAGGAGCATATGATGGTTATAAGTGGAATTAGTTTTTAATTGATCCGTTCTTTTGGTTGTCTTCAGAGTTAAGTGAAAATGAAGAGAAACTATGTAAGAAAGCAGCATAAAAAGCTTGTTGCTCACAAGCAACTTCAAGCCTTTTTAGTCATGCATGTTCCTTCTCGGCTTTTCTGTTTTGCTTGTCTCGTTCCTTCATTGTGAATTTTAAAAATCCAACCATGTTACCATATTCCTTTCAGTTGCACCAGTAGAAAAGGCGGTTAGCACCTGCATGAATATGGCTTCTGTGACTTGATTTGATCCTGACTGCAGTCTTCATTCTCGAAGCTGACATTAGATTAGGATATGGTGCTGCTTTCATTACTGGATCTATTATAGAAGCATTCCTGAGGGGCTGCTGGCTGGCAGGCATATCCTGGGAAGATGCTCAGGCACCTGGCAAGTCCAGGGGTTCTGGAAAGATGCTGGGGCAAGGGGCAGGCCACATGTGGAGGCTGGATCAGGAAGGAATTTAAGATTTCTGCTCATCTCTGGACTGTCCTCCACCAATTGGGGGGAGAAAGCTCGGCCTCTTCAAGGCCTAAAAATGAGTCTTTGATCATATTGTCCATTCATCTCCAGTCCTCTTTCTTCACCCCTCACAAGATTTCAGAGACGTGGCTTAAAGACAAAAGTGTCAGAGAGGTCAAAGGTGGTTTCCTTATGTGACTCAAGAGCCAGGGTCAGAAAGAGCTGCCTGTGAACAATATTCCACTTGGAAGTTTTCTATTAATGTAATTACTTTCATTTTGATGTAAGGAACCTTTTTTCTGCCCTTCAGTTTTTTTGACATTAAAGAGTCCTGCTTCATCCTACTTCACATGCCTATCAGCCAAGGTCATGAGCAGGTGCTGTGAGTTGCATTTGCTCTCCTGTCTGGAAACTGCCTCCTGGGGATGGGGGTCGTCCAGCTGCACAGTCACAGCACATAACGTAGAACTCGGCTGCGTATCAACACAACATTGTCCATTCATGAACGGTCCAAAATGTAAAAGGTGCTCTGCCGCTGGGTCTCTTGTCCAAGCACACCCAAGGCTGTGCTTGCTCAGGTATTACATTTTCTCCTGGGAGTTGGGGTGCAGAATCTCTGCTGGCCCAGAAAAACCACAAAGGACCGATGTAAAAACAAGAATGGGCCTCACTGAACAACTGATGTCAACTCCTTGCATGGTAACTTGTTCTCCAGGATGAAGTTTATGGCTATTTGTCTCCCTCTCTCCACCCAGGTATGATTCTGTTTTTTCTCCTTTTCATCACGTAAACCATAACAACAAAAAATCATTTTTTTAGTCTGGATAATACATGTTCTTGGACCTCTTCAAGAATAGTTTTGGTGAGTTGCAACATTATTGGAGAGAAAGATGCTGCAGGATTTTGCTGCAACAGGATCAAAACTAAGACCAATAATCAAAACAGCAGTGTGTAACGACAAAGACTTGAACTCTCCCAAGGCAACTGTCCTCAATGATCTTTTCTCTCTTCTGTGACAATGTGACATATATCAAGCTTTGGTTATAAAGCTGGAAATCTCAGCTTTTAAAAAAATTTTGGAAACATTTTGGTATTTCTTCTGCTCTTAGAGTGGACTTTGGGCTTCCACAAGAAACAGTCATCAAATATTTCTGCAATGTTCCCTTAAATAGTTTTCCATTGTTCCTGCGGCTTAATGAGGGACTTCTTAAAGAAGGCATGGGGCACTCTCTGCAGATGACCTCAGAAAGAGATGAGCAAAAACAAACATTTAGTGACACATCTTTCAAGAACGTCCTGCAACCCTGTGGTCACAAAGAGTATGCGTGCAAGGTCCTCCACCTCCAGTGCCATCATTTCCATGTGTCTTCATCTTAGTTAGTGGTCACACTGGCTTCCTTCTGACGCAGTCTTTCTTTCTGTTAAGGAAAAAAAAATGAATGTATCATTTTCTTTCATCTTTCTCAAGTTTTGATACATTTCTCAAATTTTGGTCTAGAATGCTGAGTTTCCGGAATTGTGCCAAATGGCCTAGAAATGAGAGTACCTCTACTGCTTTCCCTAAGCTCTTAGTTATCTGCCCCTCCCTATCACCCTTACTCCCCAGAAAAACAAACAAGAAATCAATAACCAGCCAATCTACCAACTACATCCATCTAAAACACGGGCCTTTACCATGCCAGGGTGGTCTTTTCTGTTCTCTTCTTTTGTGACAAAGACCCTAACTTTGTAGTGTTACTCAAGGACCCCTTCCGTCCCTACCTTTGGCTCATTGATGGAATTAGAGAATGCCCAAGAAGATATGAAAAAAAAAATTACTATTTCCAATGATCAACTTGGCAGAACTCAACAAAAGCCATGCAAAATGGGAGATGACCAGATTTAGTCTCTGCAGAATGGCAGAAGTTCCCGATTTGCCATGGATGTTATGCTCTTCATTCTCCGAGCTTCCTCCTCAGGGACTGCCTTCTAAAGGGAAGGACATGGACATCTGCTGGGAAGACGTAAGAATACACAGGAGCACACTACACAGAAACATGGACCCCCATGGTATCTGTGACACTAGGGAAGCACACATATCAGTATGGTAAGGATGGTGTGCCTGCTCTGGGAGGAGGGTAAATAGAAGGCTAAAATGGAAAAGGGAGAAGTATACTCTTTTGGAATGAGCAGATGCAGAGAGAAGCCTTTGAGAATGGATCCTTAGCTGCTTATGAGCTATGAGATATGATGTTGCAGTGAATTACTAAATTGGCCTAGATATAAACTTAAGTTGATGATTTTTCGACACCCATCCTAAATTTGGACCCCATCCCTAACTTGCGAAATTGAATCAGGAATCAGTTTACAAGCTCTTCCCTGATTTCCACCCACCCACCCACACAGACAATAAAATAAGCAGCCCCAACAAGCCCAGGATCACAACTGGGAGCTTGCTCACAGGGGAGGTCGTAAACCCACTGTTTCCCTTTTGTCTATATGGCTGACCCCATTCTCTCTGCCTTGGGGGAACAAACTTGGCTGTAAAAGTCTGGATAGAGGCCCAAATAAAAGGTCTGAGGAAGAGGGAGAGGCTCATGAAGGAAGAAGACAAAAATCAGGGTTCAGCCGACTGCCACTGAAAGTCATACAAATGAATGTCATAAATATACCATCAAACGGGTACAAAGGACATGTCCGGTTAGGTAGGGGCCATGTGCTCAACCATGGCTTTCCCCGACCAAAAAGTATAGCCCGGACTTCTCCATTTCTCATTCATCAACCTCATGCAACATTCATTTAGCTGCTCATGGGGTTGTTGGGAGAAACATTATGGTCAATCAACAGAAATAATCTCACTTTATAACTTAGAACCCATTTATATTTTCAAAGGATTTGAAGCATCCAGCAAAAAGGTACTAATAATCTAAAAGGATAAAGTAAGTAGTTGTTGGACATCAGGGCCCAGAGAGGACAGAGTTTGAAAAATCCGAGAGAGGAGGGTGATACTTCCACTTCCCACTCATTGCCATTCCCCATTGCAGGGTCAACCAAAGCAGCTGAAATTCACAGCAACAAGGAAAACAACTAATATTTATTGAGCTCTTATTATGTGTTAGGCATTTTACATGTCTTTTCTCAGTTTTCTCAAAATAACCCCAAAAAAAAAGTAGTATGTTCTTTTCATGGAAGAGAAAGAAACAAAGTAACTTCACTAAGGTTTTACAACTATTTAAGTGGCAGAGCTGTGATCTGAACCCAGGCCATTTCATTCTCGGCATCCTGGGATCCTAACCATGTAGCTATTCTGACTATTGTCCGTAACACCTAGGTGGAGATTCATTGTGATCTCTACTGAAAACTGGACTTTGGAGGACAACGCAATCTCACATCTAGGAAGGCTGGGGAGACTGCTGGTTTCCAGCACAGGGAGAGATGTCAGGAGACCCAGAATCTGGTCCTGGCTTTTGTTATCCACTTGCTAAGTGACCCTGGGTAGGCTGTATCTTTCTGCACTTCAAATTTTCCAACTATCAAAATAGGAGAATCCCTGCCTCTTTCTTTAATGGGGAAAAGGAACTGAAGAGAATGAATATATTTAAACATTTTGAGAAAAAGATACTTTGAGATAAGGGTGACTGTACTGCGGGTAGGGTGTGGAAGGATGTGAAATGGTAAGTGACTAAATTTGGTTTATCAGAAATGACCTATGTTGAGTTTACAGGAAAAACATATAAAGCTATGTTTTGTACCTCCACCCACACATACTTTTTTTTTTTTTTTTTTAACCATATGCTACTCTGGGATGGGAACTGAGAATCTGGATACTATGTTTCATCTCTGAGCTTTAGCCCTTCCTGGGCGCACCTCAATTTTCATGACAATCGTTAGATTATGTTGAAAAATATATCTCACCAGGCTAGCAGTGGGATTGATTTTCTTTGTCTCCACTTTCTTCTCTGAAGTCAACTTGCTGACTGATTCCTGAGCCATTTTCAATCTGAAATAGAAATAGGGAAAAGACAGGGGAGAGAGGGAAAAGAAAGGAAGAGGGAAAAGGAAAGAAGAAAAGAGTTAAGGCAGGTTAAACATAAACCCAAATGCTTTTGAATTAATCCATCAGCAATTTGAAAATACTGAAATGTTTTTTCAATGCTTGTTATTAAATTCAAATCCTAATTAGGTGTGAAGGCTTCTCTGCTTTATCAAAATTTAATTTTCTTCACCAGCTGAAGCCTGTTTTTGTGAACAATGTGGTAGTTTCTGATGGATGGAGTACTATGTGCACAGAGCATTATTTACTTCAGTGTTATCTGGCTTGTGATCCACTTAGCAGATAATGAGATGATTTTGAAGAATGAAGTTCTGAGGAAATGTGAAACTACAAATACTAAAATTCACGAATTCACATCAATTAAGATGTGATAACCTATAGAATGGGAAAAAAGATAACCTACGGAATGGGAAAATATAAATATATGTATTTTTCATTCTGTAGGTTTTTTTCCATTCAAAAAATATATTTATATATTATATTTATATATTACGTATAATATATTTATATATTATATTTATATATTACGTATAACATATAACACATTTATATATTACGTATAATATAACATTTATATATTACGTATAACATATAACACTTTATATATTACGTATAACATATAACACTTTATATATTACGTATAACATATAACACTTTATATATTACGTATAACATAACACATTTATATATTACGTATAACATAACACATTTATATATTACGTATAACATAACACATTTATATATTACGTATAACATATAACACATTTACTTATATATTACGTATAATATATAATACATTTACTTATATATTATGTATAATACATTTATATACTATGTATAATACATTTATATATTATGTATAATATAATACATTTATTTATATATTATGTATAATATATAATACATTTATTATATATTATGTATAATATATAATACATTTATTATATATTATGTATAATATATAATACATTTATTATATATTATGTATAATATATAATACATTTATTATGTATAATATATAATACATTTATTATGTATAATATATAATACATTTATTATATATTATGTATAATATATAATACATTTATTATATATTATGTATAATATATAATACATTTATTATATATTATATAATACATTTATTTATATATTATATAATACATTTATTTATATATTATATAATACATTTATTTATATATTATATAATACATATATGTATAATATAGAAATATATATTTTATATATATATATATTTTTTTGAGACAGAGTCTTGCTCTGTTGCTCAGGCTGGAGTGCAG
This sequence comes from Homo sapiens, assembly GCF_000001405.40. Taxonomy (NCBI): domain Eukaryota; kingdom Metazoa; phylum Chordata; class Mammalia; order Primates; family Hominidae; genus Homo; species Homo sapiens. The sequence goes on from NT_187660.1 coordinate 4,992,866, forward strand.
TGATGCGATCTCAGCTCACTGCAACCTCCACCTCCAGAATGGGAAAAATATTTTTAAATCATATACCTGATAGAAACTTGTGTCTGGAACACAGAAAGAACTCTTACAATTCAAATAAGAAGACAAATTATACCCCCTCCTCTAAAAATGGACAAGGGATTTGAATAGACATTTCTCCAAAGCTGACATACACATGGTCAATAAGCACGTAAAAAGATGCTCAACATCATTAGTCATCAGAAAATGCAAATCAAAACCACAATGGGATACCACTTCACATCCACTAGGACGGCTAGAATCAGAAAGGAAGACAGTAACAAGTACTAGAGATGAAGATGTGAAGAAACTGGAACCCTTATACACTGTTGATGTGATTGTAGAATTACACAGTTGCTTTGGAAAACAGTTTGGCCGTTTTCCAAAACGTTAAGCACAGAATTACCATATGACCCAGCAATTCTACTGCTAGGTACATAAATATATCTATAACTAAGAAAATTGAAAAGATGTCTATATAAAAATTTGCATATGAATGTTTATAGAACCACTATTTATAGTAATCAAGAGTAGAAGCAACCAAATTTCCATCACCTGATGGAAAAATTAAATGTGGTATATCCATACAATGGAATACTACTGAGCCATACAAAGGAATGAATTTGCTGATACATGCTACAACATGGATGTACCTCAAAAACATTGTGCTAAGTGAAAGAAGCCAATCACAAAAACACATGACTCTATTTATATGAAATGTTCAGAACAGGCAAATCCATACAGAAAGTAGGTTAGCAAAACTATGGGTTTCCCCATGCTGGGGAAAATGGGGAGTTATTGCTAACCAGTCAAAGATTTCCTCTAAAATCAGATAGAGGTAATGGTTGTAGACCCTTGTGAACATACTAAAAACCACTGTGTAGTGAAGTGATACTAATGTGTATGGAATTGTACACTTTAAAAGGGTGAATTTTATGATATGTAAATTCTATCTCAATACAACTTATTAAAAATTCATTAATTCAGCATGATAGTATTTCTTACCCATCAGGTTGGCAAATGTAAACAATTAGACAATATTAACTGTTTGTGAGGATGCAGGGGAATGGGAAGTGCCACACAGTGCACTAAGGAGAAGAAATTGGTCTAGTTGGGTTTGGCAATATCAAGTAAAACTGAAAGCATGTACACTCTACGAGCCATCAAGTTTTCTTGTAGGGAGATACCAAAAAGAATTATAAACAGACACAGAGCTTTCACTGTGGCAATATATGCAATCAAGAAAAACTACAGACAACCTAATGAATAGGTTCAACAGGGTGATATATGAGAATAGCAAATAACAACTAACATTTATTGGGTACTTAATCTGTACCAGGTGCTGTTCTACCTACTGTATTTGAATTAAACTTAATTTTCACAACTCTGTGAGATAGGAACTTCTACTATTCCCATTTCATAGGTCTTAACCACCATGCAATGTGCAATGCTGCTTATGTACTGTATTCATTCAACAGAATAGGGTATAACAGTGAGAAGGAATGAACTAGATCTACAAATTCAAAAATCACAGGAATCAGAGGCATGATACTGAGAGTGAAGAATCCTGCAGTGATACAGTGAATAGTCCATCTGTGATGATGGTCAAGAGCTCAGGCTCCAAAGCCTGATTGCAGAATTAATTCTCAGCCCTATCACTTATTAACTGTGTGACCCTGCACAAGGGAACTCTCTGTGTGCCTTATTTCCTAAAAAACATGACAGTAATAGTGCATGCTACATAGGATCAATAAGAGGACTGAGACAGTATCAGAAGCATGTGAACCAGAGCAACTCCATCTTCAATAGAAGCTGGGTAAAATGAGGCTGGAACCTTTTGGGCTGCATTTCCAGATGACTAAGGCATTGTAAGACACAGGAAGAGACATGAGGTCAGCACAAGATACAGGTCATAAAGACCTTGCTGATAAAATAGGTTGCAGTAAAGAAGCTGACCCAAACTCTCCAAAACCAAGATGGCCACCTAGTGACCTCTGGTCGTCCTCACTGCTACACTCCCATTAGTGCCAAGACAGTTTACAAATGTCATGGCAATAGTCAGGAAGTTACCCTGTATGGTCTTAAAAAAGGGAGGCATGAATAATCTATCCCTTATTTAGCATGTCATCAAAAAATAACCATAAAAGTGGGCAGCCAGCAGCTCTCAAGGCTGTTCTGCCTATGGAGTAGCCATTCTTTTATTCCTTTACTTTCCTGATAAACTTGCTTTCCCTGTACTCCACAGACTCACCCTGTATCCTTTCTTGTGTGAGATCCAAGAACCCTCTTTTGGGGTCTGGATTGGGACCACTTTCCTGTAACATCTTTCTGGCAACCACAGAAGGGACTATAGTGAGGAAACCCCTGACCCAAAGGCTAGCTTTGGGTAACCGGTGGGGTCCTGTATCAGCAGTACAGCTCCAGGCAGGCGGTAATAGCAGAATAAATGTAAGCTGCTATTGTTACTTTGCATGCAGTATGCTACACTGTGCGTATAATTTTAAATTGAACCCATACATACAGACATCTATCTGTATTTATATATGGATACACACATATGAAAGTATTCAAAATAGACTAGAAAGATACTCAATAATTTCATGATAGAGGTTATTGCTAGAAAGATCTGGGAAGAGAATGACACTGGCAATAATATGCCAAGTAGAATTTCATTTTATCTGTAATACTTCATTTTTAAACTTAAAATCTTAAAGAATATATGATGCATGTTAATAGTTATAATTCTAGGTAGTGGGAATATGGGTGTGATATGCTATCTTTTATATTTTTATTTTTAAAATTTCTTCAAAAAATCTTCAAAATAGTAAATACTTAAAGATCTATCAACTCAGACATTTAAAAAATATGCTTTTTCTTCCATGCTTCAAATAAAAATATCTTACTTAATATTAATCACATACTTGTTGGCATCTGTAAGTGGCTGAGTAGCTTAGCTCTTTATTTAGCTAATGTTATACAATTTGCTTAAAACACACATTTAGTAATCCCATCTCCCTGCCCACATGCACACGTTAGTTACAATGAATTCAACATTCTTACTTGTGCACTGGACAATAAATTAATTCTACTGTTGCAGTGGGAAAGCAGCCATCTGAAAAATGCATCAACGACCGGGCTATGCTATGTTCTGATAGATTTTATTGACAAATACTGGTAGTGGGCCAGATCCGGCTCATAGGCTGTAGTCTGCCAATTCCTGGACTGTATCATAGGATTCAAAATCTTATGCTTTTGGACTGGCAATACAATCTCCCTGCTATAAACCCAGTTTACTTATCTTACCTTTTCAGACCCAGATCTGTTGTTGTATTCGTAGTATGCTGGTTTAATTAGCTGAGTATCCTTGGATAAGTCATGTAACCCCCAAACCTCAATTTCCTCATCTCTTTAAAGTGTGAATAATACCACACCTAATAACATTGTTGCTATAAAAATTAAAGAAAATACTATATGTGATTACTGATCAAGCATCTTTTCCTTCACCTCACTCCACGTGTTCCATGACCCACCCAAACGACTTACATTCTTTGTACATGGCTTTTTCTCACCTTTGCATCTTGCTTTTACTGTTCCCTCAATGACGGTCTGAGTCATTTCCATGCATGCAAATTCTTCCCATTCTTCTATTTACAGCTTAAGTGTCAAAGTCATGAAAGCTTCCTTCATCTCTCTTAGCCAGAAGTAATTGCTCTTTTCTTAAGTGACAAAGCACTTTGTGCCTCTCTTAAGGTACTTAAGGCATTTCATCTTAGAACTGAGTAGGTGTCTTATTTTTCTTAAACCATTGGAATGACTTAGGGACAACGAGCAGGATTTATCCATATTTGGGACCTCTCCTTGTTCCTTTACCCAGCACTGTACCATGCTCAAGTCAGTTCTTAGTATCTACGTGACAAATGACATGCATTGATAACTTTTGTTTTTCTGACTTAAACAATTTAAATGTTTAGTAAATAGTTATAAAATGATTGCTTTTTGCATTTATCCTTGGGAAAAAACTATAAAAACATTTAGAAGTGTAGTTCCAGTTACTGATTAGCTGATTAAGTCTTAAACAAGGAAAAAGAAAAGATACTCAAGGCCACCCAAATGTGCTAAATATTTACACGTGTCATCTTATGTATAGATTCCAAGATACTTAAAAGTATCCACATTACTTTGCCCACAAGGAGACTAAGACTCAGTGAGGTTATGTGACTTTGTCCCAAGTCTGGAATTTATTTCTCCCACTTAGGAGGTAAGGGCTTTTTGCATTTAATCAAAGAAAATTTGCTGGTTAGACAGTTTCTAGCTGCATACACGCTCAACCTCCTCATTGTTTGTGGACTTGTTTTTGTTTCTGGCCTAAATGTTGGCTCTAATGTCCATCAGTAGATGACTGGACAAAGAAAATGTGGATCACATACACCATGAAATACTATGCAGTCATAAAAAGAATGAAATCACGTCCATTGCAGCAACATAGATGGAGCTGCAGATCATTATCCTAAGTGAAATAACTCAGAAAGAGAAAATCAAATACTGCATGGTCTCACTTATAAGTGGGAGCTAAACAGTGGTTACACATGGACATATAGAGGGAAATAACAGACGCTGGGGGTGGGGAGAGTGGGAAGACAGTGAGGGTCAACAAATAATCTACTGGGTACAAGGTTCACTCTTCAGGTGATGGATACAGTAGAAGCCCAAACCCTGCCACTATGAAATACATCCGTGTAACAAACCTGCACAAATCCATGTACCTCCTGAATTGATAAAAACAAAAAAAAATAAAGGTTATATGGCAATCCTTAC